>NC_000018.10:17202206-17527844 GCF_000001405.40 Homo sapiens | reverse complement strand
CATCCCAAAGAAGTTTCTGAGAATGCTTCTGTCTAGATTTTCTCTGAAGACAATCCCGTTTCCAACGAAATCCTCAAGGCTAGGCAAATATACTCTTGCAGATTCCAGAAAAAGAGTGTTTCAAAACTGCTCCTTCAAAACGGTGGTTCAATTCTCTTAGTTGAGTACACACATCTCAAATAAGTTTCTGAGAATGCTTCTGCCTAGTTGTTACGGGAAGATATTTCCCTTTCCAACATGGGCCTGAAAGCGCTCCAAATGTCCACTTCCAGATACTACAAAAAGAGTGTTTCAAACCTGCTCTACCAAAGGGAATGTTCTACTCTGTGACTTGAATGCAAACATCCCAAAGAAGTTTCTGAGAATGCTTCTGTCTAGATTTTACCTGAAGACAATCCCGTTTCCCACGAAATCCTCAAAGCTATGCAAATATCCTCTTGCAGATTCTACAAAAAGAGTGTTTCAAAACTGCTCTATGAAAAGAAAGGTTCAACTCTGTCAGTAGAGGGCACACATCACAAACAAGTTTCTGAGAATGCTTCTGCATAGTTGTTACGGGAAGATATTTCCCTTTCCAAAATAGGCCTGAAAGCGCTCCAAATGTCCACTTCCAGATACTACAAAAGGAGTGATTCCAACCTGCTCTATGATAGGGAATGTTCAACTCTCTGTCCTGAATACAAACATCACAAAGATGTTTCTCAGAACGCTGCAGTCTGCAATTTGTATGAATTCCCGCTTCCAACGAAATCCTCAAAACTAGCCAAATATCCACTTGCAGATTCCACAAAAAGAGTATTTCAAAACTGCTCTATCAAAAGAAAGGTTCAACTTCTTTGTTAGTTGAGTAGATACAGCATAAACAAGTTTCTGAGAATGCTTCTGTCCAGTTTTTATGGGAAGATATTTCCTTTTTCACCTTAGCCCTGAAAGCGCTCCAAAAGTCCAGTTCCAGATACTACAAAAGGAGTGTTTCAGGACTGCTCTATGAAAGGGAGTGTTCAACTTTTGACTTGAATGCAAACATCAGAAAGCAGTTTCTCAGAACGCTGCTGTGTGCTTTTTATATGTATTCCCGCTTCCAGCGAAATCCCCAAAGCTAGCCAAATATCCACTTGCAGATTCCAGAGAAAGAGTGTTTCAAAACTGCTCCTTCAAAACGGTGGTTCAATTCTCTTAGTTGAGTACACACATCTCAAATAAGTTTCTGAGAATGCTTCTGTCTAGTTGTTATGGGAAGATATTTCCTTTTCCAACATAGGCCTGAAAGCGCTCCAAATGTCCACTTCCAGATACTACAAAAGGAGTGATTCAAACCTGCTCTATGATAGGGAATGTTCAACTCTGTGTCCTGAATACAAACATCACAAAGATGTTTCTCAGAACGCTGCAGTCTGCAATTTGTATGAATTCCCGCTTCCAACGAAATCCTCAAAACTAGCCAAATATCCACTTGCAGATTCCACAAAAAGAGCGTTTCAAAACTTCTCTATGAAAAGGAAGGTTCTACTCCTTTAGTTGAGGACACACATCACGAGTAAGTTTCTGAGAATGCTTCTGTCTAGTTTTTATGGGAAGATATTTCCTTTTTCACCTTAGGCCGGAAAGTGCTCCAAATGTCCACTTACACACACTACAAAAAGAGTGTTTCAAACCTGCTCTGTGAAAGGGAATGTTCAATTCTGTGACTTGAATGCAATCATCACAAAGAAGTTTCTGAGAATGCTGCTGTCTGCTTTTTATATGTAATCCCGTTTCCAACGAAATCCTCAAATCTAGCCAAATAGCCACTTGCAGATTCCACAAAAAGAGTGTTTCAAAACTGTTCTGTCTAAAGAAATGTTCAACTGTGTTAGTTGAGGACACACATTAGAAACTAGTTTCTGAGAATGCTTCTGTCTAGTTGTTATGGGAAGATATTTCCTTTTCCAACGTAGGCCTGAAAGCGCTCCAAATGTCCACTTCCATATACTAAAAAAAGAGTGTTTCAAACCTGCTCTACCAAAGGGAATGTTCTACTCTGTGACTTGAATGCAAACATCCCAAAGAAGTTTCTGAGAATGCTTCTGTCTAGATTTGATCTGAAGACAATCCCGTTTCCAACGAAATCCTCAAGGCTAGGCAAATATCCTCTTGCAGATTCCAGAAAAAGAGTGTTTCAAAACTGCTCCTTCAAAACGGTGGTTCAATTCTCTTAGTTGAGTACACACATCTCAAATAAGTTTCTGAGAATGCTTCTGCCTAGTTGTTACGGGAAGATATTTCCCTTTCCAACATAGGCCTGAAAGCGCTCCAAATTTCCACTTCCAGATACTACAAAAAGAGTGTTTCAAACCTGCTCTACCAAAGGGAATGTTCTGCTCTGTGACTTGAATGCAAACATCCCAAAGAAGTTTCTGAGAATGCTTCTGTCTAGATTTTACCTGAAGACAATCCCGTTTCCCACGAAATCCTCAAAGCTATGCAAATATCCTCTTGCAGATTCTACAAAAAGAGTGTTTCAAAACTGCTCTATGAAAAGAAAGGTTCAACTCTGTCAGTAGAGGGCACACATCACAAACAAGTTTCTGAGAATGCTTGTGTCTAGTTGTTATGGGAAGATATTTCCTTTTTCAACATAGGCCTGAAAGCGCTCCAAATGTCCACTTCCAGATACTACAAAAGGAGTGATTCCAACCTGCTCTATGATAGGGAATGTTCAACTCTGTGTCCTGAATACAAACATCACAAAGATGTTTCTCAGAACGCTGCAGTCTGCAATTTGTATGAATTCCCGCTTCCAACGAAATCCTCAAAACTAGCCAAATATCCACTTGCAGATTCCACAAAAAGAGCATTTCAAAACTGCTCTATCAAAAGAAAGGTTCAACTTTGTTAGTTGAGTAGATACAGCATAAACAAGTTTCTGAGAATGCTTCTGTCCAGTTTTTATGGGAAGATATTTCCTTTTTCACCTTAGCCCTGAAAGCGCTCCAAAAGTCCAGTTCCAGATACTACAAAAGGAGTGTTTCAGGACTGCACTATGAAAGGGAGGGTTCAACTTTTGACTTGAATGCAAACATCAGAAAGCAGTTTCTCAGAACGCTGCTGTGTGCTTTTTATATGTATTCCCGCTTCCAGCGAAATCCCCAAAGCTAGCCAAATATCCACTTGCAGATTCCAGAAAAAGAGTGTTTCAAAACTGCTCCTTCAAAACGGTGGTTCAATTCTCTTAGTTGAGTACACACATCTCAAATAAGTTTCTGAGAATGCTTCTGTCTAGTTGTTATGGGAAGATATTTCCTTTTCCAACATAGGCCTGAAAGCGCTCCAAATGTCCACTTCCAGATACTACAAAAGGAGTGATTCAAACCTGCTCTATGATAGGGAATGTTCAACTCTGTGTCCTGAATACAAACATCACAAAGATGTTTCTCAGAACGCTGCAGTCTGCAATTTGTATGAATTCCCGCTTCCAACGAAATCCTCAAAACTAGCCAAATATCCACTTGCAGATTCCACAAAAAGAGCGTTTCAAAACTTCTCTATGAAAAGGAAGGTTCTACTCCTTTAGTTGAGGACACACATCACGAGTAAGTTTCTGAGAATGCTTCTGTCTAGTTTTTATGGGAAGATATTTCCTTTTTCACCTTAGGCCGGAAAGTGCTCCAAATGTCCACTTACACACACTACAAAAAGAGTGTTTCAAACCTGCTCTGTGAAAGGGAATGTTCAATTCTGTGACTTGAATGCAATCATCACAAAGAACTTTCTGAGAATGCTGCTGTCTGCTTTTTATATGTAATCCCGTTTCCAACGAAATCCTCAAATGTAGCCAAATAGCCACTTGCAGATTCCACAAAAAGAGTGTTTCAAAACTGTTCTGTCTAAAGAAATGTTCAACTGTGTTAGTTGAGGACACACATCAGAAACTAGTTTCTGAGAATGCTTCTGTCTAGTTGTTATGGGAAGATATTTCCTTTTCCAACGTAGGCCTGAAAGCGCTCCAAATGTCCACTTCCATATACTAAAAAAAGAGTGTTTCAAACCTGCTCTACCAAAGGGAATGTTCTACTCTGTGACTTGAATGCAAACATCCCAAAGAAGTTTCTGAGAATGCTTCTGTCTAGATTTGATCTGAAGACAATCCCGTTTCCAACGAAATCCTCAAGGCTAGGCAAATATCCTCTTGCAGATTCCAGAAAAAGAGTGTTTCAAAACTGCTCCTTCAAAACGGTGGTTCAATTCTCTTAGTTGAGTACACACATCTCAAATAAGTTTCTGAGAATGCTGTAGCCTAGTTGTTAAAGGGAAGATATTTCCCTTTCCAACATAGGCCTGAAAGCGCTCCAAATGTCCACTTCCAGATACTACAAAAAGAGTGTTTCAAACCTGCTCTACCAAAGGGAATGTTCTACTCTGTGACTTGAATGCAAACATCCCAAAGAAGTTTCTGAGAATGCTTCTGTCTAGATTTTACCTGAAGACAATCCCGTTTCCCACGAAATCCTCAAAGCTATGCAAATATCCTCTTGCAGATTCTACAAAAAGAGTGTTTCAAAACTGCTCTATGAAAAGAAAGGTTCAACTCTGTCAGTAGAGGGCACACATCACAAACAAGTTTCTGAGAATGCTTCTGCATAGTTGTTACGGGAAGATATTTCCCTTTCCAAAATAGGCCTGAAAGCGCTCCAAATGTCCACTTCCAGATACTACAAAAGGAGTGATTCCAACCTGCTCTATGATAGGGAATGTTCAACTCTGTGTCCTGAATACAAACATCACAAAGATGTTTCTCAGAACGCTGCAGTCTGCAATTTGTATGAATTCCCGCTTCCAACGAAATCCTCAAAACTAGCCAAATATCCACTTGCAGATTCCACAAAAAGACCATTTCAAAACTGCTCTATCAAAAGAAAGGTTCAACTTTGTTAGTTGAGTAGATACAGCATAACCAAGTTTCTGAGAATGCTTCTGTCCAGTTTTTATGGGAAGATATTTCCTTTTTCACCTTAGCCCTGAAATCGCTCCAAAAGTCCAGTTCCAGATACTACAAAAGGGGTGTTTCAAGACTGCTCTATGAAAGGGAGTGTTCAACTTTTGACTTGAATGCAAACATCAGAAAGCAGTTTCTCAGAACGCTGCTGTGTGCTTTTTATATGTATTCCCGCTTCCAGCGAAATCCCCAAAGCTAGCCAAATATCCACTTGCAGATTCCAGAAAAAGAGAGTTTCAAAACTGCTCCTTCAAAACGGTGGTTCAATTCTCTTAGTTGAGTACACACATCTCAAATAAGTTTCTGAGAATGCTTCTGTCTATTTGTTATGGGAAGATATTTCCTTTTCCAACATAGGCCTGAAAGCGCTCCAAATGTCCACTTCCAGATACTACAAAAGGAGTGATTCCCACCTGCTCTATGATAGGGAATGTTCAACTCTGTGTCCTGAATACAAACATCACAAAGATGTTTCTCAGAACGCTGCAGTCTGCAATTTGTATGAATTCCCGCTTCCAACGAAATCCTCAAAACTAGCCAAATATCCACTTGCAGATTCCACAAAAAGAGCGTTTCAAAACTTCTCTATGAACAGAAAGTTTCTACTCCTTTAGTTGAGTACACACATCACGAGTAAGTTTCTGAGAATGCTTCTGTCTAGTTTTTATGGGAAGATATTTCCTTTTTCACCTTAGGCCGGAAAGCGCTCCAAATGTCCGCTTACACACACTACAAAAAGAGTGTTTCAAACCTGCTCTGTGAAAGGGAATGTTCAATTCTGTGACTTGAATGCAATCATCACAAAGAACTTTCTGAGAATGCCGCTGTCTGCTTTTTGTATGTAATCCCGTTTCCAACGAAATGCTCAAATCTAGCCAAATATCCACTTGCAGATTCCACAAAAAGAATGTTTCAAAACTGTTCTGTCTAAAGAAATGTACAACTGTGTTAGTTGAGGACACACATCAGAAACTAGTTTCTGAGAATGCTTCTGTCTAGTTGTTATGGGAAGATATTTCCTTTTCCAACGTAGGCCTGAAAGCGATCCAAATGTCCACTTCCATATACTACAAAAAGAGTGTTTCAAACCTGCTCTACCAAAGGGAATGTTCTACTCTGTGACTTGAATGCAAACATCCCAAAGAAGTTTCTGAGAATGCTTCTGTCTAGATTTTCTCTGAAGACAATCCCGTTTCCAACGAAATCCTCAAGGCTAGGCAAATATACTCTTGCAGATTCCAGAAAAAGAGTGTTTCAAAACTGCTCCTTCAAAACGGTGGTTCAATTCTCTTAGTTGAGTACACACATCTCAAATAAGTTTCTGAGAATGCTTCTGCCTAGTTGTTACGGGAAGATATTTCCCTTTCCAACATGGGCCTGAAAGCGCTCCAAATGTCCACTTCCAGATACTACAAAAAGAGTGTTTCAAACCTGCTCTACCAAAGGGAATGTTCTACTCTGTGACTTGAATGCAAACATCCCAAAGAAGTTTCTGAGAATGCTTCTGTCTAGATTTTACCTGAAGACAATCCCGTTTCCCACGAAATCCTCAAAGCTATGCAAATATCCTCTTGCAGATTCTACAAAAAGAGTGTTTCAAAACTGCTCTATGAAAAGAAAGGTTCAACTCTGTCAGTAGAGGGCACACATCACAAACAAGTTTCTGAGAATGCTGTGTCTAGTTGTTATGGGAAGATATTTCCTTTTTTAACATAGGCCTGAAAGCGCTCCAAATGTCCACTTCCAGATACTACAAAAGGAGTGATTCCAACCTGCTCTATGATAGGGAATGTTCAACTCTGTGTCCTGAATACAAACATCACAAAGATGTTTCTCAGAACGCTGGCAGTCTGCAATTTGTATGAATTCCCGCTTCCAACGAAATCCTCAAAACTAGCCAAATATCCACTTGCAGATTCCACAAAAAGACCATTTCAAAACTGCTCTATCAAAAGAAAGGTTCAACTTTGTTAGTTGAGTAGATACAGCATAAACAAGTTTCTGAGAATGCTTCTGTCCAGTTTTTATGGGAAGATATTTCCTTTTTCACCTTAGCCCTGAAATCGCTCCAAAAGTCCAGTTCCAGATACTACAAAAGGGGTGTTTCAAGACTGCTCTATGAAAGGGAGTGTTCAACTTTTGACTTGAATGCAAACATCAGAAAGCAGTTTCTCAGAACGCTGCTGTGTGCTTTTTATATGTATTCCCGCTTCCAGCGAAATCCCCAAAGCTAGCCAAATATCCACTTGCAGATTCCAGAAAAAGAGTGTTTCAAAACTGCTCCTTCAAAACGGTGGTTCAATTCTCTTAGTTGAGTACACACATCTCAAATAAGTTTCTGAGAATGCTGCTGTGTGCTTTTTATATGTATTCCCGCTTCCAGCGAAATCCCCATAGCTAGCCAAATATCCACTTGCAGATTCCAGAAAAAGAGTGTTTCCAAACTGCTCCTTCAAAACGGTGGTTCAATTCTCTTAGTTGAGTACACACATCTCAAATAAGTTTCTGGGAATGCTTCTGTCTAGTTGTTATGGGAAGATATTTCCTTTTCCAACATAGGCCTGAAAGCGCTCCAAATGTCCACTTCCAGATACTACAAAAGGAGTGATTCAAACCTGCTCTATGATAGGGAATGTTCAACTCTGTGTCCTGAATACAAACATCACAAAGATGTTTCTCAGAACGCTGCAGTCTGCAATTTGTATGAATTCCCGCTTCCAACGAAATCCTCAAAACTAGCCAAATATCCACTTGCAGATTCCACAAAAAGAGCATTTCAAA
Organism: Homo sapiens; assembly: GCF_000001405.40. Lineage (NCBI taxonomy): Eukaryota > Metazoa > Chordata > Mammalia > Primates > Hominidae > Homo > Homo sapiens. The sequence continues at coordinate 17,520,088 of NC_000018.10, read as the reverse complement.
ACTGCTCTATCAAAAGAAAGGTTCAACTTTGTTAGTTGAGTAGATACAGCATAAACAAGTTTCTGAGAATGCTTCTGTCCAGTTTTTATGGGAAGATATTTCCTTTTTCACCTTAGCCCTGAAATCGCTCCAAAAGTCCAGTTCCAGATACTACAAAAGGGGTGTTTCAAGACTGCTCTATGAAAGGGAGTGTTCAACTTTTGACTTGAATGCAAACATCAGAAAGCAGTTTCTCAGAACGCTGCTGTGTGCTTTTTATATGTATTCCCGCTTCCAGCGAAATCCCCAAAGCTAGCCAAATATCCACTTGCAGATTCCAGAAAAAGAGTGTTTCAAAACTGCTCCTTCAAAACGGTGGTTCAATTCTCTTAGTTGAGTACACACATCTCAAATAAGTTTCTGAGAATGCTTCTGTCTAGTTGTTATGGGAAGATATTTCCTTTTCCAACATAGGCCTGAAAGCGCTCCAAATGTCCACTTCCAGATACTACAAAAGGAGTGATTCAAACCTGCTCTATGATAGGGAATGTTCAAATCTGTGTCCTGAATACAAACATCACAAAGATGTTTCTCAGAACGCTGCAGTCTGCAATTTGTATGAATTCCCGCTTCCAACGAAATCCTCAAAACTAGCCAAATATCCACTTGCAGATTCCACAAAAAGAGCGTTTCAAAACTTCTCTATGAAAAGAAAGGTTCTACTCCTTTAGTTGAGGGCACACATCACGAGTAAGTTTCTGAGAATGCTTCTGTCTAGTTTTTATGGGAAGATATTTCCTTTTTCACCTTAGGCCGGTAAGGGTTCCAAATGTCCACTTACACACACTACAAAAAGAGTGTTTCAAACCTGCTCTGTGAAAGGGAATGTTCAATTCTGTGACTTGAATGCAATCATCACAAAGAACTTTCTGAGAATGCTGCTGACTGCTTTTTATATGTAATCCCGTTTCCAACGAAATCCTCAAATCTAGCCAAATAGCCACTTGCAGATTCCACAAAAAGAGTGTTTCAAAACTGTTCTGTCTATAGAAATGTTCAACTGTGTTAGTTGAGGACACACAGCAGAAACTAGTTTCTGAGAATGCTTCTGTCTAGTTGTTATGGGAAGATATTTCCTTTTCCAACGTAGGCCTGAAAGCGCTCCAAATGTCCACTTCCATATACTAAAAAAAGAGTGTTTCAAACCTGCTCTACCAAAGGGAATGTTCTACTCTGTGACTTGAATGCAAACATCCCAAAGAAGTTTCTGAGAATGCTTCTGTCTAGATTTTATCTGAAGACAATCCCGTTTCCAACGAAATTCTCAAGGCTAGGCAAATATACTCTTGCAGATTCCAGAAAAAGAGTGTTTCAAAACTGCTCCTTCAAAACGGTGGTTCAATTCTCTTAGTTGAGTACACACATCTCAAATATGTTTCTGAGAATGCTTCTGCCTAGTTGTTACGGGAAGATATTTCCCTTTCCAACATGTTCCTGAAAGCGCTCCAAATGTCCACTTCCAGATACTACAAAAAGAGTGTTTCAAACCTGCTCTACCAAAGGGAATGTTCTACTCTGTGACTTGAATGCAAACATCCCAAAGAAGTTTCTGAGAATGCTTCTGTCTAGATTTTACCTGAAGACAATCCCGTTTCCCACGAAATCCTCAAAGCTATGCAAATATCCTCTTGCAGATTCTACAAAAAGAGTGTTTCAAAACTGCTCTATGAAAAGAAAGGTTCAACTCTGTCAGTAGAGGGCACACATCACAAACAAGTTTCTGAGAATGCTTGTGTCTAGTTGTTATGGGAAGATATTTCCTTTTTCAACATAGGCCTGAAAGCGCTCCAAATGTCCACTTCCAGATACTACAAAAGGAGTGATTCCAACCTGCTCTATGATAGGGAATGTTCATCTCTGTGTCCTGAATACAAACATCACAAAGATGTTTCTCAGAACGCTGCACTCTGCAATTTGTATGAATTCCCGCTTCCAACAAAATCCTCAAAACTAGCCAAATATCCACTTGGAGATTCCACAAAAAGAGCCTTTCAAAACTTCTCTATGAATAGAAAGGTTCTACTCCTTTAGTTGAGGACACACATCACGAGTAAGTTTCTGAGAATGCTTCTGTCTAGTTTTTATGGGAAGATATTTCCTTTTTCACCTTAGGCCGGAAAGCGCTCCAAATGTCCACTTACACACACTACAAAAAGAGTGTTTCAAACCTGCTCTGTGAAAGGGAATGTTCAATTCTGTGACTTGAATGCAATCATCACAAAGAACTTTCTGAGAATGCTGCTGTCTGCTTTTTATATGTAATCCCGTTTCCAACGAAATCCTCAAATCTAGCCAAATATCCACTTGCAGATTCCACAAAAAGAGTGTTTCAAAACTGTTCTGTCTAAAGAAATGTACAACTGTGTTAGTTGAGGACACACATCAGAAACTAGTTTCTGAGAATGCTTCTGTCTAGTTGTTATGGGAAGATATTTCCTTTTCCAACGTAGGCCTGAAAGCGCTCCAAATGTCCACTTCCATATACTAAAAAAAGAGTGTTTCAAACCTGCTCTACCAAAGGGAATGTTCTACTCTGTGACTTGAATGCAAACATCCCAAAGAAGTTTCTGAGAATGCTTCTGTCTAGATTTTACCTGAAGACAATCCCGTTTCCCACGAAATCCTCAAAGCTATGCAAATATCCTCTTGCAGATTCTACAAAAAGAGTGTTTCAAAACTGCTCTATGAAAAGAAAGGTTCAACTCTGTCAGTAGAGGGCACACATCACAAACAAGTTTCTGAGAATGCTTGTGTCTAGTTGTTATGGGAAGATATTTCCTTTTTCAACATAGGCCAGAAAGCGCTCCAAATGTCCACTTCCAGATACTACAAAAGGAGTGATTCCAACCTGCTCTATGATAGGGAATGTTCAACTCTCTGTCGTGAATACAAACATCACAAAGATGTTTCTCAGAACGCTGCAGTCTGCAATTTGTATGAATTCCCGCTTCCAACGAAATCCTCAAAACTAGCCAAATATCCACTTGCAGATTCCACAAAAAGAGCATTTCAAAACTGCTCTATCAAAAGAAAGGTTCAACTTTGTTAGTTGAGTAGATACAGCATAAACAAGTTTCTGAGAATGCTTCTGTCCAGTTTTTATGGGAAGATATTTCCTTTTTCACCTTAGCCCTGAAAGCGCTCCAAAAGTCCAGTTCCAGATACTACAAAAGGAGTGTTTCAGGACTGCACTATGAAAGGGAGTGTTCAACTTTTGACTTGAATGCAAACATCAGAAAGCAGTTTCTCAGAACGCTGCTGTGTGCTTTTTATATGTATTCCCGCTTCCAGCGAAATCCCCAAAGCTAGCCAAATATCCACTTGCAGATTCCAGAAAAAGAGTGTTTCAAAACTGCTCCTTCAAAACGGTGGTTCAATTCTCTTAGTTGAGTACACACATCTCAAATAAGTTTCTGAGAATGCTTCTGTCTAGTTGTTATGGGAAGATATTTCCTTTTCCAACATAGGCTTGAAAGCGCTCCAAATGTCCACTTCCAGATACTACAAAAGGAGTGATTCAAACCTGCTCTATGATAGGGAATGTTCAACTCTGTGTCCTGAATACAAACATCACAAAGATGTTTCTCAGAAAGCTGCAGTCTGCAATTTGTATGAATTCCCGCTTCCAACGAAATCCTCCAAACTAGCCAAATATCCACTTGCAGATTCCACAAAAAGAGCGTTTCAAAACTTCTCTATGAAAAGAAAGTTTCTACTCCTTTAGTTGAGGACACACATCACGAGTAAGTTTCTGAGAATGCTTCTGTCTAGTTTTTATGGGAAGTTATTTCCTTTTTCACCTTAGGCCGGAAAGTGCTCCAAATGTCCACTTACACACACTATAAAAAGAGTGTTTCAAACCTGCTCTGTGAAAGGGAATGTTCAATTCTGTGACTTGAATGCAATCATCACAAAGAACTTTCTGAGAATGCTGCTGTCTGCTTTTTATATGTAATCCCGTTTCCAACGAAATCCTCAAATCTAGCCAAATAGCCACTTGCAGATTCCACAAAAAGAGAGTTTCAAAACTGTTCTGTCTAAAGAAATGTTCAACTGTGTTAGTTGAGGACACACATCAGAAACTAGTTTCTGAGAATGCTTCTGTCTAATTGTTATGGGAAGATATTTCCTTTTCCAACGTAGGCCTGAAAGCGCTCCAAATGTCCACTTCCAGATACTACAAAAAGAGTGTTTCAAACCTGCTCTACCAAAGGGAATGTTCTACTCTGTGACTTGAATGCAAACATCCCAAAGAAGTTTCTGAGAATGCTTCTGTCTAGATTTGATCTGAAGACAATCCCGTTTCCAACGAAATCCTCAAAGCTAGGCAAATATCCTCTTGCAGATTCCAGAAAAAGAGTGTTTCAAAACTGCTCCTTCAAAACGGTGGTTCAATTCTCTTAGTTGAGTACACACATCTCCAATAAGTTTCTGAGAATGCTTCTGCCTAGTTGTTACGGGAAGATATTTCCCTTTCCAACATAGGCCTGAAAGCGCTCCAAATGTCCACTTCCAGATACTATAAAAAGAGTGTTTCAAACCTGCTCTACCAAAGGGAATGTTCTACTCTGTGACTTGAATGCAAACATCCCAAAGAAGTTTCTGAGAATGCTTCTGTCTAGATTTTACCTGAAGACAATCCCGTTTCCCACGAAATCCTCAAAGCTATGTAAATATCCTCTTGCAGATTCTACAAAAAGAGTGTTTCAAAACTGCTCTATGAAAAGAAAGGTTCAACTCTGTCAGTAGAGGGCACACATCACAAACAAGTTTCTGAGAATGCTTGTGTCTAGTTGTTATGGGAAGATATTTCCTTTTTCAACATAGGCCTGAAAGCGCTCCAAATGTCCACTTCCAGATACTACAAAAGGAGTGATTCCAACCTGCTCTATGATAGGGAATGTTCAACTCTCTGTCCTGAATACAAACATCACAAAGATGTTTCTCAGAACGCTGCAGTCTGCAATTTGTATGAATTCCCGCTTCCAACGAAATCCTCAAAACTAGCCAAATATCCACTTGCAGATTCCACAAAAAGACCATTTCAAAACTGCTCTATCAAAAGAAAGGTTCAACTTTGTTAGTTGAGTAGTTACAGCATAAACAAGTTTCTGAGAATGCTTCTGTCCAGTTTTTATGGGAAGATATTTCCTTTTTCACCTTAGCCCTGAAATCGCTCCAAAAGTCCAGTTCCAGATACTACAAAACGGGTGTTTCAAGACTGCTCTATGAAAGGGAGTGTTCAACTTTTGACTTGAATGCAAACATCAGAAAGCAGTTTCTCAGAACGCTGCTGTGTGCTTTTTATATGTATTCCCGCTTCCAGCGAAATCCCCAAAGCTAGCCAAATATCCACTTGCAGATTCCAGAAAAAGAGAGTTTCAAAACTGCTCCTTCAAAACGGTGGTTCAATTCTCTTAGTTGAGTACACACATCTCAAATAAGTTTCTGAGAATGCTTCTGTCTAGTTGTTATGGGAAGATATTTCCTTTTCCAACATAGGCCTGAAAGCGCTCCAAATGTCCACTTCCAGATACTACAAAAGGAGTGATTCAAACCTGCTCTATGATAGGGAATGTTCAACTCTGTGTCCTGAATACAAACGTCACAAAGATGTTTCTCAGAACGCTGCAGTCTGCAATTTGTATGAATTCCCGCTTCCAACGAAATCCTCAAAACTAGCCAAATATCCACTTGCAGATTCCACAAAAAGAGCGTTTCAAAACTTCTCTATGAAAAGAAAGGTTCTACTCCTTTAGTTGAGGACACACATCACGAGTAAGTTTCTGAGAATGCTTCTGTCTAGTTTTTATGGGAAGATATTTCCTTTTTCACCTTAGGCCGGTAAGTGCTCCAAATGTCCACTTACACACACTACAAAAAGAGTCTTTCAAACCTGCTCTGTGAAAGGGAATGTTCAATTCTGTGACTTGAATGCAATCATCACAAAGAACTTTCTGAGAATGCTGCTGACTGCTTTTTATATGTAATCCCGTTTCTAACGAAATCCTCAAATCTAGCCAAATAGCCACTTGCAGATTCCACAAAAAGAGTGTTTCAAAACTGTTCTGTCTAAAGAAATGTTCAACTGTGTTAGTTGAGGACACACATCAGAAACTAGTTTCTGAGAATGCTTCTGTCTAGTTGTTATGGGAAGATATTTCCTTTTCCAACGTAGGCCTGAAAGCGATCCAAATGTCCACTTCCATATACTAAAAAAAGAGTGTTTCAAACCTGCTCTACCAAAGGGAATGTTCTACTCTGTGACTTGAATGCAAACATCCCAAAGAAGTTTCTGAGAATGCTTCTGTCTAGATTTTCTCTGAAGACAATCCCGTTTCCAACGAAATCCTCAAGGCTAGGCAAATATACTCTTGCAGATTCCAGAAAAAGAGTGTTTCAAAACTGCTCCTTCAAAACGGTGGTTCAATTCTCTTAGTTGAGTACACACATCTCAAATAAGTTTCTGAGAATGCTTCTGCCTAGTTGTTACGGGAAGATATTTCCCTTTCCAACATGGGCCTGAAAGCGCTCCAAATGTCCACTTCCAGATACTACAAAAAGAGTGTTTCAAACCTGCTCTACCAAAGGGAATGTTCTACTCTGTGACTTGAATGCAAACATCCCAAAGAAGTTTCTGAGAATGCTTCTGTCTAGATTTTACCTGAAGACAATCCCGTTTCCCACGAAATCCTCAAAGCTATGCAAATATCCTCTTGCGGATTCTACAAAAAGAGTGTTTCAAAACTGCTCTATGAAAAGAAAGGTTCAACTCTGTCAGTAGAGGGCACACATCACTAACAAGTTTCTGAGAATGCTTCTGCCTAGTTGTTATGGGAAGATATTTCCTTTTTCAACATAGGCCTGAAAGCGCTCCAAATGTCCACTTCCAGATACTACAAAAGGAGTGATTCCAACCTGCTCTATGATAGGGAATGTTCAACTCTGTGTCCTGAATACAGACATCACAAAGATTTTTCTGAGAACGCTGCAGTCTGCAATTTGTATGAATTCCCGCTTCCAACGAAATCCTCAAAACTAGCCAAATATCCACTTGCAGATTCCACAAAAAGAGCATTTCAAAACTGCTCTATCAAAAGAAAGGTTCAACTTTGTTAGTTGAGTAGATACAGCATAAACAAGTTTCTGAGAATGCTTCTGTCCAGTTTTTATGGGAAGATATTTCCTTTTTCACCTTAGCCCTGAAAGCGCTCCAAAAGTCCAGTTCCAGATACTACAAAAGGAGTGTTTCAGGACTGCACTGTGAAAGGGAGTGTTCAACTTTTGACTTGAATGCAAACATCAGAAAGCAGTTTCTCAGAACGCTGCTGTGTGCTTTTTATATGTATTCCCGCTTCCAGCGAAATCCCCAAAGCTAGCCAAATATCCACTTGCAGATTCCAGAAAAAGAGTGTTTCAAAACTGCTCCTTCAAAACGGTGGTTCAATTCTCTTAGTTGAGTACACACATCTCAAATAAGTTTCTGAGAATGCTTCTGTCTAGTTGTTATGGGAAGATATTTCCTTTTCCAACATAGGCCTGAAAGGGCTCCAAATGTCCACTTCCAGATACTACAAAAGGAGTGATTCAAACCTGCTCTATGATAGGGAATGTTCAACTCTGTGTCCTGAATACAAACATCACAAAGATGTTTCTCAGAACGCTGCAGTCTGCAATTTGTATGAATTCCCGCTTCCAACGAAATCCTCAAAACTAGCCAAATATCCACTTGCAGATTCCACAAAAAGAGCGTTTCAAAACTTCTCTATGAAAAGAAAGGTTCTACTCCTTTAGTTGAGGACACACATCACGAGTAAGTTTCTGAGAATGCTTCTGTCTAGTTTTTATGGGAAGATATTTCCTTTTTCACCTTAGGCCGGTAAGTGCTCCAAATGTCCACTTACACACACTACAAAAAGAGTGTTTCAAACCTGCTCTGTGAAAGGGAATGTTCAATTCTGTGACTTGAATGCAATCATCACAAAGAACTTTCTGAGAATGCCGCTGACTGCTTTTTATATGTAATCCCGTTTCCAACGAAATCCTCAAATCTAGCCAAATAGCCACTTGCAGATTCCACAAAAAGAGTGTTTCAAAACTGTTCTGTCTAAAGAAATGTTCAACTGTGTTAGTTGAGGACACACATCAGAAACTAGTTTCTGAGAATGCTTCTGTCTAGTTGTTATGGGAAGATATTTCCTTTTCCAACGTAGGCCTGAAAACGATCAAAATATCCACTTCCATATACTAAAAAAAGAGTGTTTCAAACCTGCTCTACCAAAGGGAATGTTCTACTCTGTGACTTGAATGCAAACATCCCAAAGAAGTTTCTGAGAATGCTTCTGTCTAGATTTTCTCTGAAGACAATCCCGTTTCCAACGAAATCCTCAAGGCTAGGCAAATATACTCTTGCAGATTCCAGAAAAAGAGTGTTTCAAAACTGCTCCTTCAAAACGGTGGTTCAATTCTCTTAGTTGAGTACACACATCTCAAATAAGTTTCTGAGAATGCTTCTGCCTAGTTGTTACGGGAAGATATTTCCCTTTCCAACATGGGCCTGAAAGCGCTCCAAATGTCCACTTCCAGATACTACAAAAAGAGTGTTTCAAACCTGCTCTACCAAAGGGAATGTTCTACTCTGTGACTTGAATGCAAACATCCCAAAGAAGTTTCTGAGAATGCTTCTGTCTAGATTTTACCTGAAGACAATCCCGTTTCCCACGAAATCCTCAAAGCTATGCAAATATCCTCTTGCAGATTCTACAAAAAGAGTGTTTCAAAACTGCTCTATGAAAAGAAAGGTTCAACTCTGTCAGTAGAGGGCACACATCACAAACAAGTTTCTGAGAATGCTTCTGCATAGTTGTTACGGGAAGATATTTCCCTTTCCAAAATAGGCCTGAAAGCGCTCCAAATGTCCACTTCCAGATACTACAAAAGGAGTGATTCCAACCTGCTCTATGATAGGGAATGTTCAACTCTGTGTCCTGAATACAAACATCACAAAGATGTTTCTCAGAACGCTGCAGTCTGCAATTTGTATGAATTCCCGCTTCCAACGAAATCCTCAAAACTAGCCAAATATCCACTTGCAGATTCCACAAAAAGACCATTTCAAAACTGCTCTATCAAAAGAAAGGTTCAACTTTGTTAGTTGAGTAGATACAGCATAACCAAGTTTCTGAGAATGCTTCTGTCCAGTTTTTATGGGAAGATATTTCCTTTTTCACCTTAGCCCTGAAATCGCTCCAAAAGTCCAGTTCCAGATACTACAAAAGGGGTGTTTCAAGACTGCTCTATGAAAGGGAGTGTTCAACTTTTGACTTGAATGCAAACATCAGAAAGCAGTTTCTCAGAACGCTGCTGTGTGCTTTTTATATGTATTCCCGCTTCCAGCGAAATCCCCAAAGCTAGCCAAATATCCACTTGCAGATTCCAGAAAAAGAGAGTTTCAAAACTGCTCCTTCAAAACGGTGGTTCAATTCTCTTAGTTGAGTACACACATCTCAAATAAGTTTCTGAGAATGCTTCTGTCCAGTTTTTATGGGAAGGTATTTCCTTTTTCACCTTAGCCCTGAAAGCGCTCCAAATGTCCAGTTCCAGATACTACAAAAGGGGTGTTTGAAGACTGCTCTATGAAAGGGAGTGTTCAACTTTTGACTTGAATGCAAACATCAGAAAGCAGTTTCTCAGAACGCTGCAGTCTGCATCTTGTATGAATTCCCGCTTCCAACGAAATCCTCAAAACTAGCCAAATATCCACTTGCAGATTCCACAAAAAGAGCATTTCAAAACTGCTCTATCAAAAGAAAGGTTCAACTTTGTTAGTTGAGCAGATACAGCATAAACAAGTTTCTGAGAATGCTTCTGTCCAGTTTTTATGGGAAGATATTTCCTTTTTCACCTTAGCCCTGAAATCGCTCCAAAAGTCCAGTTCCAGATACTACAAAAGGGGTGTTTCAGGACTGCTCTATGAAAGGGAGTGTTCAACTTTTGACTTGAATGCAAACATCAGAAAGCAGTTTCTCAGAACGCTGCTGTGTGCTTTTTATATGTATTCCCGCTTCCAGCGAAATCCCCAAAGCTAGCCAAATATCCACTTGCAGATTCCAGAAAAAGAGAGTTTCAAAACTGCTCCTTCAAAACGGTGGTTCAATTCTCTTAGTTGAGTACACACATCTCAAATAAGTTTCTGAGAATGCTCCTGTCCTAGTTGTTATGGGAAGATATTTCCTTTTCCAACATAGGCCTGAAAGCGCTCCAAATGTCCACTTCCAGATACTACAAAAGGAGTGATTCAAACCTGCTCTATGATAGGGAATGTTCAACTCTGTGTCCTGAATACAAACATCACAAAGATGTTTCTCAGAACGCTGCAGTCTGCAATTTGTATGAATTCCCGCTTCCAACGAAATCCTCAAAACTAGCCAAATATCCACTTGCAGATTCCACAAAAAGACCATTTCAAAACTGCTCTATCAAAAGAAAGGTTCAACTTTGTTAGTTGAGTAGATACAGCATAAACAAGTTTCTGAGAATGCTTCTGTCCAGTTTTTATGGGAAGATATTTCCTTTTTCACCTTAGCCCTGAAATCGCTCCAAAAGTCCAGTTCCAGATACTACAAAAGGGGTGTTTCAAGACTGCTCTATGAAAGGGAGTGTTCAACTTTTGACTTGAATGCAAACATCAGAAAGCAGTTTCTCAGAACGCTGCTGTGTGCTTTTTATATGTATTCCCGCTTCCAGCGAAATCCCCAAAGCTAGCCAAATATCCACTTGCAGATTCCAGAAAAAGAGAGTTTCAAAACTGCTCCTTCAAAACGGTGGTTCAATTCTCTTAGTTGAGTACACACATCTCAAATAAGTTTCTGAGAATGCTTGTGTCTAGTTGTTATGGGAAGATATTTCCTTTTTCAACATAGGCCTGAAAGCGCTCCAAATGTCCACTTCCAGATACTACAAAAGGAGTGATTCCAACCTGCTCTATGATAGGGAATGTTCAACTCTGTGTCCTGAATACAAACATCACAAAGATGTTTCTCAGAACGCTGCAGTCTGCAATTTGTATGAATTCCCGCTTCCAGCGAAATCCTCAAAACTAGCCAAATATCCACTTGCAGATTCCACAAAAAGAGCATTTCAAAACTGCTCTATCAAAAGAAAGGTTCAACTTTGTTAGTTGAGTAGATACAGCATAAACAAGTTTCTGAGAATGCTTCTGTCCAGTTTTTATGGGAAGATATTTCCTTTTTCACCTTAGCCCTGAAAGCGCTCCAAAAGTCCAGTTCCAGATACTACAAAAGGAGTGTTTCAGGACTGCACTATGAAAGGGAGTGTTCAACTTTTGACTTGAATGCAAACATCAGAAAGCAGTTTCTCAGAACGCTGCTGTGTGCTTTTTATATGTATTCCCGCTTCCAGCGAAATCCCCAAAGCTAGCCAAATATCCACTTGCAGATTCCAGAAAAAGAGTGTTTCAAAACTGCTCCTTCAAAACGGTGGTTCAATTCTCTTAGTTGAGTACACACATCTCAAATAAGTTTCTGAGAATGCTTCTGTCTAGTTGTTATGGGAAGATATTTCCTTTTCCAACATAGGCCTGAAAGCGCTCCAAATGTCCACTTCCAGATACTACAAAAGGAGTGATTCCAACCTGCTCTATGATAGGGAATGTTCAACTCTGTGTCCTGAATACAAACATCACAAAGATGTTTCTCAGAACGCTGCAGTCTGCAATTTGTATGAATTCCCGCTTCCAACGAAATCCTCAAAACTAGCCAAATATCCACTTGCAGATTCCACAAAAAGAGCGTTTCAAAACTTCTCTATGAAAAGAAAGGTTCTACTCCTTTAGTTGAGGACACACATCACGAGTAAGTTTCTGAGAATGCTTCTGTCTAGTTTTTATGGGAAGATATTTCCTTTTTCACCTTAGGCCGGTAAGTGCTCCAAATGTCCACTTACACACACTACAAAAAGAGTGTTTCAAACCTGCTCTGTGAAAGGGAATGTTCAATTCTGTGACTTGAATGCAATCATCACAAAGAACTTTCTGAGAATGCTGCTGACTGCTTTTTATATGTAATCCCGTTTCCAACGAAATCCTCAAATCTAGCCAAATAGCCACTTGCAGATTCCACAAAAAGAGTGTTTCAAAACTGTTCTGTCTAAAGAAATGTTCAACTGTGTTAGTTGAGGACACACATCAGAAACTAGTTTCTGAGAATGCTTCTGTCTAGTTGTTATGGGAAGATATTTCCTTTTCCAACGTAGGCCTGAAAGCGCTCCAAATGTCCACTTCCATATACTAAAAAAAGAGTGTTTCAAACCTGCTCTACCAAAGGGAATGTTCTACTCTGTGACTTGAATGCAAACATCCCAAAGAAGTTTCTGAGAATGCTTCTGTCTAGATTTTCTCTGAAGACAATCCCGTTTCCAACGAAATCCTCAAGGCTAGGCAAATATACTCTTGCAGATTCCAGAAAAAGAGTGTTTCAAAACTGCTCCTTCAAAACGGTGGTTCAATTCTCTTAGTTGAGTACACACATCTCAAATAAGTTTCTGAGAATGCTTCTGCCTAGTTGTTACGGGAAGATATTTCCCTTTCCAACATGGGCCTGAAAGCGCTCCAAATGTCCACTTCCAGATACTACAAAAAGAGTGTTTCAAACCTGCTCTACCAAAGGGAATGTTCTACTCTGTGACTTGAATGCAAACATCCCAAAGAAGTTTCTGAGAATGCTTCTGTCTAGATTTTACCTGAAGACAATCCCGTTTCCCACGAAATCCTCAAAGCTATGCAAATATCCTCTTGCAGATTCTACAAAAAGAGTGTTTCAAAAGTGCTCTATGAAAAGAAAGGTTCAACTCTGTCAGTAGAGGGCACACATCACAAACAAGTTTCTGAGAATGCTTCTGCATAGTTGTTACGGGAAGATATTTCCCTTTCCAAAATAGGCCTGAAAGCGCTCCAAATGTCCACTTCCAGATACTACAAAAGGAGTGATTCCAACCTGCTCTATGATAGGGAATGTTCAACTCTGTGTCCTGAATACAAACATCACAAAGATGTTTCTCAGAACGCTGCAGTCTGCAATTTGTATGAATTCCCGCTTCCAACGAAATCCTCAAAACTAGCCAAATATCCACTTGCAGATTCCACAAAAAGACCATTTCAAAACTGCTCTATCAAAAGAAAGGTTCAACTTTGTTAGTTGAGTAGATACAGCATAAACAAGTTTCTGAGAATGCTTCTGTCCAGTTTTTATGGGAAGATATTTCCTTTTTCACCTTAGCCCTGAAATCGCTCCAAAAGTCCAGTTCCAGATACTACAAAAGGGGTGTTTCAAGACTGCTCTATGAAAGGGAGTGTTCAACTTTTGACTTGAATGCAAACATCAGAAAGCAGTTTCTCAGAACGCTGCTGTGTGCTTTTTATATGTATTCCCGCTTCCAGCGAAATCCCCAAAGCTAGCCAAATATCCACTTGCAGATTCCAGAAAAAGAGAGTTTCAAAACTGCTCCTTCAAAACGGTGGTTCAATTCTCTTAGTTGAGTACACACATCTCAAATAAGTTTCTGAGAATGCTTCTGTCTAGTTGTTATGGGAAGATATTTCCTTTTCCAACATAGGCCTGAAAGCGCTCCAAATGTCCACTTCCAGATACTACAAAAGGAGTGATTCAAACCTGCTCTATGATAGGGAATGTTCAACTCTGTGTCCTGAATACAAACATCACAAAGATGTTTCTCAGAACGCTGCAGTCTGCAATTTGTATGAATTCCCGCTTCCAACGAAATCCTCAAAACTAGCCAAATATCCACTTGCAGATTCCACAAAAAGAGCGTTTCAAAACTTCTCTATGAAAAGAAAGGTTCTACTCCTTTAGTTGAGGACACACATCACGAGTAAGTTTCTGAGAATGCTTCTGTCTAGTTTTTATGGGAAGATATTTCCTTTTTCACCTTAGGCCGGTAAGTGCTCCAAATGTCCACTTACACACACTACAAAAAGAGTGTTTCAAACCTGCTCTGTGAAAGGGAATGTTCAATTCTGTGACTTGAATGCAATCATCACAAAGAACTTTCTGAGAATGCCGCTGTCTGCTTTTTGTATGTAATCCCGTTTCCAACGAAATGCTCAAATCTAGCCAAATATCCACTTGCAGATTCCACAAAAAGAGTGTTTCAAAACTGTTCTGTCTAAAGAAATGTTCAACTGTGTTAGTTGAGGACACACATCAGAAACTAGTTTCTGAGAATGCTTCTGTCTAGTTGTTATGGGAAGATATTTCCTTTTCCAACGTAGGCCTGAAAGCGCTCCAAATGTCCACTTCCAGATACTAAAAAAAGAGTGTTTCAAACCTGCTCTACCAAAGGGAATGTTCTACTCTGTGACTTGAATGCAAGCATCCCAAAGAAGTTTCTGAGAATGCTTCTGTCTAGATTTTCTCTGAAGACAATCCCGTTTCCAACGAAATCCTGAAGGCTAGGCAAATATACTCTTGCAGATTCCAGAAAAAGAGTGTTTCAAAACTGCTCCTTCAAAACGGTGGTTCAATTCTCTTAGTTGAGTACACACATCTCAAATAAGTTTCTGAGAATGCTTCTGCCTAGTTGTTACGGGAAGATATTTCCCTTTCCAACATGGGCCTGAAAGCGCTCCAAATGTCCACTTCCAGATACTACAAAAAGAGTGTTTCAAACCTGCTCTACCAAAGGGAATGTTCTACTCTGTGACTTGAATGCAAACATCCCAAAGAAGTTTCTGAGAATGCTTCTGTCTAGATTTTACCTGAAGACAATCCCGTTTCCCACGAAATCCTCAAAGCTATGCAAATATCCTCTTGCAGATTCTACAAAAAGAGTGTTTCAAAACTGCTCTATGAAAAGAAAGGTTCAACTCTGTCAGTAGAGGGCACACATCACAAACAAGTTTCTGAGAATGCTTCTGCATAGTTGTTACGGGAAGATATTTCCCTTTCCAAAATAGGCCTGAAAGCGCTCCAAATGTCCACTTCCAGATACTACAAAAGGAGTGATTCCAACCTGCTCTATGATAGGGAATGTTCAACTCTGTGTCCTGAATACAAACATCACAAAGATGTTTCTCAGAACGCTGCAGTCTGCAATTTGTATGAATTCCCGCTTCCAACGAAATCCTCAAAACTAGCCAAATATCCACTTGCAGATTCCACAAAAAGACCATTTCAAAACTGCTCTATCAAAAGAAAGGTTCAACTTTGTTAGTTGAGTAGATACAGCATAACCAAGTTTCTGAGAATGCTTCTGTCCAGTTTTTATGGGAAGATATTTCCTTTTTCACCTTAGCCCTGAAATCGCTCCAAAAGTCCAGTTCCAGATACTACAAAAGGGGTGTTTCAAGACTGCTCTATGAAAGGGAGTGTTCAACTTTTGACTTGAATGCAAACATCAGAAAGCAGTTTCTCAGAACGCTGCTGTGTGCTTTTTATATGTATTCCCGCTTCCAGCGAAATCCCCAAAGCTAGCCAAATATCCACTTGCAGATTCCAGAAAAAGAGAGTTTCAAAACTGCTCCTTCAAAACGGTGGTTCAATTCTCTTAGTTGAGTACACACATCTCAAATAAGTTTCTGAGAATGCTTCTGTCTAGTTGTTATGGGAAGATATTTCCTTGTCCAACATAGGCCTGAAAGCGCTCCAAATGTCCACTTCCAGATACTACAAAAGGAGTGATTCAAACCTGCTCTATGATAGGGAATGTTCAACTCTGTGTCCTGAATACAAACATCACAAAGATGTTTCTCAGAACGCTGCAGTCTGCAATTTGTATGAATTCCCGCTTCCAACGAAATCCTCAAAACTAGCCAAATATCCACTTGCAGATTCCACAAAAAGAGCGTTTCAAAACTTCTCTATGAAAAGAAAGGTTCTACTCCTTTAGTTGAGGACACACATCACGAGTAAGTTTCTGAGAATGCTTCTGTCTAGTTTTTATGGGAAGATATTTCCTTTTTCACCTTAGGCCGGTAAGTGCTCCAAATGTCCACTTACACACACTACAAAAAGAGTGTTTCAAACCTGCTCTGTGAAAGGGAATGTTCAATTCTGTGACTTGAATGCAATCATCACAAAGAACTTTCTGAGAATGCTGCTGACTGCTTTTTATATGTAATCCCGTTTCCAACGAAATCCTCAAATCTAGCCAAATAGCCACTTGCAGATTCCACAAAAAGAGTGTTTCAAAACTGTTCTGTCTAAAGAAATGTTCAACTGTGTTAGTTGAGGACACACATCAGAAACTAGTTTCTGAGAATGCTTCTGTCTAGTTGTTATGGGAAGATATTTCCTTTTCCAACGTAGGCCTGAAAGCGCTCCAAATGTCCACTTCCAGATACTAAAAAAAGAGTGTTTCAAACCTGCTCTACCAAAGGGAATGTTCTACTCTGTGACTTGAATGCAAGCATCCCAAAGAAGTTTCTGAGAATGCTTCTGTCTAGATTTTCTCTGAAGACAATCCCGTTTCCAACGAAATCCTCAAGGCTAGGCAAATATCCTCTTGCAGATTCCAGAAAAAGAGTGTTTCAAAACTGCTCCTTCAAAACGGTGGTTCAATTCTCTTAGTTGAGTACACACATCTCAAATAAGTTTCTGAGAATGCTTCTGCCTAGTTGTTACGGGAAGATATTTCCCTTTCCAACATGGGCCTGAAAGCGCTCCAAATGTCCACTTCCAGATACTACAAAAAGAGTGTTTCAAACCTGCTCTACCAAAGGGAATGTTCTACTCTGTGACTTGAATGCAAACATCCCAAAGAAGTTTCTGAGAATGCTTCTGTCTAGATTTTACCTGAAGACAATCCCGTTTCCCACGAAATCCTCAAAGCTATGCAAATATCCTCTTGCAGATTCTACAAAAAGAGTGTTTCAAAACTGCTCTATGAAAAGAAAGGTTCAACTCTGTCAGTAGAGGGCACACATCACAAACAAGTTTCTGAGAATGCTTCTGCATAGTTGTTACGGGAAGATATTTCCCTTTCCAAAATAGGCCTGAAAGCGCTCCAAATGTCCACTTCCAGATACTACAAAAGGAGTGATTCCAACCTGCTCTATGATAGGGAATGTTCAACTCTGTGTCCTGAATACAAACATCACAAAGATGTTTCTCAGAACGCTGCAGTCTGCAATTTGTATGAATTCCCGCTTCCAACGAAATCCTCAAAACTAGCCAAATATCCACTTGCAGATTCCACAAAAAGACCATTTCAAAACTGCTCTATCAAAAGAAAGGTTCAACTTTGTTAGTTGAGTAGATACAGCATAAACAAGTTTCTGAGAATGCTTCTGTCCAGTTTTTATGGGAAGATATTTCCTTTTTCACCTTAGCCCTGAAATCGCTCCAAAAGTCCAGTTCCAGATACTACAAAAGGGGTGTTTCAGGACTGCCCTATGAAAGGGAGTGTTCAACTTTTGACTTGAATGCAAACATCAGAAAGCAGTTTCTCAGAACGCTGCTGTGTGCTTTTTATATGTATTCCCGCTTCCAGCGAAATCCCCAAAGCTAGCCAAATATCCACTTGCAGATTCCAGAAAAAGAGAGTTTCAAAACTGCTCCTTCAAAACGGTGGTTCAATTCTCTTAGTTGAGTACACACATCTCAAATAAGTTTCTGAGAATGCTTCTGTCTAGTTGTTTATGGGAAGATATTTCCTTTTCCAACATAGGCCTGAAAGCGCTCCAAATGTCCACTTCCAGATACTACAAAAGGAGTGATTCCAACCTGCTCTATGATAGGGAATGTTCAACTCTGTGTCCTGAATACAAACATCACAAAGATGTTTCTCAGAACGCTGCAGTCTGCAATTTGTATGAATTCCCGCTTCCAACGAAATCCTCAAAACTAGCCAAATATCCACTTGCAGATTCCACAAAAAGACCATTTCAAAACTGCTCTATCAAAAGAAAGGTTCAACTTTGTTAGTTGAGTAGATACAGCATAAACAAGTTTCTGAGAATGCTTCTGTCCAGTTTTTATGGGAAGATATTTCCTTTTTCACCTTAGCCCTGAAATCGCTCCAAAAGTCCAGTTCCAGATACTACAAAAGGGGTGTTTCAAGACTGCTCTATGAAAGGGAGTGTTCAACTTTTGACTTGAATGCAAACATCAGAAAGCAGTTTCTCAGAACGCTGCTGTGTGCTTTTTATATGTATTCCCGCTTCCAGCGAAATCCCCAAAGCTAGCCAAATATCCACTTGCAGATTCCAGAAAAAGAGTGTTTCAAAACTGCTCCTTCAAAACGGTGGTTCAATTCTCTTAGTTGAGTACACACATCTCAAATAAGTTTCTGAGAATGCTTCTGTCTAGTTGTTATGGGAAGATATTTCCTTTTCCAACATAGGCCTGAAAGCGCTCCAAATGTCCACTTCCAGATACTACAAAAGGAGTGATTCCAACCTGCTCTATGATAGGGAATGTTCAACTCTGTGTCCTGAATACAAACATCACAAAGATGTTTCTCAGAACGCTGCAGTCTGCAATTTGTATGAATTCCCGCTTCCAACGAAATCCTCAAAACTAGCCAAATATCCACTTGCAGATTCCACAAAAAGAGCGTTTCAAAACTTCTCTATGAAAAGAAAGGTTGTACTCCTTTAATTGAGGACACACATCACGAGTAAGTTTCTGAGAATGCTTCTGTCTAGTTTTTATGGGAAGATATTTCCTTTTTCACCTTAGGCCGGTAAGTGCTCCAAATGTCCACTTACACACACTACAAAAAGAGTGTTTCAAACCTGCTCTGTGAAAGGGAATGTTCAATTCTGTGACTTGAATGCAATCATCACAAAGAACTTTCTGAGAATGCTGCTGACTGCTTTTTATATGTAATCCCGTTTCCAACGAAATCCTCAAATCTAGCCAAATAGCCTCTTGCAGATTCCACAAAAAGAGTGTTTCAAAACTGTTCTGTCTAAAGAAATGTTCAACTGTGTTAGTTGAGGACACACATCAGAAACTAGTTTCTGAGAATGCTTCTGTCTAGTTGTTATGGGAAGATATTTCCTTTTCCAACGTAGGCCTGAAAGCGCTCCAAATGTCCACTTCCATATACTAAAAAAAGAGTGTTTCAAACCTGCTCTACCAAAGGGAATGTTCTACTCTGTGACTTGAATGCAAACATCCCAAAGAAGTTTCTGAGAATGCTTCTGTCTAGATTTTCTCTGAAGACAATCCCGTTTCCAACGAAATCCTCAAGGCTAGGCAAATATACTCTTGCAGATTCCAGAAAAAGAGTGTTTCAAAACTGCTCCTTCAAAACGGTGGTTCAATTCTCTTAGTTGAGTACACACATCTCAAATAAGTTTCTGAGAATGCTTCTGCCTAGTTGTTACGGGAAGATATTTCCCTTTCCAACATGGGCCTGAAAGCGCTCCAAATGTCCACTTCCAGATACTACAAAAAGAGTGTTTCAAACCTGCTCTACCAAAGGGAATGTTCTACTCTGTGACTTGAATGCAAACATCCCAAAGAAGTTTCTGAGAATTCTTCTGTCTAGATTTTACCTGAAGACAATCCCGTTTCCCACGAAATCCTCAAAGCTATGCAAATATCCTCTTGCAGATTCTACAAAAAGAGTGTTTCAAAACTGCTCTATGAAAAGAAAGGTTCAACTCTGTCAGTAGAGGGCACACATCACAAACAAGTTTCTGAGAATGCTTCTGCATAGTTGTTACGGGAAGATATTTCCCTTTCCAAAATAGGCCTGAAAGCGCTCCAAATGTCCACTTCCAGATACTACAAAAGGAGTGATTCCAACCTGCTCTATGATAGGGAATGTTCAACTCTCTGTCCTGAATACAAACATCACAAAGATGTTTCTCAGAACGCTGCAGTCTGCAATTTGTATGAATTCCCGCTTCCAACGAAATCCTCAAAACTAGCCAAATATCCACTTGCAGATTCCACAAAAAGACCATTTCAAAACTGCTCTATCAAAAGAAAGGTTCAACTTTGTTAGTTGAGTAGATACAGCATAACCAAGTTTCTGAGAATGCTTCTGTCCAGTTTTTATGGGAAGATATTTCCTTTTTCACCTTAGCCCTGAAATCGCTCCAAAAGTCCAGTTCCAGATACTACAAAAGGGGTGTTTCAGGACTGCTCTATGAAAGGGAGTGTTCAACTTTTGACTTGAATGCAAACATCAGAAAGCAGTTTCTCAGAACGCTGCTGTGTGCTTTTTATATGTATTCCCGCTTCCAGCGAAATCCCCAAAGCTAGCCAAATATCCACTTGCAGACTCCAGAAAAAGAGTGTTTCAAAACTGCTCCTTCAAAACGGTGGTTCAATTCTCTTAGTTGAGTACACACATCTCAAATAAGTTTCTGAGAATGCTTCTGTCTAGTTGTTATGGGAAGATATTTCCTTTTCCAACATAGGCCTGAAAGCGCTCCAAATGTCCACTTCCAGATACTACAAAAGGAGTGATTCCAACCTGCTCTATGATAGGGAATGTTCAACTCTGTGTCCTGAATACAAACATCACAAAGATGTTTCTCAGAACGCTGCAGTCTGCAATTTGTATGAATTCCCGCTTCCAACGAAATCCTCAAAACTAGCCAAATATCCACTTGCAGATTCCACAAAAAGAGCGTTTCAAAACTTCTCTATGAAAAGAAAGGTTCTACTCCTTTAGTTGAGGACACACATCACGAGTAAGTTTCTGAGAATGCTTCTGTCTAGTTTTTATGGGAAGATATTTCCTTTTTCACCTTAGGCCGGTAAGTGCTCCAAATGTCCACTTACACACACTACAAAAAGAGTGTTTCAAACCTGCTCTGTGAAAGGGAATGTTCAATTCTGTGACTTGAATGCAATCATCACAAAGAACTTTCTGAGAATGCTGCTGACTGCTTTTTATATGTAATCCCGTTTCCAACGAAATCCTCAAATCTAGCCAAATAGCCACTTGCAGATTCCACAAAAAGAGTGTTTCAAAACTGTTCTGTCTAAAGAAATGTTCAACTGTGTTAGTTGAGGACACACATCAGAAACTAGTTTCTGAGAATGCTTCTGTCTAGTTGTTATGGGAAGATATTTCCTTTTCCAACGTAGGCCTGAAAGCGCTCCAAATGTCCACTTCCATATACTAAAAAAAGAGTGTTTCAAACCTGCTCTACCAAAGGGAATGTTCTACTCTGTGACTTGAATGCAAACATCCCAAAGAAGTTTCTGAGAATGCTTCTGTCTAGATTTGATCTGAAGACAATCCCGTTTCCAACGAAATCCTCAAGGCTAGGCAAATATCCTCTTGCAGATTCCAGAAAAAGAGTGTTTCAAAACTGCTCCTTCAAAACGGTGGTTCAATTCTCTTAGGTGAGTACACACATCTCAAATAAGTTTCTGAGAATGCTTCTGCCTAGTTGTTACGGGAAGATATTTCCCTTTCCAACATAGGCCTGAAAGCGCTCCAAATGTCCACTTCCAGATACTACAAAAAGAGTGTTTCAAACCTGCTCTACCAAAGGGAATGTTCTACTCTGTGACTTGAATGCAAACATCCCAAAGAAGTTTCTGAGAATGCTTCTGTCTAGATTTTACCTGAAGACAATCCCGTTTCCCACGAAATCCTCAAAGCTATGCAAATATCCTCTTGCGGATTCTACAAAAAGAGTGTTTCAAAACTGCTCTATGAAAAGAAAGGTTCAACTCTGTCAGTAGAGGGCACACATCACAAACAAGTTTCTGAGAATGCTTGTGTCTAGTTGTTATGGGAAGATATTTCCTTTTTCAACATAGGCCTGAATGCGCTCCAAATGTCCACTTCCAGATACTACAAAAGGAGTGATTCCAACCTGCTCTATGATAGGGAATGTTCAACTCTCTGTCCTGAATACAAACATCACAAAGATGTTTCTCAGAACGCTGCAGTCTGCAATTTGTATGAATTCCCGCTTCCAACGAAATCCTCAAAACTAGCCAAATATCCACTTGCAGATTCCACAAAAAGAGCATTTCAAAACTGCTCTATCAAAAGAAAGGTTCAACTTTGTTAGTTGAGTAGATACAGCATAAACAAGTTTCTGAGAATGCTTCTGTCCAGTTTTTATGGGAAGATAGTTCCTTTTTCACCTTAGCCCTGAAAGCGCTCCAAATGTCCAGTTCCCGATACTACAAAAGGGGTGTTTCAAGACTGCTCTATGAAAGGGAGTGTTCAACTTTTGACTTGAATGCAAACATCAGAAAGCAGTTTCTCAGAACGCTGCTGTGTGCTTTTTATATGTATTCCCGCTTCCAGCGAAATCCCCAAAGCTAGCCAAATATCCACTTGCAGATTCCAGAAAAAGAGTGTTTCAAAACTGCTCCTTCAAAACGGTGGTTCAATTCTCTTAGTTGAGTACACACATCTCAAATAAGTTTCTGAGAATGCTTCTGTCTAGTTGTTATGGGAAGATATTTCCTTTTCCAACATAGGCCTGAAAGCGCTCCAAATGTCCACTTCCAGATACTACAAAAGGAGTGATTCCAACCTGCTCTATGATAGGGAATGTTCAACTCTGTGTCCTGAATACAAACATCACAAAGATGTTTCTCAGAACGCTGCAGTCTGCAATTTGTATGAATTCCCGCTTCCAACGAAATCCTCAAAACTAGCCAAATATCCACTTGCAGATTCCACAAAAAGAGCGTTTCAAAACTTCTCTATGAAAAGAAAGGTTCTACTCCTTTAGTTGAGGACACACATCACGAGTAAGTTTCTGAGAATGCTTCTGTCTAGTTTTTATGGGAAGATATTTCCTTTTTCACCTTAGGCCGGTAAGTGCTCCAAATGTCCACTTACACACACTACAAAAAGAGTGTTTCAAACCTGCTCTGTGAAAGGGAATGTTCAATTCTGTGACTTGAATGCAATCATCACAAAGAACTTTCTGAGAATGCTGCTGACTGCTTTTTATATGTAATCCCGTTTCCAACGAAATCCTCAAATCTAGCCAAATAGCCACTTGCAGATTCCACAAAAAGAGTGTTTCAAAACTGTTCTGTCTAAAGAAATGTTCAACTGTGTTAGTTGAGGACACACATCAGAAACTAGTTTCTGAGAATGCTTCTGTCTAGTTGTTATGGGAAGATATTTCCTTTTCCAACGTAAGCCTGAAAGCGATCAAAATGTCCACTTCCATATACTAAAAAAAGAGTGTTTCAAACCTGCTCTACCAAAGGGAATGTTCTACTCTGTGACTTGAATGCAAACATCCCAAAGAAGTTTCTGAGAATGCTTCTGTCTAGATTTTTTCTGAAGACAATCCCGTTTCCAACGAAATCCTCAAGGCTAGGCAAATATACTCTTGCAGATTCCAGAAAAAGAGTGTTTCAAAACTGCTCCTTCAAAACGGTGGTTCAATTCTCTTAGTTGAGTACACACATCTCAAATAAGTTTCTGAGAATGCTTCTGCCTAGTTGTTACGGGAAGATATTTCCCTTTCCAAAATAGGCCTGAACGCGCTCCAAATGTCCACTTCCAGATACTGCAAAAGGAGTGATTCCAACCTGCTCTACGATAGGGAAAGTTCAACTCTGTGTCCTGAATACAAACATCACAAAGATGTTTCTCAGAACGCTGCAGTCTGCAATTTGCATGAATTCCAGCTTCCAACGAAATCCTCAAAACTAGCCAAATATCCACTTGCAGATTCCACAAAAAGAGCATTTCAAAACTGCTCTATCAAAAGAAAGGTTCAACTTTGTTAGTAGAGTAGATACAGCATAAACAAGTTTCTGAGAATGCTTCTGTCCAGTTTTTATGGGAAGATATTTCCTTTTTCACCTTAGCCCTGAAAGCGCTCCAAATGTCCAGTTCCAGATACTACAAAAGGGGTGTTTCAAGACTGCTCTATGAAAGGGAGTGTTCAACTTTTGACTTGAATGCAAACATCAGAAAGCAGTTTCTCAG
Source organism: Homo sapiens (assembly GCF_000001405.40). Classification (NCBI taxonomy): domain Eukaryota; kingdom Metazoa; phylum Chordata; class Mammalia; order Primates; family Hominidae; genus Homo; species Homo sapiens. The sequence continues at coordinate 17,496,124 of NC_000018.10, read as the reverse complement.
AACGCTGCTGTGTGCTTTTTATATGTATTCCCGCTTCCAGCGAAATCCCCAAAGCTAGCCAAATATCCACTTGCAGATTCCAGAAAAAGAGTGTTTCAAAACTGCTCCTTCAAAACGGTGGTTCAATTCTCTTAGTTGAGTACACACATCTCAAATAAGTTTCTGAGAATGCTTCTGTCTAGTTGTTATGGGAAGATATTTCCTTTTCCAACATAGGCCTGAAAGCAATCCAAATGTCCACTTCCAGATACTACAAAAGGAGTGATTCAAACCTGCTCTATGATAGGGAATGTTCAACTCTGTGTCCTGAATACAAACATCACAAAGATGTTTCTCAGAACGCTGCAGTCTGCAATTTGTATGAATTCCCGCTTCCAACGAAATCCTCCAAACTAGCCAAATATCCACTTGCAGATTCCACAAAAAGAGCGTTTCAAAACTTCTCTATGAAAAGAAAGGTTCTACTCCTTTAGTTGAGGACACACATCACGAGTAAGTTTCTGAGAATGCTTCTGTCTAGTTTTTATGGGAAGATATTTCCTTTTTCACCTTAGGCCGGTAAGTGCTCCAAATGTCCACTTACACACACTACAAAAAGAGTGTTTCAAACCTGCTCTGTGAAAGGGAATGTTCAATTCTGTGACTTGAATGCAATCATCACAAAGAACTTTCTGAGAATGCTGCTGACTGCTTTTTATATGTAATCCCGTTTCTAACGAAATCCTCAAATCTAGCCAAATAGCCACTTGCAGATTCCACAAAAAGAGTGTTTCAAAACTGTTCTGTCTAAAGAAATGTTCAACTGTGTTAGTTGAGGACACACATCAGAAACTAGTTTCTGAGAATGCTTCTGTCTAGTTGTTATGGGAAGATATTTCCTTTTCCAACGTAGGCCTGAAAGCGCTCCAAATGTCCACTTCCATATACTAAAAAAAGAGTGTTTCAAACCTGCTCTACCAAAGGGAATGTTCTACTCTGTGACTTGAATGCAAACATCCCAAAGAAGTTTCTGAGAATGCTTCTGTCTAGATTTTCTCTGAAGACAATCCCGTTTCCAACGAAATCCTCAAGGCTAGGCAAATATACTCTTGCAGATTCCAGAAAAAGAGTGTTTCAAAACTGCTCCTTCAAAACGGTGGTTCAATTCTCTTAGTTGAGTACACACATCTCAAATAAGTTTCTGAGAATGCTTCTGCCTAGTTGTTACGGGAAGATATTTCCCTTTCCAACATGGGCCTGAAAGCGCTCCAAATGTCCACTTCCAGATACTACAAAAAGAGTGTTTCAAACCTGCTCTACCAAAGGGAATGTTCTACTCTGTGACTTGAATGCAAACATCCCAAAGAAGTTTCTGAGAATGCTCTGTCTAGATTTTACCTGAAGACAATCCCGTTTCCCCCGAAATCCTCAAAGCTATGCAAATATCCTCTTGCGGATTCTACAAAAAGAGTGTTTCAAAACTGCTCTATGAAAAGAAAGGTTCAACTCTGTCAGTAGAGGGCACACATCACAAACAAGTTTCTGAGAATGCTTTCTGCATAGTTGTTACGGGAAGATATTTCCCTTTCCAAAATAGGCCTGAAAGCGCTCCAAATGTCCACTTCCAGATACTACAAAAGGAGTGATTCCAACCTGCTCTATGATAGGGAATGTTCAACTCTGTGTCCTGAATACAAACATCACAAAGATGTTTCTCAGAACGCTGCAGTCTGCAATTTGTATGAATTCCCGCTTCCAACGAAATCCTCAAAACTAGCCAAATATCCACTTGCAGATTCCACAAAAAGACCATTTCAAAACTGCTCTATCAAAAGAAAGGTTCAACTTTGTTAGTTGAGTAGATACAGCATAACCAAGTTTCTGAGAATGCTTCTGTCCAGTTTTTATGGGAAGATATTTCCTTTTTCAACTTAGCCCTGAAATCGCTCCAAAAGTCCAGTTCCAGATACTACAAAAGGGGTGTTTCAAGACTGCTCTATGAAAGGGAGTGTTCAACTTTTGACTTGAATGCAAACATCAGAAAGCAGTTTCTCAGAACGCTGCTGTGTGCTTTTTATATGTATTCCCGCTTCCAGCGAAATCCCCAAAGCTAGCCAAATATCCACTTGCAGATTCCAGAAAAAGAGAGTTTCAAAACTGCTCCTTCAAAACGGTGGTTCAATTCTCTTAGTTGAGTACACACATCTCAAATAAGTTTCTGAGAATGCTGCTGTGTGCTTTTTATATGTATTCCCGCTTCCAGCGAAATCCCCAAAGCTAGCCAAATATCCACTTGCAGATTCCAGAAAAAGAGTGTTTCAAAACTGCTCCTTCAAAACGGTGGTTCAATTCTCTTAGTTGAGTACACACATCTTCAAATAAGTTTCTGAGAATGCTTCTGTCTAGTTGTTATGGGAAGATATTTCCTTTTCCAACATAGGCCTGAAAGCGCTCCAAATGTCCACTTCCAGATACTACAAAAGGAGTGATTCAAACCTGCTCTATGATAGGGAATGTTCAACTCTGTGTCCTGAATACAAACATCACAAAGATGTTTCTCAGAACGCTGCAGTCTGCAATTTGTATGAATTCCCGCTTCCAACGAAATCCTCCAAACTAGCCAAATATCCACTTGCAGATTCCACAAAAAGAGCGTTTCAAAACTTCTCTATGAAAAGAAAGGTTCTACTCCTTTAGTTGAGGACACACATCACGAGTAAGTTTCTGAGAATGCTTCTGTCTAGTTTTTATGGGAAGATATTTCCTTTTTCACCTTAGGCCGGTAAGTGCTCCAAATGTCCACTTACACACACTACAAAAAGAGTGTTTCAAACCTGCTCTGTGAAAGGGAATGTTCAATTCTGTGACTTGAATGCAATCATCACAAAGAACTTTCTGAGAATGCTGCTGACTGCTTTTTATATGTAATCCCGTTTCCAACGAAATCCTCAAATCTAGCCAAATAGCCACTTGCAGATTCCACAAAAAGAGTGTTTCAAAACTGTTCTGTCTAAAGAAATGTTCAACTGTGTTAGTTGAGGACACACATCAGAAACTAGTTTCTGAGAATGCTTCTGTCTAGTTGTTATGGGAAGATATTTCCTTTTCCAACGTAGGCCTGAAAGCGCTCCAAATGTCCACTTCCAGATACTACAAAAAGAGTGTTTCAAACCTGCTCTACCAAAGGGAATGTTCTACTCTGTGACTTGAATGCAAACATCCCAAAGAAGTTTCTGAGAATACTTCTGTCTAGATTTTCTCTGAAGACAATCCCGTTTCCAACGAAATCCTCAAGGCTAGGCAAATATACTCTTGCAGATTCCAGAAAAAGAGTGTTTCAAAACTGCTCCTTCAAAACGGTGGTTCAATTCTCTTAGTTGAGTACACACATCTCAAATAAGTTTCTGAGAATGCTTCTGCGTAGTTGTTACGGGAAGATATTTCCCTTTCCAACATGGGCCTGAAAGCGCTCCAAATGTCCACTTCCAGATACTACAAAAAGAGTGTTTCAAACCTGCTCTACCAAAGGGAATGTTCTACTCTGTGACTTGAATGCAAACATCCCAAAGAAGTTTCTGAGAATGCTTCTTTCTAGATTTTACCTGAAGACAATCCCGTTTCCCACGAAATCCTCAAAGCTATGCAAATATCCTCTTGCGGATTCTACAAAAAGAGTGTTTCAAAACTGCTCTATGAAAAGAAAGGTTCAACTCTGTCAGTAGAGGGCACACATCACAAACAAGTTTCTGAGAATGCTTGTGTCTAGTTGTTATGGGAAGATATTTCCTTTTTCAACATAGGCCTGAAAGCGCTCCAAATGTCCACTTCCAGATACTACAAAAGGAGTGATTCCAACCTGCTCTATGATAGGGAATGTTCATCTCTGTGTCCTGAATACAAACATCACAAAGATGTTTCTCAGAACGCTGCAGTCTGCAATTTGTATGAATTCCCGCTTCCAACGAAATCCTCAAAACTAGCCAAATATCCACTTGGAGATTCCACAAAAAGAGCGTTTCAAAACTTCTCTATGAATAGAAAGGTTCTACTCCTTTAGTTGAGGACACACATCACGAGTAAGTTTCTGAGAATGCTTCTGTCTAGTTTTTATGGGAAGATATTTCCTTTTTCACCTTAGGCCGGAAAGCGCTCCAAATGTCCACTTACACACACTACAAAAAGAGTGTTTCAAACCTGCTCTGTGAAAGGGAATGTTCAATTCTGTGACTTGAATGCAATCATCAAAAAGAACTTTCTGAGAATTCTGCTGACTGCTTTTTATATGTAATCCCGTTTCCAACGAAATCCTCAAATCTAGCCAGATAGCCACTTGCAGATTCCACAAAAAGAGTGTTTCAAAACTGTTCTGTCTAAAGAAATGTTCAACTGTGTTAGTTGAGGACACACATCAGAAACTAGTTTCTGAGAATGCTTCTGTCTAGTTGTTATGGGAAGATATTTCCTTTTCCAACGTAGGCCTGAAAGCGCTCCAAATGTCCACTTCCAGATACTACAAAAAGAGTGTTTCAAACCTGCTCTACCAAAGGGAATGTTCTACTCTGTGACTTGAATGCAAGCATCCCAAAGAAGTTTCTGAGAATGCTTCTGTCTAGATTTTCTCTGAAGACAATCCCGTTTCCAACGAAATCCTCAAGGCTAGGCAAATATACTCTTGCAGATTCCAGAAAAAGAGTGTTTCAAAACTGCTCCTTCAAAACGGTGGTTCAATTCTCTTAGTTGAGTACACACATCTCAAATAAGTTTCTGAGAATGCTTCTGCCTAGTTGTTACGGGAAGATATTTCCCTTTCCAACATGGGCCTGAAAGCGCTCCAAATGTCCACTTCCAGATACTACAAAAAGAGTGTTTCAAACCTGCTCTACCAAAGGGAATGTTCTACTCTGTGACTTGAATGCAAACATCCCAAAGAAGTTTCTGAGAATGCTTCTGTCTAGATTTTACCTGAAGACAATCCCGTTTCCCACGAAATCCTCAAAGCTATGCAAATATCCTCTTGCAGATTCTACAAAAAGAGTGTTTCAAAACTGCTCTATGAAAAGAAAGGTTCAACTCTGTCAGTAGAGGGCACACATCACAAACAAGTTTCTGAGAATGCTTGTGTCTAGTTGTTATGGGAAGATATTTCCTTTTTCAACATAGGCCTGAAAGCGCTCCAAATGTCCACTTCCAGATACTACAAAAGGAGTGATTCCAACATGCTCTATGAGAGGGAATGTTCATCTCTGTGTCTTGAATACAAACATCACAAAGATGTTTCTCAGAACGCTGCAGTCTGCAATTTGTATGAATTCCCGCTTCCAACGAAATCCTCAAAACTAGCCAAATATCCACTTGGAGATTCCACAAAAAGAGCGTTTCAAAACTTCTCTATGAATAGAAAGGTTCTACTCCTTTAGTTGAGGACACACATCACGAGTAAGTTTCTGAGAATGCTTCTGTCTAGTTTTTATGGGAAGATATTTCCTTTTTCACCTTAGGCCGGAAAGCGCTCCAAATGTCCAATTACACACACTACAAAAAGAGTGTTTCAAACCTGCTCTGTGAAAGGGAATGTTCAATTCTGTGACTTGAATGCAATCATCACAAAGAACTTTCTGAGAATGCTGCTGTCTGCTTTTTATATGTAATCCCGTTTCCAACGAAATCCTCAAATCTAGCCCAATATCCACTTGCAGATTCCACAAAAAGAGTGTTTCAAAACTGTTCTGTATAAAGAAATGTACAACTGTGTTAGTTGAGGACACACATCAGAAACTAGTTTCTGAGAATCCTTCTGTCTAGTTGTTATGGGAAGATATTTCCTTTTCCAACGTAGGCCTGAAAGCGCTCCAAATGTCCACTTCCATATACTAAAAAAAGAGTGTTTCAAACCTGCTCTACCGAAGGGAATGTTCTACTCTGTGACTTGAATGCAAACATCCCAAAGAAGTTTCTGAGAATGCTTCTGTCTAGATTTTATCTGAAGACAGTCCCGTTTCCAACGAAATCCTCAAGGCTAGGCAAATATACTCTTGCAGATTCCAGAAAAAGAGTGTTTCAAAACTGCTCCTTCAAAACGGTGGTTCAATTCTCTTAGTTGAGTACACACATCTCAAATAAGTTTACTGAGAATGTTTCTGCCTAGTTGTTACGGGAAGATATTTCCCTTTCCAACATGGGCCTGAAAGCGCTCCAAATGTCCACTTCCAGATACTACAAAAAGAGTGTTTCAAACCTGCTCTACCAAAGGGAATGTTCTACTCTGTGACTTGAATGCAAACATCCCAAAGAAGTTTCTGAGAATGCTTCTGTCTAGATTTTACCTGAAGACAATCCCGTTTCCCACGAAATCCTCAAAGCTATGCAAATATCCTCTTGCGGATTCTACAAAAAGAGTGTTTCAAAACTGCTCTATGAAAAGAAAGGTTCAACTCTGTCAGTAGAGGGCACACATCACAAACAAGTTTCTGAGAATGCTTGTGTCTAGTTGTTATGGGAAGATATTTCCTTTTTCAACATAGGCCTGAAAGCGCTCCAAATGTCCACTTCCAGATACTACAAAAGGAGTGATTCCAACATGCTCTATGATAGGGAATGTTCATCTCTGTGTCTTGAATACAAACATCACAAAGATGTTTCTCAGAACGCTGCAGTCTGCAATTTGTATGAATTCCCGCTTCCAACGAAATCCTCAAAACTAGCCAAATATCCACTTGCAGATTCCACAAAAAGACCATTTCAAAACTGCTCTATCAAAAGAAAGGTTCAACTTTGTTAGTTGAGTAGTTACAGCATAAACAAGTTTCTGAGAATGCTTCTGTCCAGTTTTTATGGGAAGATATTTCCTTTTTCACCTTAGCCCTGAAATCGCTCCAACAGTCCAGTTCCAGATACTACAAAACGGGTGTTTCAAGACTGCTCTATGAAAGGGAGTGTTCAACTTTTGACTTGAATGCAAACATCAGAAAGCAGTTTCTCAGAACGCTGCTGTGTGCTTTTTATATGTATTCCCGCTTCCAGCGAAATCCCCAAAGCTAGCCAAATATCCACTTGCAGATTCCAGAAAAAGAGAGTTTCAAAACTGCTCCTTCAAAACGGTGGTTCAATTCTCTTAGTTGAGTACACACATCTCAAATAAGTTTCTGAGAATGCTTCTGTCTAGTTGTTATGGGAAGATATTTCCTTTCCCAACATAGGCCTGAAAGCGCTCCAAATGTCCACTTCCAGATACTACAAAAGGAGTGATTCAAACCTGCTCTATGATAGGGAATGTTCAACTCTGTGTCCTGAATACAAACATCACAAAGATGTTTCTCAGAACGCTGCAGTCTGCAATTTGTATGAATTCCCGCTTCCAACGAAATCCTCCAAACTAGCCAAATATCCACTTGCAGATTCCACAAAAAGAGCGTTTCAAAACTTCTCTATGAAAAGAAAGGTTCTACTCCTTTAGTTGAGGACACACATCACGAGTAAGTTTCTGAGAATGCTTCTGTCTAGTTTTTATGGGAAGATATTTCCTTTTTCACCTTAGGCCGGTAAGTGCTCCAAATGTCCACTTACACACACTACAAAAAGAGTCTTTCAAACCTGCTCTGTGAAAGGGAATGTTCAATTCTGTGACTTGAATGCAATCATCACAAAGAACTTTCTGAGAATGCTGCTGACTGCTTTTTATATGTAATCCCGTTTCCAACGAAATCCTCAAATCTAGCCAAATAGCCACTTGCAGATTCCACAAAAAGAGTGTTTCAAAACTGTTCTGTCTAAAGAAATGTTCAACTGTGTTAGTTGAGGACACACATCAGAAACTAGTTTCTGAGAATGCTTCTGTCTAGTTGTTATGGGAAGATATTTCCTTTTCCAACGTAGGCCTGAAAGCGCTCCAAATGTCCACTTCCAGATACTAAAAAAAGAGTGTTTCAAACCTGCTCTACCAAAGGGAATGTTCTACTCTGTGACTTGAATGCAAACATCCCAAAGAAGTTTCTGAGAATACTTCTGTCTAGATTTTCTCTGAAGACAATCCCGTTTCCAACGAAATCCTCAAGGCTAGGCAAATATACTCTTGCAGATTCCAGAAAAAGAGTGTTTCAAAACTGCTCCTTCAAAACGGTGGTTCAATTCTCTTAGTTGAGTACACACATCTCAAATAAGTTTCTGAGAATGCTTCTGCCTAGTTGTTACGGGAAGATATTTCCCTTTCCAACATGGGCCTGAAAGCGCTCCAAATGTCCACTTCCAGATACTACAAAAAGAGTGTTTCAAACCTGCTCTACCAAAGGGAATGTTCTACTCTGTGACTTGAATGCAAACATCCCAAAGAAGTTTCTGAGAATGCTTCTGTCTAGATTTTACCTGAAGACAATCCCGTTTCCCACGAAATCCTCAAAGCTATGCAAATATCCTCTTGCAGATTCTACAAAAAGAGTGTTTCAAAACTGCTCTATGAAAAGAAAGGTTCAACTCTGTCAGTAGAGGGCACACATCACAAACAAGTTTCTGAGAATGCTTCTGCATAGTTGTTACGGGAAGATATTTCCCTTTCCAAAATAGGCCTGAAAGCGCTCCAAATGTCCACTTCCAGATACTACAAAAGGAGTGATTCCAACCTGCTCTATGATAGGGAATGTTCAACTCTGTGTCCTGAATACAAACATCACAAAGATGTTTCTCAGAACGCTGCAGTCTGCAATTTGTATGAATTCCCGCTTCCAACGAAATCCTCAAAACTAGCCAAATATCCACTTGCAGATTCCACAAAAAGACCATTTCAAAACTGCTCTATCAAAAGAAAGGTTCAACTTTGTTAGTTGAGTAGATACAGCATAAACAAGTTTCTGAGAATGCTTCTGTCCAGTTTTTATGGGAAGATATTTCCTTTTTCACCTTAGCCCTGAAATCGCTCCAAAAGTCCAGTTCCAGATACTACAAAAGGGGTGTTTCAAGACTGCTCTATGAAAGGGAGTGTTCAACTTTTGACTTGAATGCAAACATCAGAAAGCAGTTTCTCAGAACGCTGCTGTGTGCTTTTTATATGTATTCCCGCTTCCAGCGAAATCCCCAAAGCTAGCCAAATATCCACTTGCAGATTCCAGAAAAAGAGAGTTTCAAAACTGCTCCTTCAAAACGGTGGTTCAATTCTCTTAGTTGAGTACACACATCTCAAATAAGTTTCTGAGAATGCTTCTGTCTAGTTGTTATGGGAAGATATTTCCTTTTCCAACATAGGCCTGAAAGCGCTCCAAATGTCCACTTCCAGATACTACAAAAGGAGTGATTCCAACCTGCTCTATGATAGGGAATGTTCAACTCTGTGTCCTGAATACAAACATCACAAAGATGTTTCTCAGAACGCTGCAGTCTGCAATTTGTATGAATTCCCGCTTCCAACGAAATCCTGCAAACTAGCCAAATATCCACTTGCAGATTCCACAAAAAGAGCGTTTCAAAACTTCTCTATGAAAAGAAAGGTTCTACTCCTTTAGTTGAGGACACACATCACGAGTAAGTTTCTGAGAGTGCTTCTGTCTAGTTTTTATGGGAAGATATTTCCTTTTTCACCTTAGGCCGGAAAGTGCTCCAAATGTCCACTTACACACACTGCAAAAAGAGTGTTTCAAACCTGCTCTGTGAAAGGGAATGTTCAATTCTGTGACTTGAATGCAATCATCACAAAGAACTTTCTGAGAATGCTGCTGTCTGCTTTTTATATGTAATCCCGTTTCCAACGAAATCCTCAAATCTAGCCAAATAGCCACTTGCAGATTCCACAAAAAGAGTGTTTCAAAACTGTTCTGTCTAAAGAAATGTTCAACTGTGTTAGTTGAGGACACACATCAGAAACTAGTTTCTGAGAATGCTTCTGTCTAGTTGTTATGGGAAGATATTTCCTTTTCCAACGTAGGCCTGAAAGCGCTCCAAATGTCCACTTCCATATACTAAAAAAAGAGTGTTTCAAACCTGCTCTACCAAAGGGAATGTTCTACTCTGTGACTTGAATGCAAACATCCCAAAGAAGTTTCTGAGAATGCTTCTGTCTAGATTTTCTCTGAAGACAATCCCGTTTCCAACGAAATCCTCAAGGCTAGGCAAATATACTCTTGCAGATTCCAGAAAAAGAGAGTTTCAAAACTGCTCCTTCAAAACGGTGGTTCAATTCTCTTAGTTGAGTACACACATCTCAAATAAGTTTCTGAGAATGCTTCTGCCTAGTTGTTACGGGAAGATATTTCCCTTTCCAACATGGGCCTGAAAGCGCTCCAAATGTCCACTTCCAGATACTACAAAAAGAGTGTTTCAAACCTGCTCTACCAAAGGGAATGTTCTACTCTGTGACTTGAATGCAAACATCCCAAAGAAGTTTCTGAGAATGCTTCTGTCTAGATTTTACCTGAAGACAATCCCGTTTCCCACGAAATCCTCAAAGCTATGCAAATATCCTCTTGCAGATTCTACAAAAAGAGTGTTTCAAAACTGCTCTATGAAAAGAAAGGTTCAACTCTGTCAGTAGAGGGCACACATCACAAACAAGTTTCTGAGAATGCTTCTGCATAGTTGTTACGGGAAGATATTTCCCTTTCCAAAATAGGCCTGAAAGCGCTCCAAATGTCCACTTCCAGATACTACAAAAGGAGTGATTCCAACCTGCTCTATGATAGGGAATGTTCAACTCTGTGTCCTGAATACAAACATCACAAAGATGTTTCTCAGAACGCTGCAGTCTGCAATTTGTATGAATTCCCGCTTCCAACGAAATCCTCAAAACTAGCCAAATATCCACTTGCAGATTCCACAAAAAGACCATTTCAAAACTGCTCTATCAAAAGAAAGGTTCAACTTTGTTAGTTGAGTAGATACAGCATAAACAAGTTTCTGAGAATGCTTCTGTCCAGTTTTTATGGGAAGATATTTCCTTTTTCACCTTAGCCCTGAAATCGCTCCAAAAGTCCAGTTCCAGATACTACCAAAGGGGTGTTTCAGGACTGCTCTATGAAAGGGAGTGTTCAACTTTTGACTTGAATGCAAACATCAGAAAGCAGTTTCTCAGAACGCTGCTGTGTGCTTTTTATATGTATTCCCGCTTCCAGCGAAATCCCCAAAGCTAGCCAAATATCCACTTGCAGATTCCAGAAAAAGAGAGTTTCAAAACTGCTCCTTCAAAACGGTGGTTCAATTCTCTTAGTTGAGTACACACATCTCAAATAAGTTTCTGAGAATGCTTCTGTCTAGTTGTTATGGGAAGATATTTCCTTTTCCAACATAGGCCTGAAAGCGCTCCAAATGTCCACTTCCAGATACTACAAAAGGAGTGATTCCAACCTGCTCTATGATAGGGAATGTTCAACTCTGTGTCCTGAATACAAACATCACAAAGATGTTTCTCAGAACGCTGCAGTCTGCAATTTGTATGAATTCCCGCTTCCAACGAAATCCTCCAAACTAGCCAAATATCCACTTGCAGATTCCACAAAAAGAGCGTTTCAAAACTTCTCTATGAAAAGAAAGGTTCTACTCCTTTAGTTGAGGACACACATCACGAGTAAGTTTCTGAGAATGCTTCTGTCTAGTTTTTATGGGAAGATATTTCCTTGTTCACCTTAGGCCGGAAAGCGCTCCAAATGTCCACTTACACACACTACAAAAAGAGTGTTTCAAACCTGCTCTGTGAAAGGGAATGTTCAATTCTGTGACTTGAATGCAATCATCACAAAGAAGTTTCTGAGAATGCTGCTGTCTGCTTTTTATATGTAATCCCGTTTCCAACGAAATCCTCAAATCTAGCCAAATATCCACTTGCAGATTCCACAAAAAGAGTGTTTCAAAACTGTTCTGTCTAAAGAAATGTTCAACTGTGTTAGTTGAGGACACACATCAGAAACTAGTTTCTGAGAATGCTTCTGTCTAGTTGTTATGGGAAGATATTTCCTTTTCCAACGTAGGCCTGAAAGCGCTCCAAATGTCCACTTCCATATACTAAAAAAAGAGTGTTTCAAACCTGCTCTACCAAAGGAATGTTCTACTCTGTGACTTGAATGCAAACATCCCAAAGAAGTTTCTGAGAATGCTTCTGTCTAGATTTGATCTGAAGACAATCCCTTTTCCAACGAAATCCTCAAAGCTAGGCAAATATCCTCTTGCAGATTCCAGAAAAAGAGTGTTTCCAAACTGCTCCTTCAAAACGGTGGTTCAATTCTCTTAGTTGAGTACACACATCTCAAATAAGTTTCTGAGAATGCTCCTGCCTAGTTGTTACGGGAAGATATTTCCGTTTCCAACATAGGCCTGAAAGCGCAACAAATGTCCACTTCCAGATACTACAAAAAGAGTGTTTCAAACCTGCTCTACCAAAGGGAATGTTCTACTCTGTGACTTGAATGCAAACATCCCGAAGAAGTTTCTGAGAATGCTTCTGTCTAGATTTTACCTGAAGACAATCCCGTTTCCCACGAAATCCTCAGAGCTATGCAAATATCCTCTTGCAGATTCTACAAAAAGAGTGTTTCGAAACTGCTCTATGAAAAGAAAGGTTCAACTCTGTCAGTAGAGGAAACACATCACCAACAAGTTTCTGAGAATGCTTCTGTCTAGTTGTTATGGGAAGATTTTTCCTTTTTCAACATAGGCCTGAAAGCGCTCCAAATGTCCACTTCCAGATACTACAAAAGGAGTGATCCCAACCTGCTCTATGATAGGGAATGTTCAACTCTGTGTCCTGAATACAAACATCACAAAGATGTTTCTCAGAACGCTGCAGTCTGCAATTTGTATGAATTCCCGCTTCCAACGAAATCCTCAAAACTAGCCAAATATCCACTTGCAGATTCCACAAAAAGAGCATTTCAAAACTGCTCTATCAAAAGAAAGGTTCAACTTAGTTAGTTGAGTAGATACAGCATAAACAAGTTTCTGAGAATGCTTCTGTCCAGTTTTTATGGGAAGATATTTCCTTTTTCACCTTAGCCCTGAAAGCGCTCCAAATGTCCAGTTCCAGATACTACAAAAGGGGTGTTTCAAGACTGCTCTATGAAAGGGAGTGTTCAACTTTTGACTTGAATGCAAACATCAGAAAGCAGTTTCTCAGAACGCTGCTGTGTGCTTTTTATATGTATTCCCGCTTCCAGCGAAATCCCCAAAGCTAGCCAAATATCCACTTGCAGATTCCAGAAAAAGAGTGTTTCCAAACTGCTCCTTCAAAACGGTGGTTCAATTCTCTTAGTTGAGTACACACATCTCAAATAAGTTTCTGGGAATGCTTGTGTCTAGTTGTTATGGGAAGATATTTCCTTTTTCAACATAGGCCTGAAAGCGCTCCAAATGTCCACTTCCAGATACTACAAAAGGAGTGATTCCAACATGCTCTATGATAGGGAATGTTCATCTCTGTGTCCTGAATACAAACATCACAAAGATGTTTCTCAGAACGCTGCAGTCTGCAATTTGTATGAATTCCCGCTTCCAACGAAATCCTCAAAACTAGCCAAATATCCACTTGGAGATTCCACAAAAAGAGCGTTTCAAAACTTCTCTATGAAGAGAAAGGTTCTACTCCTTTAGTTGAGGACACACATCACGAGTAAGTTTCTGAGAATGCTTCTGTCTAGTTTTTATGGGAAGATATTTCCTTTTTCACCTTAGGCCGGATAGCGCTCCAAATGTCCACTTACACACACTACAAAAAGAGTGTTTCAAACCTACTCTGTGAAAGGGAATGTTCAATTCTGTGACTTGAATGCAATCATCACAAAGAACTTTCTGAGAATGCTGCTGACTGCTTTTTATATGTAATCCCGTTTCCAACGAAATCCTCAAATCTAGCCAAATAGCCACTTGCAGATTCCACCAAAAGAGTGTTTCAAATCTGTTCTGTCTAAAGAAATGTACAACTGTGTTAGTTGAGGACACACATCAGAAACTAGTTTCTGAGAATGCTTCTGTCTAGTTGTTATGGGAAGATATTTCCTTTTCCAACGTAGGCCTGAAAGCGCTCCAAATGTCCACTTCCATATACTAAAAAAAGAGTGTTTCAAACCTGCTCTACCAAAGGGAATGTTCTACTCTGTGACTTGAATGCAAACATCCCAAAGAAGTTTCTGAGAATGCTTCTGTCTAGATTTTATCTGAAGACAATCCCGTTTCCAACGAAATCCTCAAGGCTAGGCAAATATACTCTTGCAGATTCCAGAAAAAGAGTGTTTCAAAACTGCTCCTTGAAAACGGTGGTTCAATTCTCTTAGTTGAGTACACACATCTCAAATAAGTTTCTGAGAATGCTTCTGCCTAGTTGTTACGGGAAGATATTTCCCTTTCCAACATGGGCCTGAAAGCGCTCCAAATGTCCACTTCCAGATACTACAAAAAGAGGGTTTCAAACCTGCTCTACCAAAGGGAATGTTCTACTCTGTGACTTGAATGCAAACATCCCAAAGAAGTTTCTGAGAATGCTTCTGTCTAGATTTTACCTGAAGACAATCCCGTTTCCCACGAAATCCTCAAAGCTATGCAAATATCCTCTTGCAGATTCTACAAAAAGAGTGTTTCAAAACTGCTCTATGAAAAGAAAGGTTCAACTCTGTCAGTAGAGGTCACACATCACAAACAAGTTTCTGAGAATGCTTGTGTCTAGTTGTTATGGGAAGATATTTCCTTTTTCAACATAGGCCTGAAAGCGCTCCAAATGTCCACTTCCAGATACTACAAAAGGAGTGATTCCAACCTGCTCTATGATAGGGAATGTTCATCTCTGTGTCCTGAATACAAACATCACAAAGATGTTTCTCATAACGCTGCAGTCTGCAATTTGTATGAATTCCCGCTTCCAACGAAATCCTCAAAACTAGCCAAATATCCACTTGGAGATTCCACAAAAAGAGCGTTTGAAAACTTCTCTATGAATAGAAAGGTTCTACTCCTTTAGTTGAGGACACACATCACGAGTAAGTTTCTGAGAATGCTTCTGTCTAGTTTTTATGGGAAGATATTTCCTTTTTCACCTTAGGCCGGAAAGCGCTCCAAATGTCCACTTACACACACTACAAAAAGAGTGTTTCAAACCTGCTCTGTGAAAGGGAATGTTCAATTCTGTGACTTGAATGCAATCATCACAAAGAACTTTCTGAGAATGCTGCTGTCTGCTTTTTATATGTAATCCCGTTTCCAACGAAATCCTCAAATCTAGCCAAATATCCACTTGCAGATTCCACAAAAAGAGTGTTTCAAAACTGTTCTGTCTAAAGAAAAGTTCAACTGTGTTAGTTGAGGACACACATCAGAAACTAGTTTCTGAGAATGCTTCTGTCTAGTTGTTATGGGAAGATATTTCCTTTTCCAACGTAGGCCTGAAAGCGCTCCAAATGTCCACTTCCATATACGAAAAAAAGAGTGTTTCAAACCTCCTCTACCAAAGGGAATGTTCTACTCTGTGACTTGAATGCAAACATGCCAAAGAAGTTTCTGAGAATGCTTCTGTCTAGATTTTATCTGAAGACAATCCCGTTTCCAACGAAATCCTCAAGGCTAGGCAAATATACTCTTGCAGATTCCAGAAAAAGAGTGTTTCAAAACTGCTCCTTCAAAACGGTGGTTCAATTCTCTTAGTTGAGTACACACATCTCAAATAAGTTTCTGAGAATGCTTCTGCCTAGTTGTTACGGGAAGATATTTCCCTTTCCAACATGGGCCTGAAAGCGCTCCTAATGTCCACTTCCAGATACTACAAAAAGAGTGTTTCAAACCTGCTCTACCAAAGGGAATGTTCTACTCTGTGACTTGAATGCAAACATCCCAAAGAAGTTTCTGAGAATGCTTCTGTCTACATTTTACCTGAAGACAATCCCGTTTCCCACGAAATCCTCAAAGCTATGCAAATATCCTCTTGCGGATTCTACAAAAAGAGTGTTTCAAAACTGCTCTATGAAAAGAAAGGTTCAACTCTGTCAGTAGAGGGCACACATCACAAACAAGTTTCTGAGAATGCTTGTGTCTAGTTGTTATGGGAAGATATTTCCTTTTTCAACATAGGCCTGAAAGCGCTCCAAATGTCCACTTCCAGATACTACAAAAGGAGTGATTCCAACCTGCTCTATGATAGGGAATGTTCATCTCTGTGTCCTGAATACAAACATCACAAAGATGTTTCTCAGAACGCTGCAGTCTGCAATTTGTATGAATTCCCGCTTCCAACGAAATCCTCAAAACTAGCCAAATATCCACTTGGAGATTCCACAAAAAGAGCGTTTCAAAACTTCTCTATGAATAGAAAGGTTCTACTCCTTTAGTTGAGGACACACATCACGAGTAAGTTTCTGAGAATGCTTCTGTCTAGTTTTTATGGGAAGATATGTCCTTTTTCACCTTAGGCCGGAAAGCGCTCCAAATGTCCACTTACACACACTACAAAAAGAGTGTTTCAAACCTGCTCTGTGAAAGGGAATGTTCAATTCTGTGACTTGAATGCAATCATCACAAAGAACTTTCTGAGAATGCTGCTGACTGCTTTTTATATGTAATCCCGTTTCCAACGAAATACTCAAATCTAGCCCAATATCCACTTGCAGATTCCACAAAAAGAGTGTTTCAAAACTGTTCTGTCTAAAGAAATGTACAACTGTGTTAGTTGAGGACACACATCACAAACTAGTTTCTGAGAATGCTTCTGTCTAGTTGTTATGGGAAGATATTTCCTTTTCCAACGTAGGCCTGAAAGCGCTCCAAATGTCCACTTCCATATACTAAAAAAAGAGTGTTTCAAACCTGCTCTACCAAAGGGAATGTTCTACTCTGTGACTTGAATGCAAACATCCCAAAGAAGTTTCTGAGAATGCTTCTGTCTAGATTTGATCTGAAGACAATCCCGTTTCCAACGAAATCCTCAAAGCTAGGCAAATATCCTCTAGCAGATTCCAGATAAAGAGTGTTTCAAAACTGCTCCTTCAAAACGGTGGTTCAATTCTCTTAGTTGAGTACACACATCTCAAATAAGTTTCAGAGAATGCTTCTGCCTAGTTGTTACGGGAAGATATTTCCCTTTCCAAAATAGGCCTGAAAGCGCTCCAAATGTCCACTTCCAGATACTGCAAAAGGAGTGATTCCAACCTGCTCTATGATAGGGAATGTTCAACTCTGTGTCCTGAATACAAACATCACAAAGATGTTTCTCAGAACGCTGCAGTCTGCAATTTTTATGAATTCCAGCTTCCAACGAAATCCTCAAAACTAGCCAAATATCCACTTGCAGATTCCACAAAAAGAGCATTTCAAAACTGCTCTATCAAAAGAAAGGTTCAACTTTGTTAGTAGAGTAGATACAGCATAAACAAGTTTCTGAGAATGCTTCTGTCCAGTTTTTATGGGAAGATATTTCCTTTTTCACCTTAGCCCTGAAAGCGCTCCAAATGTCCAGTTCCAGATACTACAAAAGGGGTGTTTCAAGACTGCTCTATGAAAGGGAGTGTTCAACTTTTGACTTGAATGCAAACATCAGAAAGCAGTTTCTCAGAACGCTGCTGTGTGCTTTTTATATGTATTCCCGCTTCCAGCGAAATCCCCAAAGCTAGCCAAATATCCACTTGCAGATTCCAGAAAAAGAGTGTTTCAAAACTGCTCCTTCAAAACGGTGGTTCAATTCTCTTAGTTGAGTACACACATCTCAAATAAGTTTCTGAGAATGCTTCTGTCTAGTGGTTATGGGAAGATATTTCCTTTTCCAACATAGGCCTGAAAGCGCTCCAAATGTCCACTTCCAGATACTACAAAAGGAGTGATTCCAACCTGCTCTATGATAGGGAATGTTCAACTCTGTGTCCTGAATACAAACATCACAAAGATGTTTCTCAGAACGCTGCAGTCTGCAATTTGTATGAATTCCCGCTTCCAACGAAATCCTCCAAACTAGCCAAATATCCACTTGCAGATTCCACAAAAAGAGCGTTTCAAAACTTCTCTATGAAAAGAAAGGTTCTACTCCTTTAGTTGAGGACACACATCACGAGTAAGTTTCTGAGAATGCTTCTGTCTAGTTTTTATGGGAAGATATGTCCTTTTTCACCTTAGGCCGGAAAGCGCTCCAAATGTCCACTTACACACACTACAAAAAGAGTGTTTCAAACCTGCTCTGTGAAAGGGAATGTTCAATTCTGTGACTTGAATGCAATCATCACAAAGAACTTTCTGAGAATGCTGCTGACTGCTTTTTATATGTAATCCCGTTTCCAACGAAATCCTCAAATCTAGCCAAATAGCCACTTGCAGATTCCACAAAAAGAGTGTTTCAAAACTGTTCTGTCTAAAGAAATGTTCAACTGTGTTAGTTGAGGACACACATCAGAAACTAGTTTCTGAGAATGCTTCTGTCTAGTTGTTATGGGAAGATATTTCCTTTTCCAACGTAGGCCTGAAAGCGCTCCAAATGTCCACTTCCAGATACTACAAAAAGAGTGTTTCAAACCTGCTCTACCAAAGGGAATGTTCTACTCTGTGACTTGAATGCAAACATCCCAAAGAAGTTTCTGAGAATACTTCTGTCTAGATTTTCTCTGAAGACAATCCCGTTTCCAACGAAATCCTCAAGGCTAGGCAAATATACTCTTGCAGATTCCAGAAAAAGAGTGTTTCAAAACTGCTCCTTCAAAACGGTGGTTCAATTCTCTTAGTTGAGTACACACATCTCAAATAAGTTTCTGAGAATGCTTCTGCCTAGTTGTTACGGGAAGATATTTCCCTTTCCAACATGGGCCTGAAAGCGCTCCAAATGTCCACTTCCAGATACTACAAAAAGAGTGTTTCAAACCTGCTCTACCAAAGGGAATGTTCTACTCTGTGACTTGAATGCAAACATCCCAAAGAAGTTTCTGAGAATGCTTCTGTCTAGATTTTACCTGAAGACAATCCCGTTTCCCACGAAATCCTCAAAGCTATGCAAATATCCTCTTGCGGATTCTACAAAAAGTGTTTCAAAACTGCTCTATGAAAAGAAAGGTTCAACTCTGTCAGTAGAGGGCACACATCACAAACAAGTTTCTGAGAATGCTTGTGTCTAGTTGTTATGGGAAGATATTTCCTTTTTCAACATAGGCCTGAAAGCGCTCCAAATGTCCACTTCCAGATACTACAAAAGGAGTGATTCCAACCTGCTCTATGATAGGGAATGTTCATCTCTGTGTCCTGAATACAAACATCACAAAGATGTTTCTCAGAACGCTGCAGTCTGCAATTTGGATGAATTCCCGCTTCCAACGAAATCCTCAAAACTAGCCAAATATCCACTTGGAGATTCCACAAAAAGAGCGTTTCAAAACTTCTCTATGAATAGAAAGGTTCTACTCCTTTAGTTGAGGACACACATCACGAGTAAGTTTCTGAGAATGCTTCTGTCTAGTTTTTATGGGAAGATATTTCCTTTTTCACCTTAGGCCGGAAAGCGCTCCAAATGTCCACTTACACACACTACAAAAAGAGTGTTTCAAACCTGCTCTGTGAAAGGGAATGTTCAATTCTGTGACTTGAATGCAATCATCACAAAGAACTTTCTGAGAATGCTGCTGTCTGCTTTTTATATGTAATCCCGTTTCCAACGAAATCCTCAAATCTAGCCCAATATCCACTTGCAGATTCCACAAAAAGAGTGTTTCAAAACTGTTCTGTATAAAGAAATGTACAACTGTGTTAGTTGAGGACACACATCAGAAACTAGTTTCTGAGAATGCTTCTGTCTAGTTGTTATGGGAAGATATTTCCTTTTCCAACGTAGGCCTGAAAGCGCTCCAAATGTCCACTTCCATATACTAAAAAAAGAGTGTTTCAAACCTGCTCTACCAAAGGGAATGTTCTACTCTGTGACTTGAATGCAAACATCCCAAAGAAGTTTCTGAGAATGCTTCTGTCTAGATTTTATCTGAAGACAATCCCGTTTCCAACGAAATCCTCAAGGCTAGGCAAATATACTCTTGCAGATTCCAGAAAAAGAGGGTTTCAAAACTGCTCCTTCAAAACGGTGGTTCAATTCTCTTAGTTGAGTACACACATCTCAAATAAGTTTCTGAGAATGCTTCTGCCTAGTTGTTACGGGAAGATATTTCCCTTTCCAACATGGGCCTGAAAGCGCTCCAAATGTCCACTTCCAGATACTACAAAAAGAGTGTTTCAAACCTGCTCTACCAAAGGGAATGTTCTACTCTGTGACTTGAATGCAAACATCCCAAAGAAGTTTCTGAGAATGCTTCTGTCTAGATTTTACCTGAAGACAATCCCGTTTCCCACGAAATCCTCAAATCTATGCAAATATCCTCTTGCAGATTCTACAAAAAGAGTGTTTCAAAACTGCTCTATGAAAAGAAAGGTTCAACTCTGTCAGTAGAGGGCACACATCACAAACAAGTTTCTGAGAATGCTTGTGTCTAGTTGTTATGGGAAGATATTTCCTTTTTCAACATAGGCCTGAAAGCGCTCCAAATGTCCACTTCCAGATACTACAAAAGGAGTGATTCCAACCTGCTCTATGATAGGGAATGTTCATCTCTGTGTCCTGAATACAAACATCACAAAGATGTTTCTCAGAACGCTGCAGTCTGCAATTTGGATGAATTCCCGCTTCCAACGAAATCCTCAAAACTAGCCAAATATCCACTTGGAGATTCCACAAAAAGAGCGTTTCAAAACTTCTCTATGAATAGAAAGGTTCTACTCCTTTAGTTGAGGACACACATCACGAGTAAGTTTCTGAGAATGCTTCTGTCTAGTTTTTATGGGAAGATATGTCCTTTTTCACCTTAGGCCGGAAAGCGCTCCAAATGTCCACTTACACACACTACAAAAAGAGTGTTTCAAACCTGCTCTGTGAAAGGGAATGTTCAATTCTGTGACTTGAATGCAATCATCACAAAGAACTTTCTGAGAATGCTGCTGTCTGCTTTTTATATGTAATCCCGTTTCCAACGAAATCCTCAAATCTAGCCCAATATCCACTTGCAGATTCCACAAAAAGAGTGTTTCAAAACTGTTCTGTCTAAAGAAAAGTTCAACTGTGTTAGTTGAGGACACACATCAGAAACTAGTTTCTGAGAATGCTTCTGTCTAGTTGTTATGGGAAGATATTTCCTTTTCCAACGTAGGCCTGAAAGCGCTCCAAATGTCCACTTCCATATACTAAAAAAAGAGTGTTTCAAACCTGCTCTACCAAAGGGAATGTTCTACTCTGTGACTTGAATGCAAACATCCCAAAGAAGTTTCTGAGAATGCTTCTGTCTAGATTTTATCTCAAGACAATCCCGTTTCCAACGAAATCCTCAAGGCTAGGCAAATATACTCTTGCAGATTCCAGAAAAAGAGTGTTTCAAAACTGCTCCTTCAAAACGGTGGTTCAATTCTCTTAGTTGAGTACACACATCTCAAATAAGTTTCTGAGAATGCTTCTGCCTAGTTGTTACGGGAAGATATTTCCCTTTCCAACATGGGCCTGAAAGCGCTCCAAATGTCCACTTCCAGATACTACAAAAAGAGTGTTTCAAACCTGCTCTACCAAAGGGAATGTTCTACTCTGTGACTTGAATGCAAACATCCCAAAGAAGTTTCTGAGAATGCTTCTGTCTAGATTTTACCTGAAGACAATCCCGTTTCCCACGAAATCCTCAAAGCTATGCAAATATCCTCTTGCAGATTCTACAAAAAGTGTGTTTCAAAACTGCTCTATGAAAAGAAAGGTTCAACTCTGTCAGTAGAGGGCACAACATCACAAACAAGTTTCTGAGAATGCTTCTGCATAGTTGTTACGGGAAGATATTTCCCTTTCCAAAATAGGCCTGAAAGCGCTCCAAATGTCCACTTCCAGATACTACAAAAGGAGTGATTCCAACCTGCTCTATGATAGGGAATGTTCAACTCTGTGTCCTGAATACAAACATCACAAAGATGTTTCTCAGAACGCTGCAGTCTGCAATTTGTATGAATTCCCGCTTCCAACGAAATCCTCAAAACTAGCCAAATATCCACTTGCAGATTCCACAAAAAGACCATTTCAAAACTGCTCTATCAAAAGAAAGGTTCAACTTTGTTAGTTGAGTAGATACAGCATAAACAAGTTTCTGAGAATGCTTCTGTCCAGTTTTTATGGGAAGATATTTCCTTTTTCACCTTAGCCCTGAAAGCGCCCCAAATGTCCAGTTCCAGATACTACAAAAGGGGTGTTTCAAGACTGCTCTATGAAAGGGAGTGTTCAACTTTTGACTTGAATGCAAACATCAGAAAGCAGATTCTCAGAACGCTGCTGTGTGCTTTTTATATGTATTCCCGCTTCCAGCGAAATCCCCAAAGCTAGCCAAATATCCACTTGCAGATTCCAGAAAAAGAGTGTTTCAAAACTGCTCCTTCAAAACGGTGGTTCAATTCTCTTAGTTGAGTACACACATCTCAAATAAGTTTCTGAGAATGCTTCTGTCTAGTTGTTATGGGAAGATATTTCCTTTTCCAACATAGGCCTGAAAGCGCTCCAAATGTCCACTTCCAGATACTACAAAAGGAGTGATTCAAACCTGCTCTATGATAGGGAATGTTCAACTCTGTGTCCTGAATACAAACATCACAAAGATGTTTCTCAGAACGCTGCAGTCTGCAATTTGTATGAATTCCCGCTTCCAACGAAATCCTCACAACTAGCCAAATATCCACTTGCAGATTCCACAAAAAGAGCGTTTCAAAACTTCTCTATGAAAAGAAAGGTTCTACTCCTTTAGTTGAGGACACACATCACGAGTAAGTTTCTGAGAATGCTTCTGTCTAGTTTATATGGGAAGATATTTCCTTTTTCACCTTAGGCCGGAAAGTGCTCCAAATGTCCACTTACACACACTACAAAAAGAGTGTTTCAAACCTGCTCTGTGAAAGGGAATGTTCAATTCTGTGACTTGAATGCAATCATCACAAAGAAGTTTCTGAGAATGCTGCTGTCTGCTTTTTATATGTAATCCCGTTTCCAACGAAATCCTCAAATCTAGCCAAATAGCCACTTGCAGATTCCACAAAAAGAGTGTTTCAAAACTGTTCTGTCTAAAGAAATGTTCAACTGTGTTTGTTGAGGACACACATCAGAAACTAGTTTCTGAGAATGCTTCTGTCTAGTTGTTATGGGAAGATATTTCCTTTTCCAACGTAGGCCTGAAAGCGCTCCAAATGTCCACTTCCATATACTAAAAAAAGAGTGTTTCAAACCTGCTCTACCAAAGGGAATGTTCTACTCTGTGACTTGAATGCAAACATCCCAAAGAAGTTTCTGAGAATGCTTCTGTCTAGATTTTATCTGAAGACAATCCCGTTTCCAACGAAATCCTCAAGGCTAGGCAAATATACTCTTGCAGATTCCAGAAAAAGAGGGTTTCAAAACTGCTCCTTCAAAACGGTGGTTCAATACTCTTAGTTGAGTACACACATCTCAAATAATTTTCTGAGAATGCTTCTGCCTAGTTGTTACGGGAAGATATTTCCCTTTCCAACATAGGCCTGAAAGCGCTCCAAATGTCCACTTCCAGATACTACAAAAAGAGTGTTTCAAACCTGCTCTACCAAAGGGAATGTTCTACTCTGTGACTTGAATGCAAACATCCCAAAGAAGTTTCTGAGAATGCTTCTGTCTAGATTTTACCTGAAGACAATCCCGTTTCCCACGAAATCCTCAAAGCTATGCAAATATCCTCTTGCAGATTCTACAAAAAGAGTGTTTCAAAACTGCTCTATGAAAAGAAAGGTTCAACTCTGTCAGTAGAGGGCACACATCACAAACAAGTTTC
This sequence comes from Homo sapiens, assembly GCF_000001405.40. Classification (NCBI taxonomy): domain Eukaryota; kingdom Metazoa; phylum Chordata; class Mammalia; order Primates; family Hominidae; genus Homo; species Homo sapiens. The sequence goes on along the minus strand of NC_000018.10, from coordinate 17,472,371 downwards.
TGAGAATGCTTGTGTCTAGTTGTTATGGGAAGATATTTCCTTTTTCAACATAGGCCTGAAAGCGCTCCAAATGTCCACTTCCAGATACTACAAAAGGAGTGATTCCAACCTGCTCTATGATAGGGAATGTTCAACTCTCTGTCCTGAATACAAACATCACAAAGATGTTTCTCAGAACGCTGCAGTCTGCAATTTGTATGAATTCCCGCTTCCAACGAAATCCTCAAAACTAGCCAAATATCCACTTGCAGATTCCACAAAAAGAGCATTTCAAAACTGCTCTATCAAAAGAAAGGTTCAACTTTGTTAGTTGAGTAGATACAGCATAAACAAGTTTCTGAGAATGCTTCTGTCCAGTTTTTATGGGAAGATATTTCCTTTTTCACCTTAGCCCTGAAAGCGCTCCAAATTTCCAGTTCCAGATACTACAAAAGGGGTGTTTCAAGACTGCTCTATGAAAGGGAGTGTTCAACTTTTGACTTGAATGCAAACATCAGAAAGCAGTTTCTCAGAACGCTGCTGTGTGCTTTTTATATGTATTCCCGCTTCCAGCGAAATCCCCAAAGCTAGCCAAATATCCACTTGCAGATTCCAGAAAAAGAGTGTTTCCAAACTGCTCCTTCAAAACGGTGGTTCAATTCTCTTAGTTGAGTACACACATCTCAAATAAGTTTCTGGGAATGCTTCTGTCTAGTTGTTATGGGAAGATATTTCCTTTTCCAACATAGGCCTGAAAGCGCTCCAAATGTCCACTTCCAGATACTACAAAAGGAGTGATTCAAACCTGCTCTATGATAGGGAATGTTCAACTCTGTGTCCTGAATACAAACATCACAAAGATGTTTCTCAGAACGCTGCAGTCTGCATCTTGTATGAATTCCCGCTTCCAACGAAATCCTCCAAACTAGCCAAATATCCACTTGCAGATTCCACAAAAAGAGCGTTTCAAAACTTCTCTATGAAAAGAAAGGTTCTACTCCTTTAGTTGAGGACACACATCACGAGTAAGTTTCTGAGAATGCTTCTGTCTAGTTTTTATGGGAAGATATTTCCTTGTTCACCTTAGGCCGGAAAGCGCTCCAAATGTCCACTTACACACACTACAAAAAGAGTGTTTCAAACCTGCTCTGTGAAAGGGAATGTTCAATACTGTGACTTGAATGCAATCATCACAAAGAAGTTTTCTGAGAATGCTGCTGTCTGCTTTTTATATGTAATCCCGTTTCCAACGAAATCCTCAAATCTAGCCAAATATCCACTTGCAGATTCCACAAAAAGAGTGTTTCAAAACTGTTCTGTCTAAAGAAAAGTTCAACTGTGTTAGTTGAGGACACACATCAGAAACTAGTTTCTGAGAATGCTTCTGTCTAGTTGTTATGGGAAGATATTTCCTTTTCCAACGTAGGCCTGAAAGCGCTCCAAATGTCCACTTCCATATACTAAAAAAAGAGTGTTTCACACCTGCTCTACCAAAGGGAATGTTCTACTCTGTGACTTGAATGCAAACATCCCAAAGAAGTTTTCTGAGAATGCTTTCTGTCTAGATTTTATCTGAAGACAATCCCGTTTCCAACGAAATCTTCAAGGCTAGGCAAATATACTCTTGCAGTTTCCAGAAAAAGAGTGTTTCAAAACTGCTCCTTCAAAACGGTGGTTCCATTCTCTTAGTTGAGTACACACATCTCAAATAAGTTTCTGAGAATGCTTCTGCCTAGTTGTTACGGGAAGATATTTCCCTTTCCAACATGGGCCTGAAAGCGCTCCAAATGTCCACTTCCAGACACTACAAAAAGAGTGTTTCAAACCTGCTCTACCAAAGGGAATGTTCTACTCTGTGACTTGAATGCAAACATCCCAAAGAAGTTTCTGAGAATGCTTCTGTCTAGATTTTACCTGAAGACAATCCCGTTTCCCACGAAATCCTCAAAGCTATGCAAATATCCTCTTGCAGATTCTACAAAAAGAGTGTTTCAAAACTGCTCTATGAAAAGAAAGGTTCAACTCTGTCAGTAGAGGGCACACATCACAAACAAGTTTCTGAGAATGCTTCTGCATAGTTGTTACGGGAAGATATTTCCCTTTCCAAAATAGGCCTGAAAGCGCTCCAAATGTCCACTTCCAGATACTACAAAAGGAGTGATTCCAACCTGCTCTATGATAGGGAATGTTCAACTCTGTGTCCTGAATACAAACATCACAAAGATGTTTCTCAGAACGCTGCAGTCTGCAATTTGTATGAATTCCCGCTTCCAACGAAATCCTCAAAACTAGCCAAATATCCACTTGCAGATTCCACAAAAAGACCATTTCAAAACTGCTCTATCAAAAGAAAGGTTCAACTTTGTTAGTTGAGTAGATACAGCATAACCAAGTTTCTGAGAATGCTTCTGTCCAGTTTTTATGGGAAGATATTTCCTTTTTCACCTTAGCCCTGAAATCGCTCCAAAAGTCCAGTTCCAGATACTACAAAAGGGGTGTTTCAAGACTGCTCTATGAAAGGGAGTGTTCAACTTTTGACTTGAATGCAAACATCAGAAAGCAGTTTCTCAGAACGCTGCTGTGTGCTTTTTATATGTATTCCCGCTTCCAGCGAAATCCCCAAAGCTAGCCAAATATCCACTTGCAGATTCCAGAAAAAGAGTGTTTCAAAACTGCTCCTTCAAAACGGTGGTTCAATTCTCTTAGTTGAGTACACACATCTCAAATAAGTTTCTGAGAATGCTTCTGTCTAGTTTTTATGGGAAGATATTTCCTTTTTCACCTGAGGCCGGAAAGCGCTCCAAATGTCCACTTCCAGATACTACAAAAGGAGTGATTCAAACCTGCTCTATGATAGGGAACGTTCAACTCTGTGTCCTGAATACAAACATCACAAAGATGTTTCTCAGAACGCTGCAGTCTGCAATTTGTATGAATTCCCGCTTCCAACGAAATCCTCCAAACTAGCCAAATATCCACTTGCAGATTCCACAAAAAGAGCGTTTCAAAACTTCTCTATGAAAAGAAAGGTTCTACTCCTTTAGTTGAGGACACACATCACGAGTAAGTTTCTGAGAATGCTTCTGTATAGTTTTTATGGGAAGATATTTCCTTGTTCACCTTAGGCCGGAAAGCGCTCCAAATGTCCACTTACACACACTACAAAAAGAGTGTTTCAAACCTGCTCTGTGAAAGGGAATGTTCAATTCTGTGACTTGAATGCAATCATCACAAACAAGTTTCTGAGAATGCTGCTGTCTGCTTTTTATATGTAATCCCGTTTCCAACGAAATCCTCAAATCTAGCCAAATATCCACTTGCAGATTCCACAAAAAGAATGTTTCAAAACTGTTCTGTCTAAAGAAATGTTCAACTGTGTTAGTTGAGGACACACATCAGAAACTAGTTTCTGAGAATGCTTCTGTCTAGTTGTTATGGGAAGATATTTCCTTTTCCAACGTAGGCCTGAAAGCGCTCCAAATGTCCACTTCCATATACTAAAAAAAGAGTGTTTCAAACCTGCTCTACCAAAGGGAATGTTCTACTCTGTGACTTGAATGCAAACATCCCAAAGAAGTTTCTGAGAATGCTTCTGTCTAGATTTTATCTGAAGACAATCCCGTTTCCAACGAAATCCTCAAGGCTAGGCAAATATCCTCTTGCAGATTCCAGAAAAAGAGTGTTTCAAAACTGCTCCTTCAAAACGGTGGTTCAATTCTCTTAGTTGAGTACACACATCTCAAATAAGTTTCTGAGAATGCTTCTGCCTTGTTGTTACGGGAAGATATTTCCCTTTCCAACATAGGCCTGAAAGCGCTCCAAATGTCCACTTCCAGATACTACAAAAAGAGTGTTTGAAACCTGCTCTACCAAAGGGAATGTTCTACTCTGTGACTTGAATGCAAACATCCCAAAGAAGTTTCTGAGAATGCTTCTGTCTAGATTTTTCCTGAGACAATCCCGTTTCCCACGAAATCCTCAAAGCTATGCAAATATCCTCTTGCAGATTCTACAAAAAGAGTGTTTCAAAACTGCTCTATGAAAAGAAAGGTTCAACTCTGTCAGTAGAGGGCACACATCACAAACAAGTTTCTGAGAATGCTTGTGTCTAGTTGTTATGGGAAGATATTTCCTTTTTCAACATAGGCCAGAAAGCGCTCCAAATGTCCACTTCCAGATACTACAAAAGGAGTGATTCCAACCTGCTCTATGATAGGGAATGTTCAACTCTCTGTCCTGAATACAAACATCACAAAGATGTTTCTCAGAACGCTGCAGTCTGCAATTTGTATGAATTCCCGCTTCCAACGAAATCCTCAAAACTAGCCAAATATCCACTTGCAGATTCCACAAAAAGAGCATTTCAAAACTGCTCTATCAAAAGAAAGGTTCAACTTTGTTAGTTGAGTAGATACAGCATAAAAAAGTTTCTGAGAATGCTTCTGTCCAGTTTTTATGGGAAGATATTTCCTTTTTCACCTTAGCCCTGAAAGCGCTCCAAAAGTCCAGTTCCAGATACTACAAAAGGAGTGTTTCAGGACTGCTCTATGAAAGGGAGTGTTCAACTTTTGACTTGAATGCAAACATCAGAAAGCAGTTTCTCAGAACGCTGCTGTGTGCTTTTTATATGTATTCCCGCTTCCAGCGAAATCCCCAAAGCTAGCCAAATATCCACTTGCAGATTCCAGAAAAAGAGTGTTTCAAAACTGCTCCTTCAAAACGGTGGTTCAATTCTCTTAGTTGAGTACACACATCTCAAATAAGTTTCTGAGAATGCTTGTGTCTAGTTGTTATGGGAAGATATTTCCTTTTTCAACATAGGCCTGAAAGCGCTCCAAATGTCCACTTCCAGATACTACAAAAGGAGTGATTCCAACCTGCTCTATGATAGGGAATGTTCAACTCTGTGTCCTGAATACAAACATCACAAAGATGTTTCTCAGAACGCTGCAGTCTGCAATTTGTATGAATTCCCGCTTCCAACGAAATCCTCAAAACTAGCCAAATATCCACTTGCAGATTCCACAAAAAGAGCGTTTCAAAACTTCTCTATGAAAAGAAAGGTTCTACTCCTTTAGTTGAGGACACACATCACGAGTAAGTTTCTGAGAATGCTTCTGTCTAGTTTTTATGGGAAGATATGTCCTTTTTCACCTTAGGCCGGAAAGCGCTCCAAATGTCCACTTACACACACTACAAAAAGAGTGTTTCAAACCTGCTCTGTGAAAGGGAATGTTCAATTCTGTGACTTGAATGCAATCATCACAAAGAACTTTCTGAGAATGCTGCTGTCTGCTTTTTATATGTAATCCCGTTTCCAACGAAATCCTCAAATCTAGCCAAATATCCACTTGCAGATTCCACAAAAAGAGTGTTTCAAAACTGTTCTGTCTAAAGAAAAGTTCAACTGTGTTAGTTGAGGACACACATCAGAAACTAGTTTCTGAGAATGCTTCTGTCTAGTTGTTATGGGAAGATATTTCCTTTTCCAACGTAGGCCTGAAAGCGCTCCAAATGTCCACTTCCATATACTAAAAAAAAAGTGTTTCAAACCTGCTCTACCAAAGGGAATGTTCTACTCTGTGACTTGAATGCAAACATCCCAAAGAAGTTTCTGAGAATGCTTCTGTCTAGATTTTATCTGAAGACAATCCCGTTTCCAACGAAATCCTCAAGGCTAGGCAAATATACTCTTGCAGATTCCAGAAAAAGAGGGTTTCAAAACTGCTCCTTCAAAACGGTGGTTCAATTCTCTTAGTTGAGTACACACATCTCAAATAAGTTTCTGAGAATGCTTCTGCCTAGTTGTTACGGGAAGATATTTCCCTTTCCAACATAGGCCTGAAAGCGCTCCAAATGTCCACTTCCAGATACTACAAAAAGAGTGTTTCAAACCTGCTCTACCAAAGGGAATGTTCTACTCTGTGACTTGAATGCAAACATCCCAAAGAAGTTCCTGAGAATGCTTCTGTCTAGATTTTACCTGAAGACAATCCCGTTTCCCACGAAATCCTCAAAGCTATGCAAATATCCTCTTGCGGATTCTACAAAAAGAGTGTTTCAAAACTGCTCTATGAAAAGAAAGGTTCAACTCTGTCAGTAGAGGGCACACATCACAAACAAGTTTCTGAGAATGCTTGTGTCTAGTTGTTATGGGAAGATATTTCCTTTTTCAACATAGGCCTGAAAGCGCTCCAAATGTCCACTTCCAGATACTACAAAAGGAGTGATTCCAACCTGCTCTATGATACGGAATGTTCAACTCTCTGTCCTGAATACAAACATCACAAAGATGTTTCTCAGAACGCTGCAGTCTGCAATTTGTATGAATTCCCGCTTCCAACGAAATCCTCAAAACTAGCCAAATATCCACTTGCAGATTCCACAAAAAGAGCATTTCAAAACTGCTCTATCAAAAGAAAAGTTCAACTTTGTTAGTTGAGTAGATACAGCATAAACAAGTTTCTGAGAATGCTTCTGTCCAGTTTTTATGGGAAGATATTTCCTTTTTCACCTTAGCCCTGAAAGCGCTCCAAAAGTCCAGTTCCAGATACTACAAAAGGAGTGTTTCAGGACTGCTCTATGAAAGGGAGTGTTCAACTTTTGACTTGAATGCAAACATCAGAAAGCAGTTTCTCAGAACGCTGCTGTGTGCTTTTTATATGTATTCCCGCCTCCAGCGAAATCCCCAAAGCTAGCCAAATATCCACTTGCAGATTCCAGAAAAAGAGTGTTTCAAAACTGCTCCTTCAAAACGGTGGTTCAATTCTCTTAGTTGAGTACACACATCTCAAATAAGTTTCTGAGAATGCTTCTGTCTAGTTGTTATGGGAAGATATTTCCTTTTCCAACATAGGCCTGAAAGCGCTCCAAATGTCCACTTCCAGATACTACAAAAGGAGTGATTCCAACCTGCTCTATGATAGGGAATGTTCAACTCTGTGTCCTGAATACAAACATCACAAAGATGTTTCTCAGAACGCTGCAGTCTGCAATTTGTATGAATTCCCGCTTCCAACGAAATCCTCCAAACTAGCCAAATATCCACTTGCAGATTCCACAAAAAGAGCGTTTCAAAACTTCTCTATGAAAAGAAAGGTTCTACTCCTTTAGTTGAGGACACACATCACGAGTAAGTTTCTGAGAATGCTTCTGTCTAGTTTTTATGGGAATATATTTCCTTTTTCACCTTAGGCCGGAAAGTGCTCCAAATGTCCACTTACACACACTACAAAAAGAGTGTTTCAAACCTGCTCTGTGAAAGGGAATGTTCAATTCTGTGACTTGAATGCAATCATCACAAAGAACTTTCTGAGAATGCTGCTGACTGCTTTTTATATGTAATCCCGTTTCCAACGAAATCCTCAAATCTAGCCAAATAGCCACTTGCAGATTCCACAAAAAGAGTGTTTCAAAACTGTTCTGTCTAAAGAAATGTTCAACTGTGTTAGTTGAGGACACACATCAGAAACTAGTTTCTGAGAATGCTTCTGTCTAGTTGTTATGGGAAGATATTTCCTTTTCCAACGTAGGCCCTGAAAGCGATCAAAATGTCCACTTCCATATACTAAAAAAAGAGTGTTTCAAACCTGCTCTACCAAAGGGAATGTTCTACTCTGTGACTTGAATGCAAACATCCCAAAGAAGTTTCTGAGAATGCTTCTGTCTAGATTTTATCTGAAGACAATCCCGTTTCCAACGAAATCCTCAAGGCTAGGCAAATATATTCTTGCAGAATCCAGAAAAAGAGTGTTTCAAAACTGCTCCTTCAAAACGGTGGTTCAATTCTCTTAGTTGAGTACACACATCTCAAATAAGTTTCTGAGAATGCTTCTGCCTAGTTGTTACGGGAAGATATTTCCCTTTCCAACATGGGCCTGAAAGCGCTCCAAATGTCCACTTCCAGATACTACAAAAAGAGTGTTTCAAACCTGCTCTACCAAAGGGAATGTTCTACTCTGTGTCTTGAATGCAAACATCCCAAAGAAGTTTCTGAGAATGCTTCTGTCTAGATTTTACCTGAAGACAATCCCGTTTCCCACGAAATCCTCAAAGCTATGCAAATATCCTCTTGCAGATTCTACAAAAAGAGTGTTTCAAAACTGCTCTAAGAAAAGAAAGGTTCAACTCTGTCAGTAGAGGGCACACATCACAAACAAGTTTCTGAGAATGCTTCTGCATAGTTGTTATGGGAAGATATTTCCCTGTCCAAAATAGGCCTGAAAGCGCTCCAAATGTCCACTTCCAGATACTACAAAAGGAGTGATTCCAACCTGCTCTATGATAGGGAATGTTCAACTCTGTGTCCTGAATACAAACATCACAAAGATGTTTCTCATAACGCTGCAGTCTGCAATTTGTATGAATTCCCGCTTCCAACGAAATCCTCAAAACTAGCCAAATATCCACTTGCAGATTCCACAAAAAGACCATTTCAAAACTGCTCTATCAAAAGAAAGGTTCAACTTTGTTAGTTGAGTAGATACAGCATAAACAAGTTTCTGAGAATGCTTCTGTCCAGTTTTTATGGGAAGATATTTCCTTTTTCACCTTAGCCCTAAAATCGCTCCAAAAGTCCAGTTCCAGATACTACAAAAGGGGTGTTTCAAGACTGCTCTATGAAAGGGAGTGTTCAACTTTTGACTTGAACGCAAACATCAGAAAGCAGTTTCTCAGAACGCTGCTGTGTGCTTTTTATATGTATTCCCGCTTCCAGCGAAATCCCCAAAGCTAGCCAAATATCCACTTGCAGATTCCAGAAAAAGAGTGTTTCAAAACTGCTCCTTCAAAACGGTGGTTCAATTCTCTTAGTTGAGTAGACACATCTCAAATAAGTTTCTGAGAATGCTTCTGTCTAGTTGTTATGGGAAGATATTTCCTTTTCCAACATAGGCCTGAAAGCGCTCCAAATGTCCACTTCCAGATACTACAAAAGGAGTGATTCAAACCTGCTCTATGATAGGGAATGTTCAACTCTGTGTCCTGAATACAAACATCACAAAGATGTTTCTCAGAACGCTGCAGTCTGCAATTTGTATGAATTCCCGCTTCCAACGAAATCCTCAAAACTAGCCAAATATCCACTTGCAGATTCCACAAAAAGAGCGTTTCAAAACTTCTCTATGAAAAGAAAGGTTCTACTACTTTAGTTGAGGACACACATCACGAGTAAGTTTCTGAGAATGCTTCTGTCTAGTTTTTATGGGAAGATATTTCCTTTTTCACCTTAGGCCGGTAAGTGCTCCAAATGTCCACTTACACACACTACAAAAAGAGTGTTTCAAACCTGCTCTGTGAAAGGGAATGTTCAATTCTGTGACTTGAATGCAATCATCACAAAGAACTTTCTGAGAATGCTGCTGACTGCTTTTTATATGTAATCCCGTTTCCAACGAAATCCTCAAATCTAGCCAAATAGCCACTTGCAGATTCCACAAAAAGAGTGTTTCAAAACTGTTCTGTCTAAAGAAATGTTCAACTGTGTTAGTTGAGGACACACATCAGAAACTAGTTTCTGAGAATGCTTCTGTCTAGTTGTTATGGGAAGATATTTCCTTTTCCAACGTAGGCCTGAAAGCGCTCCAAATGTCCACTTCCATATACTAAAAAAAGAGTGTTTCAAACCTGCTCTACCAAAGGGAATGTTCTACTCTGTGACTTGAATGCAAACATCCCAACGAAGTTTGTGAGAATGCTTCTGTCTAGATTTGATCTGAAGACAATCCCGTTTCCAACGAAATCCTCAAGGCTAGGCAAATATCCTCTTGCAGATTCCAGAAAAAGAGTGTTTCAAAACTGCTCCTTCAAAACGGTGGTTCAATTCTCTTAGTTGAGTACACATATCTCAAATAAGTTTCTGAGAATGCTTCTGCCTAGTTGTTACGGGAAGATATTTCCCTTTCCAACATAGGCCTGAAAGCGCTCCAAATGTCCACTTCCAGATACTACAAAAAGAGTGTTTCAAACCTGCTCTACCAAAGGGAATGTTCTACTCTGTGACTTGAATGCAAACATCCCAAAGAAGTTTCTGAGAATGCTTCTGTCTAGATTTTACCTGAAGACAATCCCGTTTCCCACGAAATCCTCAAAGCTATGCAAATATCCTCTTGCAGATTCTACAAAAAGAGTGTTTCAAAACTGCTCTATGAAAAGAAAGGTTCAACTCTGTCAGTAGAGGGCACACATCACAAACAAGTTTCTGAGAATGCTTCTGCATAGTTGTTACGGGAAGATATTTCCCTTTCCAAAATAGGCCTGAAAGCGCTCCAAATGTCCACTTCCAGATACTACAAAAGGAGTGATTCCAACCTGCTCTATGATAGGGAATGTTCAACTCTGTGTCCTGAATACAAACATCACAAAGATGTTTCTCAGAACGCTGCAGTCTGCAATTTGTATGAATTCCCGCTTCCAACGAAATCCTCAAAACTAGCCAAATATCCACTTGCAGATTCCACAAAAAGACCATTTCAAAACTGCTCTATCAAAAGAAAGGTTCAACTTTGTTAGTTGAGTAGATACAGCATAAACAAGTTTCTGAGAATGCTTCTGTCCAGTTTTTATGGGAAGATATTTCCTTTTTCACCTTAGCCCTGAAATCGCTCCAAAAGTCCAGTTCCAGATACTACAAAAGGGGTGTTTCAAGACTGCTCTATGAAAGGGAGTGTTCAACTTTTGACTTGAATGCAAACATCAGAAAGCAGTTTCTCAGAACGCTGCTGTGTGCTTTTTATATGTATTCCCGCTTCCAGCGAAATCCCCAAAGCTAGCCAAATATCCACTTGCAGATTCCAGAAAAAGAGAGTTTCAAAACTGCTCCTTCAAAACGGTGGTTCAATTCTCTTAGTTGAGTACACACATCTCAAATAAGTTTCTGAGAATGCTTCTGTCTAGTTTTTATGGGAAGATATTTCCTTTTCCAACATAGGCCTGAAAGCGCTCCAAATGTCCACTTCCAGATACTACAAAAGGAGGTATTCAAACCTGCTATATGAGAGGGAACGTTCAACTCTGTGTCCTGAATACAAACATCACAAAGCTGTTTCTCAGAACGCTGCAGTCTGCAATTTGTATGAATTCCCGCTTCCAACGAAATCCTCAAAACTAGCCAAATATCCACTTGCAGATTCCACAAAAAGAGCGTTTCAAAACTTCTCTATGAAAAGAAAGGTTCTACTCCTTTAGTTGAGGACACACATCACGAGTAAGTTTCTGAGAATGTTTCTGTCTAGTTTTTATGGGAAGATATTTCCTTGTTCACCTTAGGCCGGAAAGCGCTCCAAATGTCCACTTACACACACTACAAAAAGAGTGTTTCAAACCTGCTCTGTGAAAGGGAATGTTCAATTCTGTGACTTGAATGCAATCATCACAAAGAAGTTTCTGAGAATGCTGCTGTCTGCTTTTTATACGTAATCCCGTTTCCAACGAAATCCTCAAATCTAGCCAAATATCCACTTGCAGATTCCACAAAGAGAGTGTTTCAAAACTGTTCTGTCTAAAGAAATGTTCACTTGTGTTCGTTGACGACACACATCAGAAACTAGTTTCTGAGAATGCTTCTGTCTAGTTGTTATGGGAAGATATTTCCTTTTCCAACGTAGGCCTGAAAGCGCTCCAAATGTCCACTTCCATATACTAAAAAAAGAGTGTTTAAAACCTGCTCTACCAAAGGGAATGTTCTACTCTGTGACTTGAATGCAAACATCCCAAAGAAGTTTCTGAGAATGCTTCTGTCTAGATTTTATCTGAAGACAATCCCGTTTCCAACGAAATCCTCAAGGCTAGGCAAATATACTCTTGCAGATTCCAGAAAAAGAGTGTTTCAAAACTGCTCCTTCAAAACGGTGGTTCAATTCTCTTAGTTGAGTACACACATCTCAAATAAGTTTCTGAGAATGCTTCTGCCTAGTTGTTACGGGAAGATATTTCCCTTTCCAACATGGGCCTGAAAGCGCTCCAAATGTCCACTTCCAGATACTACAAAAAGAGTGTTTCAAACCTGCTCTACCAAAGGGAATGTTCTACTCTGTGACTTGAATGCAAACATCCCAAAGAAGTTTCTGAGAATGCTTCTGTCTAGATTTTACCTGAAGACAATCCCGTTTCCCACGAAATCCTCAAAGCTATGCAAATATCCTCTTGCAGATTCTACAAAAAGAGTGTTTCAAAACTGCTCTATGAAAAGAAAGGTTCAACTCTGTCAGTAGAGGGCACACATCACAAACAAGTTTCTGAGAATGCTTGTGTCTAGTTGTTATGGGAAGATATTTCCTTTTTCAACATAGGCCTGAAAGCGCTCCAAATGTCCACTTCCAGATACTACAAAAGGAGTGATTCCAACCTGCTCTATGATAGGGAATGTTCATCTCTGTGTCCTGAATACAAACATCACAAAGATGTTTCTCAGAACGCTGCAGTCTGCAATTTGTATGAATTCCCGCTTCCAACGAAATCCTCAAAACTAGCCAAATATCCACTTGGAGATTCCACAAAAAGAGCGTTTCAAAACTTCTCTATGAATAGAAAGGTTCTACTCTTTTAGTTGAGGACACACATCACGAGTAAGTTTCTGAGAATGCTTCTGTCTAGTTTTTATGGGAAGATATTTCCTTTTTCACCTTAGGCCGGAAAGCGCTCCAAATGTCCACTTACACACACTACAAAAAGAATGTTTCAAACCTGCTCTGTGAAAGGGAATGTTCAATTCTGTGACTTGAATGCAATCATCACAAAGAACATTCTGAGAATGCTGCTGTCTGCTTTTTATATGTAATCCCGTTTCCAACGAAATCCTCAAATCTAGCCAAATAGCCACTTGCAGATTCCACAAAAAGAGAGTTTCAAAACTGTTCTGTCTAAAGAAATATTCAACTGTGTTAGTTGAGGACACACATCAGAAACTAGTTTCTGAGAATGCTTCTGTCTAGTTGTTATGGGAAGATATTTCCTTTTCCAACGTAGGCCTGAAAGCGCTCCAAATGTCCACTTCCATATACTAAAAAAAGAGTGTTTCAAACCTGCTCTACCAAAGGGAATGTTCTACTCTGTGACTTGAATGCAAACATCCCAAAGAAGTTTCTGAGAATGCTTCTGTCTAGATTTGATCTGAAGACAATCCCGTTTCCAACGAAATCCTCAAGGCTAGGCAAATATCCTCTTGCAGATTCCAGAAAAAGAGTGTTTCAAAACTGCTCCTTCAAAACGGTGGTTCAATTCTCTTAGTTGAGTACACACATCTCAAATAAGTTTCTGAGAATGCTTCTGCCTAGTTGTTACGGGAAGATATTTCCCTTTCCATCATAGGCCTGAAAGCGCTCCAAATGTCCACTTCCAGATACTACAAAAAGAGTGTTTCAAACCTGCTCTACCAAAGGGAATGTTCTACTCTGTGACTTGAATGCAAACATCCCAAAGATGTTTCTGAGAATGCTTCTGTCTAGATTTTACCTGAAGACAATCCCGTTTCCCACGAAATCCTCAAAGCTATGCAAATATCCTCTTGCAGATTCTACAAAAAGAGTGTTTCAAAACTGCTCTATGAAAAGAAAGGTTCAACTCTGTCAGTAGAGGGCACACATCACAAACAAGTTTCTGAGAATGCTTCTGCATAGTTGTTACGGGAAGATATTTCCCTTTCCAAAATAGGCCTGAAAGCGCTCCAAATGTCCACTTCCAGATACTACAAAAGGAGTGATTCCAACCTGCTCTATGATAGGGAATGTTCAACTCTGTGTCCTGAATACAAACATCACAAAGATGTTTCTCAGAACGCTGCAGTCTGCAATTTGTATGAATTCCCGCTTCCAACGAAATCCTCAAAACTAGCCAAATATCCACTTGCAGATTCCACAAAAAGACCATTTCAAAACTGCTCTATCAAAAGAAAGGTTCAACTTTGTTAGTTGAGTAGATACAGCATAACCAAGTTTCTGAGAATGCTTCTGTCCAGTTTTTATGGGAAGATATTTCCTTTTTCACCTTAGCCCTGAAATCGCTCCAAAAGTCCAGTTCCAGATACTACAAAAGGGGTGTTTCAAGACTGCTCTATGAAAGGGAGTGTTCAACTTTTGACTTGAATGCAAACATCAGAAAGCAGTTTCTCAGAACGCTGCTGTGTGCTTTTTATATGTATTCCCGCTTCCAGCGAAATCCCCAAAGCTAGCCAAATATCCACTTGCAGATTCCAGAAAAAGAGAGTTTCAAAACTGCTCCTTCAAAACGGTGGTTCAATTCTCTTAGTTGAGTACACACATCTCAAATAAGTTTCTGAGAATGCTTCTGTCTAGTTGTTATGGGAAGATATTTCCTTTTCCAACATAGGCCTGAAAGCGCTCCAAATGTCCACTTCCAGATACTACAAAAGGAGTGATTCCAACCTGCTCTATGATAGGGAATGTTCAACTCTGTGTCCTGAATACAAACATCACAAAGATGTTTCTCAGAACGCTGCAGTCTGCAATTTGTATGAATTCCCGCTTCCAACGAAATCCTCAAAACTAGCCAAATATCCACTTGCAGATTCCACAAAAAGAGCGTTTCAAAACTTCTCTATGAAAAGAAAGGTTCTACTCCTTTAGTTGAGGACACACATCACGAGTAAGTTTCTGAGAATGCTTCTGTCTAGTTTTTATGGGAAGATATTTCCTTTTTCACCTTAGGCCGGTAAGTGCTCCAAATGTCCACTTACACACACTATAAAAAGAGTGTTTCAAACCTGCTCTGTGAAAGGGAATGTTCAATTCTGTGACTTGAATGCAATCATCACAAAGAACTTTCTGAGAATGCTGCTGACTGCTTTTTATATGTAATCCCGTTTCCAACGAAATCCTCAAATCTAGCCAAATAGCCACTTGCAGATTCCACAAAAAGAGTGTTTCAAAACTGTTCTGTCTAAAGAAATGTTCAACTGTGTTAGTTGAGGACACACATCAGAAACTAGTTTCTGAGAATGCTTCTGTCTAGTTGTTATGGGAAGATATTTCCTTTTCCAACGTAGGCCTGAAAGCGCTCCAAATGTCCACTTCCAGATACTACAAAAAGAGTGTTTCAAACCTGCTCTACCAAAGGGAATGTTCTACTCTGTGACTTGAATGCAAACATCCCAAAGAAGTTTCTGAGAATGCTTCTGTCTAGATTTTCTCTGAAGACAATCCCGTTTCCAACGAAATCCTCAAGGCTAGGCAAATATACTCTTGCAGATTCCAGAAAAAGAGTGTTTCAAAACTGCTCCTTCAAAACGGTGGTTCAATTCTCTTAGTTGAGTACACACATCTCAAATAAGTTTCTGAGAATGCTTCTGCCTAGTTGTTACGGGAAGATATTTCCCTTTCCAACATGGGCCTGAAAGCGCTCCAAATGTCCACTTCCAGATACTACAAAAAGAGTGTTTCAAACCTGCTCTACCAAAGGGAATGTTCTACTCTGTGACTTGAATGCAAACATCCCAAAGAAGTTTCTGAGAATGCTTCTGTCTAGATTTTACCTGAAGACAATCCCGTTTCCCACGAAATCCTCAAAGCTATGCAAATATCCTCTTGCAGATTCTACAAAAAGAGTGTTTCAAAACTGCTCTATGAAAAGAAAGGTTCAACTCTGTCAGTAGAGGGCACACATCACAAACAAGTTTCTGAGAATGCTTCTGCATAGTTGTTACGGGAAGATATTTCCCTTTCCAAAATAGGCCTGAAAGCGCTCCAAATGTCCACTTCCAGATACTACAAAAGGAGTGATTCCAACCTGCTCTATGATAGGGAATGTTCAACTCTGTGTCCTGAATACAAACATCACAAAGATGTTTCTCAGAACGCTGCAGTCTGCAATTTGTATGAATTCCCGCTTCCAACGAAATCCTCAAAACTAGCCAAATATCCACTTGCAGATTCCACAAAAAGACCATTTCAAAACTGCTCTATCAAAAGAAAGGTTCAACTTTGTTAGTTGAGTAGATACAGCATAAACAAGTTTCTGAGAATGCTTCTGTCCAGTTTTTATGGGAAGATATTTCCTTTTTCACCTTAGCCCTGAAATCGCTCCAAAAGTCCAGTTCCAGATACTACCAAAGGGGTGTTTCAGGACTGCTCTATGAAAGGGAGTGTTCAACTTTTGACTTGAATGCAAACATCAGAAAGCAGTTTCTCAGAACGCTGCTGTGTGCTTTTTATATGTATTCCCGCTTCCAGCGAAATCCCCAAAGCTAGCCAAATATCCACTTGCAGATTCCAGAAAAAGAGAGTTTCAAAACTGCTCCTTCAAAACGGTGGTTCAATTCTCTTAGTTGAGTACACACATCTCAAATAAGTTTCTGAGAATGCTTCTGTCTAGTTGTTATGGGAAGATATTTCCTTTTCCAACATAGGCCTGAAAGCGCTCCAAATGTCCACTTCCAGATACTACAAAAGGAGTGATTCAAACCTGCTCTATGATAGGGAATGTTCAACTCTGTGTCCTGAATACAAACATCACAAAGATGTTTCTCAGAACGCTGCAGTCTGCAATTTGTATGAATTCCCGCTTCCAACGAAATCCTCAAAACTAGCCAAATATCCACTTGCAGATTCCACAAAAAGAGCGTTTCAAAACTTCTCTATGAAAAGAAAGGTTCTACTCCTTTAGTTGAGGACACACATCACGAGTAAGTTTCTGAGAATGCTTCTGTCTAGTTTTTATGGGAAGATATTTCCTTTTTCACCTTAGGCCGGTAAGTGCTCCAAATGTCCACTTACACACACTACAAAAAGAGTCTTTCAAACCTGCTCTGTGAAAGGGAATGTTCAATTCTGTGACTTGAATGCAATCATCACAAAGAACTTTCTGAGAATGCTGCTGACTGCTTTTTATATGTAATCCCGTTTCCAACGAAATCCTCAAATCTAGCCAAATAGCCACTTGCAGATTCCACAAAAAGAGTGTTTCAAAACTGTTCTGTCTAAAGAAATGTTCAACTGTGTTAGTTGAGGACACACATCAGAAACTAGTTTCTGAGAATGCTTCTGTCTAGTTGTTATGGGAAGATATTTCCTTTTCCAACGTAGGCCTGAAAGCGCTCCAAATGTCCACTTCCAGATACTACAAAAAGAGTGTTTCAAACCTGCTCTACCAAAGGGAATGTTCTACTCTGTGACTTGAATGCAAGCATCCCAAAGAAGTTTCTGAGAATGCTTCTGTCTAGATTTTCTCTGAAGACAATCCCGTTTCCAACGAAATCCTCAAGGCTAGGCAAATATACTCTTGCAGATTCCAGAAAAAGAGTGTTTCAAAACTGCTCCTTCAAAACGGTGGTTCAATTCTCTTAGTTGAGTACACACATCTCAAATAAGTTTCTGAGAATGCTTCTGCCTAGTTGTTACGGGAAGATATTTCCCTTTCCAACATGGGCCTGAAAGCGCTCCAAATGTCCACTTCCAGATACTACAAAAAGAGTGTTTCAAACCTGCTCTACCAAAGGGAATGTTCTACTCTGTGACTTGAATGCAAACATCCCAAAGAAGTTTCTGAGAATGCTTCTGTCTAGATTTTACCTGAAGACAATCCCGTTTCCCACGAAATCCTCAAAGCTATGCAAATATCCTCTTGCAGATTCTACAAAAAGAGTGTTTCAAAACTGCTCTATGAAAAGAAAGGTTCAACTCTGTCAGTAGAGGGCACACATCACAAACAAGTTTCTGAGAATGCTTGTGTCTAGTTGTTATGGGAAGATATTTCCTTTTTCAACATAGGCCTGAAAGCGCTCCAAATGTCCACTTCCAGATACTACAAAAGGAGTGATTCCAACCTGCTCTATGATAGGGAATGTTCATCTCTGTGTCCTGAATACAAACATCACAAAGATGTTTCTCAGAACGCTGCAGTCTGCAATTTGTATGAATTCCCGCTTCCAACGAAATCCTCAAAACTAGCCAAATATCCACTTGGAGATTCCACAAAAAGAGCGTTTCAAAACTTCTCTATGAATAGAAAGGTTCTACTCCTTTAGTTGAGGACACACATCACGAGTAAGTTTCTGAGAATGCTTCTGTCTAGTTTTTATGGGAAGATATTTCCTTTTTCACCTTAGGCCGGAAAGCGCTCCAAATGTCCACTTACACACACTACAAAAAGAGTGTTTCAAACCTGCTCTGTGAAAGGGAATGTTCAATTCTGTGACTTGAATGCAATCATCACAAAGAACTTTCTGAGAATGCTGCTGTCTGCTTTTTATATGTAATCCCGTTTCCAACGAAATCCTCAAATCTAGCCAAATATCCACTTGCAGATTCCACAAAAAGAGTGTTTCAAAACTGTTCTGTCTAAAGAAAAGTTCAACTGTGTTAGTTGAGGACACACATCAGAAACTAGTTTCTGAGAATGCTTCTGTCTAGTTGTTATGGGAAGATATTTCCTTTTCCAACGTAGGCCTGAAAGCGCTCCAAATGTCCACTTCCATATACTAAAAAAAGATTGTTTCAAACCTGCTCTACCAAAGGGAATGTTCTACTCTGTGACTTGAATGCAAACATCCCAAAGAAGTTTCTGAGAATGCTTCTGTCTAGATTTGATCTGAAGACAATCCCGTTTCCAACGAAATCCTCAAGGCTAGGCAAATATACTCTTGCAGATTCCAGAAAAAGAGTGTTTCAAAACTGCTCCTTCAAAACGGTGGTTCAATTCTCTTAGTTGAGTACACACATCTCAAATAAGTTTCTGAGAATGCTTCTGCCTAGTTGTTACGGGAAGATATTTCCCTTTCCAACATGGGCCTGAAAGCGCTCCAAATGTCCACTTCCAGATACTACAAAAAGAGTGTTTCAAACCTGCTCTACCAAAGGGAATGTTCTACTCTGTGACTTGAATGCAAACATCCCAAAGAAGTTTCTGAGAATGCTTCTGTCTAGATTTTACCTGAAGACAATCCCGTTTCCCACGAAATCCTCAAAGCTATGCAAATATCCTCTTGCAGATTCTACAAAAAGAGTGTTTCAAAACTGCTCTATGAAAAGAAAGGTTCAACTCTGTCAGTAGAGGGCACACATCACAAACAAGTTTCTGAGAATGCTTGTGTCTAGTTGTTACGGGAAGATATTTCCCTTTCCAACATAGGCCTGAAAGCGCTCCAAATGTCCACTTCCAGATACTACAAAAAGAGTGTTTCAAACCTGCTCTACCAAAGGGAATGTTCTGCTCTGTGACTTGAATGCAAACATCCCAAAGAAGTTTCTGAGAATGCTTGCAGTCTGCAATTTGTATGAATTCCCGCTTCCAAAGAAATCCTCAAAACTAACCAAATATCCACTTGCAGACTCCACAAAAAGAGCATTTCAAAACTTCTCTATCAAAAGAAAGGTTCAACTTTGTTAGCTGAGTAGATACAGCATAAACAAGTTTCTGAGAATGCTTCTGTCCAGTTTTTATGGGAAGATATTTCCTTTTTCACCTTAGCCCTGAAAGCACTCCAAATGTCCACTTCCAGATACCACAAAAGGGGAGTTTCAAGACTGCTCTATGAAAGGGAGTGTTCAACTTTTGACTTGAATGCGAACATCAGAAAGAAGTTTCTCAGAACGCTGCTGTGTGCTTTTTATATGTATTCCCGCTTCCAGCGAAATCCCCAAAGCTAGCCAGATATCCACTTGCAGATTCCAGAAAAAGAGTGTTTCAAAACTGCTCCTTCAAAACGGTGGTTCAATTCTCTTAGTTGAGTACACACATCTCAAATAAGTTTCTGAGAATGCTTCTGTCTATTTGTTATGGGAAGATATTTCCTTTTCCAACATAGGCCTGAAAGCGCTCCAAATGTCCACTTCCAGATACTACAAAAGGAGTGATTCAAACCTGCTCTATGATAGGGAATGTTCAACTCTGTGTCCTGAATACAAACATCACAAAGATGTTTCTCAGAACGCTGCAGTCTGCAATTTGTATGAATTCCCGCTTCCAACGAAATCCTCAAAACTAGCCAAATATCCACTTGCAGATTCCACAAAAAGAGCGTTTCAAAACTTCTCTATGAAAAGAAAGTTTCTACTCCTTTAGTTGAGTACACACATCACGAGTAAGTTTCTGAGAATGCTTCTGTCTAGTTTTTATGGGAAGATATTTCCTTTTTCACCTTAGGCCGGAAAGCGCTCCAAATGTCCACTTACACACACTACAAAAAGAGTGTTTCAAACCTGCTCTGTGAAAGGGAATGTTCAATTCTGTGACTTGAATGCAATCATCACAAAGAACTTTCTGAGAATGCTGCTGTGTGCTTTTTATATGTAATCCCGTTTCCAACGAAATCCTCAAATCTAGCCCAATATCCACTTGCAGATTCCACAAAAAGAGTGTTTCAAAACTGTTCTGTATAAAGAAATGTACAACTGTGTTAGTTGAGGACACACATCAGAAACTAGTTTCTGAGAATGCTTCTGTCTAGTTGTTATGGGAAGATACTTCCTTTTCCAACGTAGGCCTGAAAGCGATCCAAATGTCCACTTCCAGATACTACAAAAAGAGTGTTTCAAACCTGCTCTACCAAAGGGAATGTTCTACTCTGTGACTTGAATGCAAACATCCCAAAGAAGTTTCTGAGAATGCTTCTGTCTAGATTTTCTCTGAAGACAATCCCGTTTCCAACGAAATCCTCAAGGCTAGGCAAATATACTCTTGCAGATTCCAGAAAAAGAGTGTTTCAAAACTGCTCCTTCAAAACGGTGGTTCAATTCTCTTAGTTGAGTACACACATCTCAAATAAGTTTCTGAGAATGCTTCTGCCTAGTTGTTACGGGAAGATATTTCCCTTTCCAACATGGGCCTGAAAGCGCTCCAAATGTCCACTTCCAGATACTACAAAAAGAGTGTTTCAAACCTGCTCTACCAAAGGGAATGTTCTACTCTGTGACTTGAATGCAAACATCCCAAAGAAGTTTCTGAGAATGCTTCTGTCTAGATTTTACCTGAAGACAATCCCGTTTCCCACGAAATCCTCAAAGCTATGCAAATATCCTCTTGCAGATTCTACAAAAAGAGTGTTTCAAAACTGCTCTATGAAAAGAAAGGTTCAACTCTGTCAGTAGAGGGCACACATCACAAACAAGTTTCTGAGAATGCTTCTGCATAGTTGTTACGGGAAGATATTTCCCTTTCCAAAATAGGCCTGAAAGCGCTCCAAATGTCCACTTCCAGATACTACAAAAGGAGTGATTCCAACCTGCTCTATGATAGGGAATGTTCAACTCTGTGTCCTGAATACAAACATCACAAAGATGTTTCTCAGAACGCTGCAGTCTGCAATTTGTATGAATTCCCGCTTCCAACGAAATCCTCAAAACTAGCCAAATATCCACTTGCAGATTCCACAAAAAGACCATTTCAAAACTGCTCTATCAAAAGAAAGGTTCAACTTTGTTAGTTGAGTAGATACAGCATAAACAAGTTTCTGAGAATGCTTCTGTCCAGTTTTTATGGGAAGATATTTCCTTTTTCACCTTAGCCCTGAAATCGCTCCAAAAGTCCAGTTCCAGATACTACAAAAGGGGTGTTTCAAGACTGCTCTATGAAAGGGAGTGTTCAACTTTTGACTTGAATGCAAACATCAGAAAGCAGTTTCTCAGAACGCTGCTGTGTGCTTTTTATATGTATTCCCGCTTCCAGCGAAATCCCCAAAGCTAGCCAAATATCCACTTGCAGATTCCAGAAAAAGAGTGTTTCAAAACTGCTCCTTCAAAACGGTGGTTCAATTCTCTTAGTTGAGTACACACATCTCAAATAAGTTTCTGAGAATGCTTCTGTCTAGTTGTTATGGGAAGATATTTCCTTTTCCAACATAGGCCTGAAAGCGCTCCAAATGTCCACTTCCAGATACTACAAAAGGAGTGATTCAAACCTGCTCTATGATAGGGAATGTTCAACTCTGTGTCCTGAATACAAACATCACAAAGATGTTTCTCAGAACGCTGCAGTCTGCAATTTGTATGAATTCCCGCTTCCAACGAAATCCTCAAAACTAGCCAAATATCCACTTGGAGATTCCACAAAAAGAGCCTTTCAAAACTTCTCTATGAATAGAAAGGTTCTACTCCTTTAGTTGAGGACACACATCACGAGTAAGTTTCTGAGAATGCTTCTGTCTAGTTTTTATGGGAAGATATGTCCTTTTTCACCTTAGGCCGGAAAGCGCTACAAATGTCCACTTACACACACTACAGAAAGAGTGCTTCAAACCTGCTCTGTGAAAGGGAATGTTCAATTCTGTGACTTGAATGCAATCATCACAAAGAACTTTCTGAGAATGCTGCTGTCTGCTTTTTATATGTAATCCCGTTTCCAACGAAATCCTCAAATCTAGCCATATATCCACTTGCAGATTCCACAAAAAGAGTGTTTCAAAACTGTTCTGTCTAAAGAAATGTTCAACTGTGTTAGTTGAGGACACACATCAGAAACTAGTTTCTGAGAATGCTTCTGTCTAGTTGTTATGGGAAGATATTTCCTTTTCCAACGTAGGCCTGAAAGCGCTCCAAATGTCCACTTCCATATACTAAAAAAAGAGTGTTTCAAACCTGCTCTACCAAAGGAATGTTCTACTCTGTGACTTGAATGCAAACATCCCAAAGAAGTTTCTGAGAATGCTTCTGTCTAGATTTGATCTGAAGACAATCCCTTTTCCAACGAAATCCTCAAAGCTAGGCAAATATCCTCTTGCAGATTCCAGAAAAAGAGTGTTTCCAAACTGCTCCTTCAAAACGGTGGTTCAATTCTCTTAGTTGAGTACACACATCTCAAATAAGTTTCTGAGAATGCTTCTGCCTAGTTGTTACGGGAAGATATTTCCCTTTCCAACATAGGCCTGAAAGCGCAACAAATGTCCACTTCCAGATACTACAAAAAGAGTGTTTCAAACCTGCTCTACCGAAGGGAATGTTCTACTCTGTGACTTGAATGCAAACATCCCGAAGAAGTTTCTGAGAATGCTTCTATCTAGATTTTACCTGAAGACAATCCCGTTTCCCACGAAATCCTCAGAGCTATGCAAATATCCTCTTGCAGATTCTACAAAAAGAGTGTTTCGAAACTGCTCTATGAAAAGAAAGGTTCAACTCTGTCAGTAGAGGAAACACATCACCAACAAGTTTCTGAGAATGCTTCTGTCTAGTTGTTATGGGAAGATTTTTCCTTTTTCAACATAGGCCTGAAAGCGCTCCAAATGTCCACTTCCAGATACTACAAAAGGAGTGATCCCAACCTGCTCTATGATAGGGAATGTTCAACTCTGTGTCCTGAATACAAACATCACAAAGATGTTTCTCAGAACGCTGCAGTCTGCAATTTGTATGAATTCCCGCTTCCAACGAAATCCTCAAAACTAGCCAAATATCCACTTGCAGATTCCACAAAAAGAGCATTTCAAAACTGCTCTATCAAAAGAAAGGTTCAACTTTGTTAGTTGAGCAGATACAGCATAAACAAGTTTCTGAGAATGCTTCTGTCCAGTTTTTATGGGAAGATATTTCCTTTTTCACCTTAGCCCTGAAAGCGCTCCAAATTTCCAGTTCCAGATACTACAAAAGGGGTGTTTCAAGACTGCTCTATGAAAGGGAGTGTTCAACTTTTGACTTGAATGCAAACATCAGAAAGCAGTTTCTCAGAACGCTGCTGTGTGCTTTTTATATGTATTCCCGCTTCCAGCGAAATCCCCAAAGCTAGCCAAATATCCACTTGCAGATTCCAGAAAAAGAGTGTTTCCAAACTGCTCCTTCAAAACGGTGGTTCAATTCTCTTAGTTGAGTACACACATCTCAAATAAGTTTCTGGGAATGCTTCTGTCTAGTTGTTATGGGAAGATATTTCCTTTTCCAACATAGGCCTGAAAGCGCTCCAAATGTCCACTTCCAGATACTACAAAAGGAGTGATTCAAACCTGCTCTATGATAGGGAATGTTCAACTCTGTGTCCTGAATACAAACATCACAAAGATGTTTCTCAGAACGCTGCAGTCTGCATCTTGTATGAATTCCCGCTTCCAACGAAATCCTCAAAACTAGCCAAATATCCACTTGCAGATTCCACAAAAAGAGCGTTTCAAAACTTCTCTATGAAAAGAAAGGTTCTACTCCTTTAGTTGAGGACACACATCACGAGTATGTTTCTGAGAATGCTCTGTCTAGTTTTTATGGGAAGATATTTCCTTTTTCACCTTAGGCCGGAAAGCGCTCCAAATGTCCACTTACACACACTACAAAAAGAGGGTTTCAAACCTGCTCTGTGAAAGGGAATGTTCAATTCTGTGACTTGAATGCAGTCATCACAAAGAACTTTCTGAGAATGCTGGCTGTCTGCTTTTTATATGTAATCCCGTTTCCAACGAAATCCTCAAATCTAGCCAAATATCCACTTGCAGATTCCACAAAAAGAGTGTTTCAAAACTGTTCTGTCTAAAGAAATGTTCAACTGTGTTAGTTGAGGACACACATCAGAAACTAGTTTCTGAGAATGCTTCTGTCTAGTTGTTATGGGAAGATATTTCCTTTTCCAACGTAGGCCTGAAAGCGCTCCAAATGTCCACTTCCATATACTAAAAAAAGAGTGTTTCAAACCTGCTCTACCAAAGGAATGTTCTACTCTGTGACTTGAATGCAAACATCCCAAAGAAGTTTCTGAGAATGCTTCTGTCTAGATTTGATCTGAAGACAATCCCTTTTCCAACGAAATCCTCAAAGCTAGGCAAATATCCTCTTGCAGATTCCAGAAAAAGAGTGTTTCCAAACTGCTCCTTCAAAACGGTGGTTCAATTCTCTTAGTTGAGTACACACATCTCAAATAAGTTTCAGAGAATGCTTCTGCCTAGTTGTTACGGGAAGATATTTCCCTTTCCAACATAGGCCTGAAAGCGCAACAAATGTCCACTTCCAGATACTACAAAAAGAGTGTTTCAAACCTGCTCTACCAAAGGGAATGTTCTACTCTGTGACTTGAATGCGAACATCCCGATGAAGTTTCTGAGAATGCTTCTGTCTAGATTTTACCTGAAGACAATCCCGTTTCCCACGAAATCCTCAGAGCTATGCAAATATCCTCTTGCAGATTCTACAAAAAGAGTGTTTCGAAACTGCTCTATGAAAAGAAAGGTTCAACTCTGTCAGTAGAGGAAACACATCACCAACAAGTTTCTGAGAATGCTTCTGTCTAGTTGTTATGGGAAGATTTTTCCTTTTTCAACATAGGCCTGAAAGCGCTCCAAATGTCCACTTCCAGATACTACAAAAGGAGTGATCCCAACCTGCTCTATGATAGGGAATGTTCAACTCTGTGTCCTGAATACAAACATCACAAAGATGTTTCTCAGAACGCTGCAGTCTGCAATTTGTATGAATTCCCGCTTCCAACGAAATCCTCAAAACTAGCCAAATATCCACTTGCAGATTCCACAAAAAGAGCGTTTCAAAACTTCTCTATGAAAAGAAAGGTTCTACTCCTTTAGTTGAGGACACACATCACGAGTAACTTTCTGAGAATGCTTCTGTCTAGTTTTTATGGGAAGATATTTCCTTTTTCACCTTAGGCCGGAAAGTGCTCCAAATGTCCACTTACACACACTACAAAAAGAGTGTTTCAAACCTGCTCTGTGAAAGGGAATGTTCAATTCTGTGACTTGAATGCAATCATCACAAAGAACTTTCTGAGAATGCTGCTGTCTGCTTTTTATATGTAATCCCGTTTCCAACGAAATCCTCAAATCTAGCCAAATAGCCACTTGCAGATTCCACAAAAAGAGTGTTTCAAAACTGTTCTGTCTAAAGAAATGTTCAACTGTGTTAGTTGAGGACACACATCAGAAACTAGTTTCTGAGAATGCTTCTGTCTAGTTGTTATGGGAAGATATTTCCTTTTCCAACGTAGGCCTGAAAGCGCTCCAAATGTCCACTTCCATATACTTAAAAAAGAGTGTTTCAAACCTGCTCTACCAAAGGGAATGTTCTACTCTGTGACATGAATGCAAACATCCCAAAGAAGTTTCTGAGAATGCTTCTGTCTAGATTTGATCTGAAGACAATCCCGTTTCCAACGAAATCCTCAAGGCTAGGCAAATATCCTCTTGCAGATTCCAGAAAAAGAGTGTTTCAAAACTGCTCCTTCAAAACGGTGGTTCAATTCTCTTAGTTGAGTACACACATCTCAAATAAGTTTCTGAGAATGCTTCTGCCTAGTTGTTACGGGAAGATATTTCCCTTTCCAACATAGGCCTGAAAGCGCTCCAAATGTCCACTTCCAGATACTACAAAAAGAGTGTTTCAAACCTGCTCTACCAAAGGGAATGTTCTGCTCTGTGACTTGAATGGAAACATCCCAAAGAAGTTTCTGAGAATGCTTCTGTCTAGATTTTACCTGAAGACAATCCCGTTTCCCACGAAATCCTCAAAGCTATGCAAATATCCTCTTGCAGATTCTACAAAAAGAGTATTTCAAAACTGCTCTATAAAAAGAAAGGTTCAACTCTGTCAGTAGAGGGCACACATCACAAACAAGTTTCTGAGAATGCTTGTGTCTAGTTGTTATTGGAAGATATTTCCTTTTTCAACATAGGCCTGAAAGCGCTCCAAATGTCCACTTCCAGATACTACAAAAGGAGTGATTCCAACCTGCTCTATGATAGGGAATGTTCATCTCTGTGTCCTGAATACAAACATCACAAAGATGTTTCTCAGAACGCTGCAGTCTGCAATTTGTATGAATTCCCGCTTCCAACGAAATCCTCAAAACTAGCCAAATATCCACTTGCAGATTCCACAAAAAGAGCATTTCAAAACTGCTCTATCAAAAGAAAGGTTCAACTTTGTTAGTTGAGTAGATACAGCATAAACAAGTTTCTGAGAATGCTTCTGTCCAGTTTTTATGGGAAGATATTTCCTTTTTCACCTTAGCCCTGAAAGCGCTCCAAATTTCCAGTTCCAGATACTACAAAAGGTGTGTTTCAAGACTGCTCTATGAAAGGGAGTGTTCAACTTTTGACTTGAATGCAAACATCAGAAAGTAGTTTCTCAGAACGCTGCTGTGTGCTTTTTATATGTATTCCCGCTTCCAGCGAAATCCCCAAAGCTAGCCAAATATCCACTTGCAGATTCCAGAAAAAGAGTGTTTCAAAACTGCTCCTTCAAAACGGTGGTTCAATTCTCTTAGTTGAGTACACACATCTCAAATAAGTTTCTGAGAATGCTTGTGTCTAGTTGTTATGGGAAGATATTTCCTTTTTCAACATAGGCCTGAAAGCGCTCCAAATGTCCACTTCCAGATACTACAAAAGGAGTGATTCCAACCTGCTCTATGATAGGGAATGTTCAACTCTGTGTCCTGAATACAAACATCACAAAGATATTTCTCAGAACGCTGCAGTCTGCAATTTGTATGAATTCCCGCTTCCAACGAAATCCTCAAAACTAGCCAAATATCCACTTGCAGATTCCACAAAAAGAGCGTTTCAAAACTTCTCTATGAAAAGAAAGGTTCTACACCTTTAGTTGAGGACACACATCACGAGTAAGTTTCTGAGAATGCTTCTGTCTAGTTTTTATGGGAAGATATTTCCTTTTTCACCTTAGGCTGGAAAGTGCTCCAAATGTCCACTTACACACACTACAAAAAGAGTGTTTCAAACCTGCTCTGTGAAAGGGAATGTTCAATTCTGTGACTTGAATGCAATCATCACAAAGAACTTTCTGAGACTGCTGCTGTCTGCTTTTTATATGTAATCCCGTTTCCAACGAAATCCTCAAATCTAGCCAAATATCCACTTGCAGATTCCAGAAAAAGAGTGTTTCAAAACTGCTCCTTCAAAACGGTGGTTCAATTCTCTTAGTTGAGTACACACATCTCAAATAAGTTTCTGAGAATGCTTGTGTCTAGTTGTTATGGAAAGATATTTCCTTTTTCAACATAGGCCTGAAAGCGCTCCAAATGTCCACTTCCAGATACTACAAAAGGAGTGATTCCAACCTGCTCTATGATAGGGAATGTTCATCTCTGTGTCCTGAATACAAACATCACAACGATGTTTCTCAGAACGCTTCTCTCTAGATTTTTATATGAGGATATTCCCGTTTCCAACGAAATCCACAAAGCTATCGAAATATCCACTTGCAGATTCTACAAAAAGAGTGTTTCAAAACTGCTCTATCAAAAGAAAGGTTCTACCCCTTTAGTTGAGGACACACATCACGAGTAAGTTTCTGAGAATGCTTCTGTCTAGTTTTTATGGGAAGATATTTCCTTTTTCACCTGAGGCCGGAAAGCGCTCCAAATGTCCACTTCCAGATACTACAAAAGGAGTGATTCAAACCTGCTCTATGATAGGGAACGTTCAACTCTGTGTCCTGAATACAAACATCACAAAGATGTTTCTCAGAACGCTGCAGTCTGCAATTTGTATGAATTCCCGCTTCCAACGAAATCCTCCAAACTAGCCAAATATCCACTTGCAGATTCCACAAAAAGAGCGTTTCAAAACTTCTCTATGAAAGAAAGGTTCTACTCCTTTAGTTGAGGACACACATCACGAGTAAGTTTCTGAGAATGCTTCTGTCTAGTTTTTATGGGAAGATATTTCCTTTCTCACCTTAGGCCGGAAAGTGCTCCAAATGTCCACTTACACACACTACAAAAAGAGTGTTTCAAACCTGCTCTGTGAAAGGGAATGTTCAATTCTGTGACTTGAATGCAATCATCACAAAGAACTTTCTGAGAATGCTGCTGTCTGCTTTTTATATGTAATCCCGTTTCCAACGAAATACTCAAATCTAGCCAAATAGCCACTTGCAGATACCACAAAAAGAGAGTTTCAAAACTGTTCTGTCTAAAGAAATGTTCAACTGTGTTAGTTGAGGACACACATCAGAAACTAGTTTCTGAGAATGCTTCTGTCTAGTTGTTATGGGAAGATATTTCCTTTTCCAACGTAGGCCTGAAAGCGCTCCAAATGTCCACTTCCATATACTAAAAAAAGAGTGTTTCACACCTGCTCTACCAAAGGGAATGTTCTACTCTGTGACTTGAATGCAAACATCCCAAAGAAGTTTCTGAGAATGCTTCTGTCTAGATTTGATCTGAACACAATCCCGTTTCCAACGAAATCCTCAAAGCTAGGCAAATATCCTCTTGAAGATTCCAGAAAAAGAGTGTTTCAAAACTGCTCCTTCAAAACGGTGGTTCAATTCTCTTAGTTGAGTACACACATCTCAAATAAGTTTCTGAGAATGCTTCTGCCTAGTTGTTACGTGAAGATATTTCCCTTTCCAACATAGGCCTGAAAGCGCTCCTAATGTCCACTTCCAGATACTACAAAAAGAGTGTTTCAAACCTGCTCTACCAAAGGGAATGTTCTGCTCTGTAACTTGAATGCAAACATCCCAAAGAAGTTTACTGAGAATGCTTCTGTCTAGATTTTACCTGAAGACAATCCCGTTTCCCACGAAATCCTCAAAGCTATACAAATATCCTCTTGCAGATTCTACAAAAAGAGTGTTTCAAAACTGCTCTATGAAAAGAAAGGTTCAACTCTGTCAGTAGAGGGCACACATCACAAACAAGTTTCTGAGAATGCTTGTGTCTAGTTGTTATGGGAAGATATTTCCTTTTTCAACATAGGCCTGAAAGCGCTCCAAATGTCCACTTCCAGATACTACAAAAGGAGTGATTCCAACCTGCTCTATGATAGGGAATGTTCAACTCTCTGTCCTGAATACAAACATCACAAAGATGTTTCTCAGAACGCTGCTGTCTGCTTTTTATATGTAATCCCGTTTCCAACGAAATCCTCAAATCTAGCCCAATATCCACTTGCAGATTCCACAAAAAGACCATTTCAAAACTGCTCTATCAAAAGAAAGGTTCAACTTTGTTAGTTGAGTAGATACAGCATAAACAAGTTTCTGAGAATGCTTCTGTCCAGTTTTTATGGGAAGATATTTCCTTTTTCACCTTAGCCCTGAAATCGCTCCAAAAGTCCAGGTCGAGATACTACAAAAGGGGTGTTTCAAGACTGCTCTATGAAAGGGAGTGTTCAACTTTTGACTTGAATGCAAACATCAGAAAGCAGTTTCTCAGAACGCTGCTGTGTGCTTTTTATATGTATTCCCGCTTCCAGCGAAATCCCCAAAGCTAGCCAAATATCCACTTGCAGATTCCAGAAAAAGAGAGTTTCAAAACTGCTCCTTCAAAACGGTGGTTCAATTCTCTTAGTTGAGTACACACATCTCAAATAAGTTTCTGAGAATGCTTCTGTCTAGTTGTTATGGGAAGATATTTCCTTTTCCAACATAGGCCTGAAAGCGCTCCAAATGTCCACTTCCAGATACTACAAAAGGAGTGATTCAAACCTGCTCTATGATAGGGAATGTTCAACTCTGTGTCCTGAATACAAACATCACAAAGATGTTTCTCAGAACGCTGCAGTCTGCAATTTGTATGAATTCCCGCTTCCAACGAAATCCTCAAAACTAGCCAAATATCCACTTGCAGATTCCACAAAAAGAGCGTTTCAAAACTTCTCTATGAAAAGAAAGGTTCTACTCCTTTAGTTGAGGACACACATCACGAGTAAGTTTCTGAGAATGCTTCTGTCTAGTTTTTATGGGAAGATTATTTCCTTTTTCACCTTAGGCCGGTAAGTGCTCCAAATGTCCACTTACACACACTACAAAAAGAGTGTTTCAAACCTGCTCTGTGAAAGGGAATGTTCAATTCTGTGACTTGAATGCAATCATCACAAAGAACTTTCTGAGAATGCTGCTGGCTGCTTTTTATATGTAATCCCGTTTCCAACGAAATCCTCAAATCTAGCCAAATAGCCACTTGCAGATTCCACAAAAAGAGTGTTTCAAAACTGTTCTGTCTAAAGAAATGTTCAACTGTGTTAGTTGAGGACACACATCAGAAACTAGTTTCTGAGAATGCTTCTGTCTAGTTGTTATGGGAAGATATTTCCTTTTCCAACGTAGGCCTGAAAGCGCTCCAAATGTCCACTTCCAGATACTAAAAAAAGAGTGTTTCAAACCTGCTCTACCAAAGGGAATGTTCTACTCTGTGACTTGAATGCAAGCATCCCAAAGAAGTTTCTGAGAATGCTTCTGTCTAGATTTTCTCTGAAGACAATCCCGTTTCCAACGAAATCCTCAAGGCTAGGCAAATATACTCTTGCAGATTCCAGAAAAAGAGTGTTTCAAAACTGCTCCTTCAAAACGGTGGTTCAATTCTCTTAGTTGAGTACACACATCTCAAATAAGTTTCTGAGAATGCTTCTGCCTAGTTGTTACGGGAAGATATTTCCCTTTCCAACATGGGCCTGAAAGCGCTCCAAATGTCCACTTCCAGATACTACAAAAAGAGTGTTTCAAACCTGCTCTACCAAAGGGAATGTTCTACTCTGTGACTTGAATGCAAACATCCCAAAGAAGTTTCTGAGAATGCTTCTGTCTAGATTTTACCTGAAGACAATCCCGTTTCCCACGAAATCCTCAAAGCTATGCAAATATCCTCTTGCAGATTCTACAAAAAGAGTGTTTCAAAACTGCTCTATGAAAAGAAAGGTTCAACTCTGTCAGTAGAGGGCACACATCACAAACAAGTTTCTGAGAATGCTTCTGCATAGTTGTTACGGGAAGATATTTCCCTTTCCAAAATAGGCCTGAAAGCGCTCCAAATGTCCACTTCCAGATACTACAAAAGGAGTGATTCCAACCTGCTCTATGATAGGGAATGTTCAACTCTGTGTCCTGAATACAAACATCACAAAGATGTTTCTCAGAACGCTGCAGTCTGCAATTTGTATGAATTCCCGCTTCCAACGAAATCCTCAAAACTAGCCAAATATCCACTTGCAGATTCCACAAAAAGACCATTTCAAAACTGCTCTATCAAAAGAAAGGTTCAACTTTGTTAGTTGAGTAGATACAGCATAAACAAGTTTCTGAGAATGCTTCCGTCCAGTTTTTATGGGAAGATATTTCCTTTTTCACCTTAGCCCTGAAATCGCTCCAAAAGTCCAGTTCCAGATACTACAAAAGGGGTGTTTCAAGACTGCTCTATGAAAGGGAGTGTTCAACTTTTGACTTGAATGCAAACATCAGAAAGCAGTTTCTCAGAACGCTGCTGTGTGCTTTTTATATGTATTCCCGCTTCCAGCGAAATCCCCAAAGCTAGCCAAATATCCACTTGCAGATTCCAGAAAAAGAGAGTTTCAAAACTGCTCCTTCAAAACGGTGGTTCAATTCTCTTAGTTGAGTACACACATCTCAAATAAGTTTCTGAGAATGCTTCTGTCTAGTTGTTATGGGAAGATATTTCCTTTTCCAACATAGGCCTGAAAGCGCTCCAAATGTCCACTTCCAGATACTACAAAAGGAGTGATTCAAACCTGCTCTATGATAGGGAATGTTCAACTCTGTGTCCTGAATACAAACATCACAAAGATGTTTCTCAGAACGCTGCAGTCTGCAATTTGTATGAATTCCCGCTTCCAACGAAATCCTCAAAACTAGCCAAATATCCACTTGCAGATTCCACAAAAAGAGCGTTTCAAAACTTCTCTATGAAAAGAAAGGTTCTACTCCTTTAGTTGAGGACACACATCACGAGTAAGTTTGCTGAGAATGCTTATCTGTCTAGTTTTTATGGGAAGATATTTCCTTTTTCACCTTAGGCCGGTAAGTGCTCCAAATGTCCACTTACACACACTACAAAAAGAGTGTTTCAAACCTGCTCTGTGAAAGGGAATGTTCAATTCTGTGACTTGAATGCAATCATCACAAAGAACTTTCTGAGAATGCTGCTGACTGCTTTTTATATGTAATCCCGTTTCCAACGAAATCCTCAAATCTAGCCAAATAGCCACTTGCAGATTCCACAAAAAGAGTGTTTCAAAACTGTTCTGTCTAAAGAAATGTTCAACTGTGTTAGTTGAGGACACACATCAGAAACTAGTTTCTGAGAATGCTTCTGTCTAGTTGTTATGGGAAGATATTTCCTTTTCCAACGTAGGCCTGAAAGCGCTCCAAATGTCCACTTCCAGATACTACAAAAAGAGTGTTTCAAACCTGCTCTACCAAAGGGAATGTTCTACTCTGTGACTTGAATGCAAACATCCCAAAGAAGTTTCTGAGAATGCTTCTGTCTAGATTTTCTCTGAAGACAATCCCGTTTCCAACGAAATCCTCAAGGCTAGGCAAATATACTCTTGCAGATTCCAGAAAAAGAGTGTTTCAAAACTGCTCCTTCAAAACGGTGGTTCAATTCTCTTAGTTGAGTACACACATCTCAAATAAGTTTCTGAGAATGCTTCTGCCTAGTTGTTACGGGAAGATATTTCCCTTTCCAACATGGGCCTGAAAGCGCTCCAAATGTCCACTTCCAGATACTACAAAAAGAGTGTTTCAAACCTGCTCTACCAAAGGGAATGTTCTACTCTGTGACTTGAATGCAAACATCCCAAAGTAGTTTCTGAGAATGCTTCTGTCTAGATTTTACCTGAAGACAATCCCGTTTCCCACGAAATCCTCAAAGCTATGCAAATATCCTCTTGCGGATTCTACAACAAGAGTGTTTCAAAACTGCTCTATGAAAAGAAAGGTTCAACTCTGTCAGTAGAGGGCACACATCACAAACAAGTTTCTGAGAATGCTTCTGTCTAGTTGTTATGGGAAGATATTTCCTTTTCCAACATAGGCCTGAAAGCGCTCCAAATGTCCACTTCCAGATACTACAAAAGGAGTGATTCAAACCTGCTCTATGATAGGAAATGTTCAACTCTGTGTCCTGAATACAAACATCACAAAGATGTTTCTCAGAACGCTGCAGTCTGCAATTTGTATGAATTCCCGCTTCCAACGAAATCCTCAAAACTAGCCAAATATCCACTTGCAGATTCCACAAAAAGAGCATTTCAAAACTGCTCTATCAAAAGAAAGGTTCAACTTTGTTAGTTGAGTAGATACAGCATAAACAAGTTTCTGAGAATGCTTCTGTCCAGTTTTTATGGGAAGATATTTCCTTTTTCACCTTAGCCCTGAAAGCGCTCCAAAAGTCCAGTTCCAGATACTACAAAAGGAGTGTTTCAGGACTGCTCTATGAAAGGGAGTGTTCAACTTTTGACTTGAATGCAAACATCAGAAAGCAGTTTCTCAGAACGCTGCTGTGTGCTTTTTATATGTATTCCCGCTTCCAGCGAAATCCCCAAAGCTAGCCAAATATCCACTTGCAGATTCCAGAAAAAGAGTGTTTCAAAACTGCTCCTTCAAAACGGTGGTTCAATTCTCTTAGTTGAGTACACACATCTCAAATAAGTTTCTGAGAATGCTTCTGTCTAGTTGTTATGGGAAGATATTTCCTTTTCCAACATAGGCCTGAAAG
The DNA here is from genome assembly GCF_000001405.40 of Homo sapiens. Classification (NCBI taxonomy): domain Eukaryota; kingdom Metazoa; phylum Chordata; class Mammalia; order Primates; family Hominidae; genus Homo; species Homo sapiens. The sequence goes on along the minus strand of NC_000018.10, from coordinate 17,438,039 downwards.
CACTCCAAATGTCCACTTCCAGATACTACAAAAGGAGTGATTCCAACCTGCTCTATGATAGGGAATGTTCAACTCTGTGTCCTGAATACAAACATCACAAAGATGTTTCTCAGAACGCTGCAGTCTGCAATTTGTATGAATTCCCGCTTCCAACGAAATCCTCCAAACTAGCCAAATATCCACTTGCAGATTCCACAAAAAGAGCGTTTCAAAACTTCTCTATGAAAGAAAGGTTCTACTCCTTTAGTTGAGGACACACATCACGAGTAAGTTTCTGAGAATGCTTCTGTCTAGTTTTTATGGGAAGATATTTCCTTTTTCACCTTAGGCCGGAAAGTGCTCCAAATGTCCACTTACACACACTACAAAAAGAGTGTTTCAAACCTGCTCTGTGAAAGGGAATGTTCAATTCTGTGACTTGAATGCAATCATCACAAAGAAGTTTCTGAGAATGCTGCTGACTGCTTTTTATATGTAATCCCGTTTCCACCGAAATCCTCAAATCTAGCCAAATATCCACTTGCAGATTCCACAAAAAGAGTGTTTCAAAACTGTTCTGTCTAAAGAAAAGTTCAACTGTGTTAGTTGAGGACACACATCAGAAACTAGTTTCTGAGAATGCTTCTGTCTAGTTGTTATGGGAAGATATTTCCTTTTCCAACGTAGGCCTGAAAGCGCTCCAAATGTCCACTTCCATATACTAAAAAAAGAGTGTTTCAAACCTGCTCTACCAAAGGGAATGTTCTACTCTGTGACTTGAATGCAAACATCCCAAAGAAGTTTCTGAGAATGCTTCTGTCTAGATTTTATCTGAAGACAATCCCGTTTCCAACGAAATCTTCAAGGCTAGGCAAATATACTCTTGCAGATTCCAGAAAAAGAGTGTTTCAAATCTGCTCCTTCAAAACGGTGGTTCAATTCTCTTAGTTGAGTACACACATCTCAAATAAGTTTCTGAGAATGCTTCTGCCTAGTTGTTACGGGAAGATATTTCCCTTTCCAACATGGGCCTGAAAGCGCTCCAAATGTCCACTTCCAGATACTACAAAAAGAGGGTTTCAAACCTGCTCTACCAAAGGGAATGTTCTACTCTGTGACTTGAATGCAAACATCCCAAAGAAGTTTCTGAGAATGCTTCTGTCTAGATTTTACATGAAGACAATCCCGTTTCCCACGAAATCCTCAAAGCTATGCAAATATCCTCTTGCAGATTCTACAAAAAGAGTGTTTCAAAACTGCTCTATGAAAAGAAAGGTTCAACTCTGTCAGTAGAGGGCACACATCACAAACAAGTTTCTGAGAATGCTTGTGTCTAGTTGTTATGGGAAGATATTTCCTTTTTCAACATAGGCCTGAAAGCGCTCCAAATGTCCACTTCCAGATACTACAAAAGGAGTGATTCCAACCTGCTCTATGATAGGGAATGTTCATCTCTGTGTCCTGAATACAAACATCACAAAGATGTTTCTCAGAACGCTGCAGTCTGCAATTTGTATGAATTCCCGCTTCCAACGAAATCCTCAAAACTAGCCAAATATCCACTTGGAGATTCCACAAAAAGAGCATTTCAAAACTTCTCTATGAATAGAAAGGTTCTACTCCTTTAGTTGAGGACACACATCACGAGTAAGTTTCTGAGAATGCTTCTGTCTAGTTTTTATGGGAAGATATTTCCTTTTTCACCTTAGGCCGGAAAGCGCTCCAAATGTCCACTTACACACACTACAAAAAGAGTGTTTCAAACCTGCTCTGTGAAAGGGAATGTTCAATTCTGTGACTTGAATGCAATCATCACAAAGAACTTTCTGAGAATGCTGCTGTCTGCTTTTTATATGTAATCCCGTTTCCAACGAAATCCTCATATCTAGCCAAATATCCACTTGCAGATTCCACAAAAAGAGTGTTTCAAAACTGTTCTGTCTAAAGAAAAGTTCAACTGTGTTAGTTGAGGACACACATCAGAAACTAGTTTCTGAGAATGCTTCTGTCTAGTTGTTATGGGAAGATATTTCCTTTTCCAACGTAGGCCTGAAAGCGCTCCAAATGTCCATTTCCATATACTAAAAAAAGAGTGTTTCAAACCTGCTCTATCAAAGGGAATTTTCTACTCTGTGACTTGAATACAAACATCCCAAAGAAGTTTCTGAGAATGCTTCTGTCTAGATTTTATCTGAAGACAATCCCGTTTCCAACGAAATCCTCAAGGCTAGGCAAATATCGTCTAGCAGATTCCAGAAAAAGAGTGTTTCAAAACTGCTCCTTCAAAACGGTGGTTCAATTCTCTTAGTTGAGTACACACATCTCAAAAAAGTTTCAGAGAATGCTTCTGCCTAGTTGTTACGGGAAGATATTTCCCTTTCCAACATGGGCCTGAAAGTGCTGCAAATGTCCACTTCCAGATACTACAAAAAGAGTGTTTCAAACCTGCTCTACCAAAGGGAATGTTCTACTCTGTGACTTGAATGCAAACATCCCAAAGAAGTTTCTGAGAATGCTTCTGTCTAGATTTTACCTGAAGACAATCCCGTTTCCCACGAAATCCTCAAAGCTATGCAAATATCCTCTTGCAGATTCTACAAAAAGAGTGTTTCAAAACTGCTCTATGAAAAGAAAGGTTCAACTCTGTCAGTAGAGGGCACACATCACAAACAAGTTTCTGAGAATGCTTGTGTCTAGTTGTTATGGGAAGATATTTCCTTTTTCAACATAGGACTGAAAGCGCTCCAAATGTCCACTTCCAGATACTACAAAAGGAGTGATTCCAACCTGCTCTATGATAGGGAATGTTCATCTCTGTGTCCTGAATACAAACATCACAAAGATGATTCTCAGAACGCTGCAGTCTGCAATTTGTATGAATTCCCGCTTCCAACGAAATCCTCAAAACTAGCCAAATATCCACTTGGAGATTCCACAAAAAGAGCGTTTCAAAACTTCTCTATGAATAGAAATGTTCTACTCCTTTAGTTGAGGACACACATCACGAGTAAGTTTCTGAGAATGCTTCTGTCTAGTTTTTATGGGAAGATATTTCCTTTTTCACCTTAGGCCGGAAAGCGCTCCAAATGTCCACTTACACACACTACAAAAAGAGTGTTTCAAACCTGCTCTGTGAAAGGGAATGTTCAATTCTGTGACTTGAATGCAATCATCACAAAGAACTTTCTGAGAATGCTGCTGTCTGCTTTTTATATGTAATCCCGTTTCCAACGAAATCCTCAAATCTAGCCAAATATCCACTTGCAGATTCCACAAAAAGAGTGTTTCAAAACTGTTCTGTGTAAAGAAAAGTTCAACTGTGTTAGTTGAGGACACACATCAGAAACTAGTTTCTGAGAATGCTTCTGTCTAGTTGTTATGGGAAGATATTTCCTTTTCCAACGTAGGCCTGAAAGCGCTCCAAATGTCCACTTCCATATACTAAAAAAAGAGTGTTTCAAACCTGCTCTACCAAAGGGAATGTTCTACTCTGTGACTTGAATGCAAACATCCCAAAGAAGTTTCTGAGAATGCTTCTGTCTAGATTTTATCTGAAGACAATCCCGTTTCCAACGAAATCCTCAAGGCTAGGCAAATATACTCTTGCAGATTCCAGAAAAAGAGTGTTTCAAAACTGCTCCTTCAAAACGGTGGTTCAATTCTCTTAGTTGAGTACACACATCTCAAATAAGTTTCTGAGAATGCTTCTGCCTAGTTGTTACGGGAAGATATTTCCCTTTCCAACATGGGCCTGAAAGCGCTCCAAATGTCCACTTCCAGATACTACAAAAAGAGTGTTTCAAACCTGCTCTACCAAAGGGAATGTTCTACTCTGTGACTTGAATGCAAACATCCCAAAGAAGTTTCTGAGAATGCTTCTGTCTAGATTTTACCTGAAGACAATCCCGTTTCCCACGAAATCCTCAAAGCTATGCAAATATCCTCTTGCAGATTCTACAAAAAGAGTGTTTCAAAACTGCTCTATGAAAAGAAAGGTTCAACTCTGTCAGTAGAGGGCACACATCACAAACAAGTTTCTGAGAATGCTTCTGCATAGTTGTTACGGGAAGATATTTCCCTTTCCAAAATAGGCCTGAAAGCGCTCCAAATGTCCACTTCCAGATACTACAAAAGGAGTGATTCCAACCTGCTCTATGATAGGGAATGTTCAACTCTGTGTCCTGAATACAAACATCACAAAGATGTTTCTCAGAACGCTGCAGTCTGCAATTTGTATGAATTCCCGCTTCCAACGAAATCCTCAAAACTAGCCAAATATCCACTTGCAGATTCCACAAAAAGACCATTTCAAAACTGCTCTATCAAAAGAAAGGTTCAACTTTGTTAGTTGAGTAGATACAGCATAACCAAGTTTCTGAGAATGCTTCTGTCCAGTTTTTATGGGAAGATATTTCCTTTTTCACCTTAGCCCTGAAATCGCTCCAAAAGTCCAGTTCCAGATACTACAAAAGGGGTGTTTCAAGACTGCTCTATGAAAGGGAGTGTTCAACTTTTGACTTGAATGCAAACATCAGAAAGCAGTTTCTCAGAACGCTGCTGTGTGCTTTTTATATGTATTCCCGCTTCCAGCGAAATCCCCAAAGCTAGCCAAATATCCACTTGCAGATTCCAGAAAAAGAGAGTTTCAAAACTGCTCCTTCAAAACGGTGGTTCAATTCTCTTAGTTGAGTACACACATCTCAAATAAGTTTCTGAGAATGCTTCTGTCTAGTTGTTATGGGAAGATATTTCCTTTTCCAACATAGGCCTGAAAGCGCTCCAAATGTCCACTTCCAGATACTACAAAAGGAGTGATTCCAACCTGCTCTATGATAGGGAATGTTCAACTCTGTGTCCTGAATACAAACATCACAAAGATGTTTCTCAGAACGCTGCAGTCTGCAATTTGTATGAATTCCCGCTTCCAACGAAATCCTCAAAACTAGCCAAATATCCACTTGCAGATTCCACAAAAAGAGCGTTTCAAAACTTCTCTATGAAAAGAAAGGTTCTACTCCTTTAGTTGAGGACACACATCACGAGTAAGTTTCTGAGAATGCTTCTGTCTAGTTTTTATGGGAAGATATTTCCTTTTTCACCTTAGGCCGGTAAGTGCTCCAAATGTCCACTTACACACACTACAAAAAGAGTGTTTCAAACCTGCTCTGTGAAAGGGAATGTTCAATTCTGTGACTTGAATGCAATCATCACAAAGAACTTTCTGAGAATGCTGCTGACTGCTTTTTATATGTAATCCCGTTTCCAACGAAATCCTCAAATCTAGCCAAATAGCCACTTGCAGATTCCACAAAAAGAGTGTTTCAAAACTGTTCTGTCTAAAGAAATGTTCAACTGTGTTAGTTGAGGACACACATCAGAAACTAGTTTCTGAGAATGCTTCTGTCTAGTTGTTATGGGAAGATATTTCCTTTTCCAACGTAGGCCTGAAAGCGCTCCAAATGTCCACTTCCAGATACTACAAAAAGAGTGTTTCAAACCTGCTCTACCAAAGGGAATGTTCTACTCTGTGACTTGAATGCAAGCATCCCAAAGAAGTTTCTGAGAATGCTTCTGTCTAGATTTTCTCTGAAGACAATCCCGTTTCCAACGAAATCCTCAAGGCTAGGCAAATATACTCTTGCAGATTCCAGAAAAAGAGTGTTTCAAAACTGCTCCTTCAAAACGGTGGTTCAATTCTCTTAGTTGAGTACACACATCTCAAATAAGTTTCTGAGAATGCTTCTGCCTAGTTGTTACGGGAAGATATTTCCCTTTCCAACATGGGCCTGAAAGCGCTCCAAATGTCCACTTCCAGATACTACAAAAAGAGTGTTTCAAACCTGCTCTACCAAAGGGAATGTTCTACTCTGTGACTTGAATGCAAACATCCCAAAGAAGTTTCTGAGAATGCTTCTGTCTAGATTTTACCTGAAGACAATCCCGTTTCCCACGAAATCCTCAAAGCTATGCAAATATCCTCTTGCAGATTCTACAAAAAGAGTGTTTCAAAACTGCTCTATGAAAAGAAAGGTTCAACTCTGTCAGTAGAGGGCACACATCACAAACAAGTTTCTGAGAATGCTTCTGCATAGTTGTTACGGGAAGATATTTCCCTTTCCAAAATAGGCCTGAAAGCGCTCCAAATGTCCACTTCCAGATACTACAAAAGGAGTGATTCCAACCTGCTCTATGATAGGGAATGTTCAACTCTGTGTCCTGAATACAAACATCACAAAGATGTTTCTCAGAACGCTGCAGTCTGCAATTTGTATGAATTCCCGCTTCCAACGAAATCCTCAAAACTAGCCAAATATCCACTTGCAGATTCCACAAAAAGACCATTTCAAAACTGCTCTATCAAAAGAAAGGTTCAACTTTGTTAGTTGAGTAGATACAGCATAAACAAGTTTCTGAGAATGCTTCTGTCCAGTTTTTATGGGAAGATATTTCCTTTTTCACCTTAGCCCTGAAATCGCTCCAAAAGTCCAGTTCCAGATACTACAAAAGGGGTGTTTCAGGACTGCTCTATGAAAGGGAGTGTTCAACTTTTGACTTGAATGCAAACATCAGAAAGCAGTTTCTCAGAACGCTGCTGTGTGCTTTTTATATGTATTCCCGCTTCCAGCGAAATCCCCAAAGCTAGCCAAATATCCACTTGCAGATTCCAGAAAAAGAGAGTTTCAAAACTGCTCCTTCAAAACGGTGGTTCAATTCTCTTAGTTGAGTACACACATCTCAAATAAGTTTCTGAGAATGCTTCTGTCTAGTTGTTATGGGAAGATATTTCCTTTTCCAACATAGGCCTGAAAGCGCTCCAAATGTCCACTTCCAGATACTACAAAAGGAGTGATTCAAACCTGCTCTATGATAGGGAATGTTCAACTCTGTGTCCTGAATACAAACATCACAAAGATGTTTCTCAGAACGCTGCAGTCTGCAATTTGTATGAATTCCCGCTTCCAACGAAATCCTCAAAACTAGCCAAATATCCACTTGCAGATTCCACAAAAAGAGCGTTTCAAAACTTCTCTATGAAAAGAAAGGTTCTACTCCTTTAGTTGAGGACACACATCACGAGTAAGTTTCTGAGAATGCTTCTGTCTAGTTTTTATGGGAAGATATTTCCTTTTTCACCTTAGGCCGGAAAGTGCTCCAAATGTCCACTTACACACACTACAAAAAGAGTGTTTCAAACCTGCTCTGTGAAAGGGAATGTTCAATTCTGTGACTTGAATGCAATCATCACAAAGAACTTTCTGAGAATGCTGCTGACTGCTTTTTATATGTAATCCCGTTTCCAACGAAATCCTCAAATCTAGCCCAATATCCACTTGCAGATTCCACAAAAAGAGTGTTTCAAAACTGTTCTGTGTAAAGAAATGTACAACTGTGTTAGTTGAGGCCACACATCAGAAACTAGTTTCTGAGAATGCTTCTGTCTAGTTGTTATGGGAAGATATTTCCTTTTCCAACGTAGGCCTGAAAGCGCTCCAAATGTCCACTTCCATATACTAAAAAAAGAGTGTTTCAAACCTGCTCTACCAAAGGGAATGTTCTACTCTGTGACTTGAATGCAAACATCCCAAAGAAGTTTCTGAGAATGCTTCTGTCTAGATTTTCTCTGAAGACAATCCCGTTTCCAACGAAATCCTCAAGGCTAGGCAAATATACTCTTGCAGATTCCAGAAAAAGAGTGTTTCAAAACTGCTCCTTCAAAACGGTGGTTCAATTCTCTTAGTTGAGTACACACATCTCAAATAAGTTTCTGAGAATGCTTCTGCCTAGTTGTTACGGGAAGATATTTCCCTTTCCAACATGGGCCTGAAAGCGCTCCAAATGTCCACTTCCAGATACTACAAAAAGAGTGTTTCAAACCTGCTCTACCAAAGGGAATGTTCTACTCTGTGACTTGAATGCAAACATCCCAAAGAAGTTTCTGAGAATGCTTCTGTCTAGATTTTACCTGAAGACAATCCCGTTTCCCACGAAATCCTCAAAGCTATGCAAATATCCTCTTGCAGATTCTACAAAAAGAGTGTTTCAAAACTGCTCTATGAAAAGAAAGGTTCAACTCTGTCAGTAGAGGGCACACATCACAAACAAGTTTCTGAGAATGCTTCTGCATAGTTGTTACGGGAAGATATTTCCCTTTCCAAAATAGGCCTGAAAGCGCTCCAAATGTCCACTTCCAGATACTACAAAAGGAGTGATTCCAACCTGCTCTATGATAGGGAATGTTCAACTCTGTGTCCTGAATACAAACATCACAAAGATGTTTCTCAGAACGCTGCAGTCTGCAATTTGTATGAATTCCCGCTTCCAACGAAATCCTCAAAACTAGCCAAATATCCACTTGCAGATTCCACAAAAAGACCATTTCAAAACTGCTCTATCAAAAGAAAGGTTCAACTTTGTTAGTTGAGTAGATACAGCATAAACAAGTTTCTGAGAATGCTTCTGTCCAGTTTTTATGGGAAGATATTTCCTTTTTCACCTTAGCCCTGAAATCGCTCCAAAAGTCCAGTTCCAGATACTACAAAAGGGGTGTTTCAAGACTGCTCTATGAAAGGGAGTGTTCAACTTTTGACTTGAATGCAAACATCAGAAAGCAGTTTCTCAGAACGCTGCTGTGTGCTTTTTATATGTATTCCCGCTTCCAGCGAAATCCCCAAAGCTAGCCAAATATCCACTTGCAGATTCCAGAAAAAGAGAGTTTCAAAACTGCTCCTTCAAAACGGTGGTTCAATTCTCTTAGTTGAGTACACACATCTCAAATAAGTTTCTGAGAATGCTTCTGTCTAGTTGTTATGGGAAGATATTTCCTTTTCCAACATAGGCCTGAAAGCGCTCCAAATGTCCACTTCCAGATACTACAAAAGGAGTGATTCCAACCTGCTCTATGATAGGGAATGTTCAACTCTGTGTCCTGAATACAAACATCACAAAGATGTTTCTCAGAACGCTGCAGTCTGCAATTTGTATGAATTCCCGCTTCCAACGAAATCCTCAAAACTAGCCAAATATCCACTTGCAGATTCCACAAAAAGAGCGTTTCAAAACTTCTCTATGAAAAGAAAGGTTCTACTCCTTTAGTTGAGGACACACATCACGAGTAAGTTTCTGAGAATGCTTCTGTCTAGTTTGTATGGGAAGATATTTCCTTTTTCACCTTAGGCCGGAAAGTGCTCCAAATGTCCACTTACACACACTACAAAAAGAGTGTTTCAAACCTGCTCTGTGAAAGGGAATGTTCAATTCTGTGACTTGAATGCAATCATCACAAAGAACTTTCTGAGAATGCTGCTGTCTGCTTTTTATATGTAATCCCGTTTCCAACGAAATCCTCAAATCTAGCCAAATAGCCACTTGCAGATTCCACAAAAAGAGAGTTTCAAAACTGTTCTGTCTAAAGAAATGTTCAACTGTGTTAGTTGAGGACACACATCAGAAACTAGTTTCTGAGAATGCTTCTGTCTAGTTGTTATGGGAAGATATTTCCTTTTCCAACGTAGGCCTGAAAGCGCTCCAAATGTCCACTTCCATATACTAAAAAAAGAGTGTTTCACACCTGCTCTACCAAAGGGAATGTTCTACTCTGTGACTTGAATGCAAACATCCCAAAGTAGTTTCTGAGAATGCTTCTGTCTAGATTTGATCTGAACACAATCCCGTTTCCAACGAAATCCTCAAAGCTAGGCAAATATCCTCTTGCAGATTCCAGAAAAAGAGTGTTTCAAAACTGCTCCTTCAAAACGGTGGTTCAATTCTCTTAGTTGAGTACACACATCTCAAATAAGTTTCTGAGAATGCTTCTGCCTAGTTGTTACGGGAAGATATTTCCCTTTCCAACATAGGCTTGAAAGCGCTCCAAATGTCCACTTCCAGATACTATAAAAAGAGTGTTTCAAACCTGCTCTACCAAAGGGAATGTTCTACTCTGTGACATGAATGCAAACATCCCAAAGAAGTTTCTGAGAATGCTTCTGTCTAGATTTTACCTGAAGACAATCCCGTTTCCCACGAAATCCTCAAAGCTATGCAAATATCCTCTTGCAGATTCTACAAAAAGAGTGTTTCAAAACTGCTCTATGAAAAGAAAGGTTCAACTCTGTCACTAGAGGGCACACATCACAAACAAGTTTCTGAGAATGCTTGTGTCTAGTTGTTATGGGAAGATATTTCCTTTTTCAACATAGGCCTGAAAGCGCTCCAAATGTCCACTTCCAGATACTACAAAAGGAGTGATTCCAACCTGCTCTATGATAGGGAATGTTCAACTCTCTGTCCTGAATACAAACATCACAAAGATGTTTCTCAGAACGCTGCAGTCTGCAATTTGTATGAATTCCCGCTTCCAACGAAATCCTCAAAACTAGCCAAATATCCACTTGCAGATTCCACAAAAAGAGCATTTCAAAACTGCTCTATCAAAAGAAAGGTTCAAATTTGTTAGTTGAGTAGATACAGCATAAACAAGTTTCTGAGAATGCTTCTGTCCAGTTTTTATGGGAAGATATTTCCTTTTTCACCTTAGCCCTGAAAGCGCTCCAAAAGTCCAGTTCCAGATACTACAAAAGGAGTGTTTCAGGACTGCTCTATGAAAGGGAGTGTTCAACTTTTGACTTGAATGCAAACATCAGAAAGCAGTTTCTCAGAACGCTGCTGTGTGCTTTTTATATGTATTCCCGCTTCCAGCGAAATCCACAAAGCTAGCCAAATATCCACTTGCAGATTCCAGAAAAAGAGTGTTTCAAAACTGCTCCTTCAAAACGGTGGTTCAATTCTCTTAGTTGAGTACACACATCTCAAATAAGTTTCTGAGAATGCTTCTGTCTAGTTGTTATGGGAAGATATTTCCTTTTCCAACATAGGCCTGAAAGCGCTCCAAATGTCCACTTCCAGATACTACAAAAGGAGTGATTCCAACCTGCTCTATGATAGGGAATGTTCAACTCTGTGTCCTGAATACAAACATCACAAAGATGTTTCTCAGAACGCTGCAGTCTGCAATTTGTATGAATTCCCGCTTCCAACGAAATCCTCCAAACTAGCCAAATATCCACTTGCAGATTCCACAAAAAGAGAGTTTCAAAACTTCTCTATGAAAACAAAGGTTCTACTCCTTTAGTTGAGGACACACATCACGAGTAAGTTTCTGAGAATGCTTCTGTCTAGTTTTTATGGGAAGATATTCCCTTTTTCACCTTAGGCCGGAAAGTGCTCCAAATGTCCACTTACACACACTACAAAAAGAGTGTTTTTGAAACCTGCTCTGTGAAAGGGAATGTTCAATTCTGTGACTTGAATGCAGTCATCACAAAGAACTTTCTGAGAATGCTGCTGTCTGCTTTTTATATGTAATCCCGTTTCCAACGAAATCCTCAAATCTAGCCAAATAGCCACTTGCAGATTCCACAAAAAGAGTGTTTCAAAACTGTTCTGTCTAAAGAAATGTGCAACTGTGTTAGTTGAGGACACACATCAGAAACTAGTTTCTGAGAATGCTTCTGTCTAGTTGTTATGGGAAGATATTTCCTTTTCCAACGTAGGCCTGAAAGCGCTCCAAATGTCCACTTCCATATACTAAAAAAGAGTGTTTCAAACCTGCTCTACCAAAGGGAATGTTCTACTCTGTGACTTGAATGCAAACATCCCAAAGAAGTTTCTGAGAATGCTTCTGTCTAGATTTTATCTGAAGACAATCCCGTTTCCAACGAAATCCTCAAGGCTAGGCAAATATACTCTTGCAGATTCCAGAAAAAGAGGGTTTCAAAACTGCTCCTTCAAAACGGTGGTTCAATTCTCTTCGTTGAGTAAACACATCTCAAATAAGTTTCTGAGAATGCTTCTGCCTAGTTGTTACGGGAAGATATTTCCCTTTCCAACATAGGCCTGAAAGCGCTCCAAATGTCCACTTCCAGATACTACAAAAAGAGTGTTTCAAACCTGCTCTACCAAAGGGAATGTTCTACTCTGTGACTTGAATGCAAACATCCCAAAGATGTTTCTGAGAATGCTTCTGTCTAGATTTTACCTGAAGACAATCCCGTTTCCCACGAAATCCTCAAAGCTATGCAAATATCCTCTTGCAGATTCTACAAAAAGAGTGTTTCAAAACTGCTCTATGAAAAGAAAGGTTCAACTCTGTCAGTAGAGGGCACACATCACAAACAAGTTTCTGAGAATGCTTGTGTCTAGTTGTTATGGGAAGATATTTCCTTTTTCAACATAGGCCTGAAAGCGCTCCAAATGTCCACTTCCAGATACTACAAAAGGAGTGATTCCAACCTGCTCTATGATAGGGAATGTTCAACTCTCTGTCCTGAATACAAACATCACAAAGATGTTTCTCAGAACGCTGCAGTCTGCAATTTGTATGAATTCCCGCTTCCAACGAAATCCTCAAAACTAGCCAAATATCCACTTGCAGATTCCACAAAAAGAGCGTTTCAAAACTTCTCTATGAAAAGAAAGGTTCTACTCCTTTAGTTGAGGACACACATCACGAGTAAGTTTCTGAGAATGCTTCTGTCTAGTTTTTATGGGAAGATATTTCCTTTTTCACCTTAGGCCGGAAAGTGCTCCAAATGTCCACTTACACACACTACAAAAAGAGTGTTTCAAACCTGCTCTGTGAAAGGGAATGTTCAATTCTGTGACTTGAATGCAATCATCACAAAGAACTTTCTGAGAATGCTGCTGTCTGCTTTTTATATGTAATCCCGTTTCCAACGAAATCCTCAAATCTAGCCAAATAGCCACTTGCAGATTCCACAAAAAGAGTGTTTCAAAACTGTTCTGTCTAAAGAAATGTTCAACTGTGTTAGTTGAGGACACACATCAGAAACTAGTTTCTGAGAATGCTTCTGTCTAGTTGTTATGGGAAGATATTTCCTTTTCCAACGTAGGCCTGAAAGCGCTCCAAATGTCCACTTCCATATACTAAAAAAAGAGTGTTTCAAACCTGCTCTACCAAAGGGAATGTTCTACTCTGTGACTTGAATGCAAACATCCCAAAGAAGTTTCTGAGAATGCTTCTGTCTAGATTTGATCTGAAGACAATCCCGTTTCCAACGAAATCCTCAAGGCTAGGCAAATATCCTCTTGCAGATTCCAGAAAAAGAGTGTTTCAAAACTGCTCCTTCAAAACGGTGATTCAATTCTCTTAGTTGAGTACACACATCTCAAATAAGTTTCTGAGAATGCTTCTGCCTAGTTGTTACGGGAAGATATTTCCCTTTCCAACATAGGCCTGAAAGCGCTCCAAATGTCCACTTCCAGATACTACAAAAAGAGTGTTTCAAACCTGCTCTACCAAAGGGAATGTTCTACTCTGTGACTTGAATGCAAACATCCCAAAGAAGTTTCTGAGAATGCTTCTGTCTAGATTTTACCTGAAGACAATCCCGTTTCCCACGAAATCCTCAAAGCTATGCAAATATCCTCTTGCAGATTCTACAAAAAGAGTGTTTCAAAACTGCTCTATGAAAAGAAAGGTTCAACTCTGTCAGTAGAGGGCACACATCACAAACAAGTTTCTGAGAATGCTTGTGTCTAGTTGTTATGGGAAGATATTTCCTTTTTCAACATAGGCCAGAAAGCGCTCCAAATGTCCACTTCCAGATACTACAAAAGGAGTGATTCCAACCTGCTCTATGATAGGGAATGTTCAACTCTCTGTCCTGAATACAAACATCACAAAGATGTTTCTCAGAACGCTGCAGTCTGCAATTTGTATGAATTCCCGCTTCCAACGAAATCCTCAAAACTAGCCAAATATCCACTTGCAGATTCCACAAAAAGAGCATTTCAAAACTGCTCTATCAAAAGAAAGGTTCAACTTTGTTAGTTGAGTAGATACAGCATAAAAAAGTTTCTGAGAATGCTTCTGTCCAGTTTTTATGGGAAGATATTTCCTTTTTCACCTTAGCCCTGAAATCGCTCCAAAAGTCCAGTTCCAGATACTACAAAAGGGGTGTTTCAGGACTGCTCTATGAAAGGGAGTGTTCAACTTTTGACTTGAATGCAAACATCAGAAAGCAGTTTCTCAGAACGCTGCTGTGTGCTTTTTATATGTATTCCCGCTTCCAGCGAAATCCCCAAAGCTAGCCAAATATCCACTTGCAGATTCCAGAAAAAGAGAGTTTCAAAACTGCTCCTTCAAAACGGTGGTTCAATTCTCTTAGTTTGAGTACACACATCTCAAATAAGTTTCTGAGAATGCTTCTGTCTAGTTGTTATGGGAAGATATTTCCTTTTCCAACATAGGCCTGAAAGCGCTCCAAATGTCCACTTCCAGATACTACAAAAGGAGTGATTCAAACCTGCTCTATGATAGGGAATGTTCAACTCTGTGTCCTGAATACAAACATCACAAAGATGTTTCTCAGAACGCTGCAGTCTGCAATTTGTATGTATTCCAGCTTCCAACGAAATCCTCAAATCTAGCCAAATATCCAATTGCAGATTCCACAAAAAGAGCATTTCAAAACTGCTCTATCAAAAGAAAGGTTCAACTTTTTTAGTAGAGTAGATACAGCATAAACAAGTTTCTGAGAATGCTTCTGTCCAGTTTTTATGGGAAGATATTTCCTTTTTCACCTTAGCCCTGAAAGCGCTCCAAAAGTCCAGTTCCAGATACTACAAAAGGAGTGTTTCAGGACTGCTCTATGAAAGGGAGTGTTCAACTTTTGACTTGAATGCAAACATCAGAAAGCAGTTTCTCAGAACGCTGCTGTGTGCTTTTTATATGTATTCCCGCTTCCAGCGAAATCCCCAAAGCTAGCCAAATATCCACTTGCAGATTCCAGAAAAAGAGTGTTTCAAAACTGCTCCTTCAAAACGGTGGTTCAATTCTCTTAGTTGAGTACACACATCTCAAATAAGTTTCTGAGAATGCTTCTGTCTAGCTGTTATGGGAGGATATTTCCTTTTCCAACATAGGCCTGAAAATGCTCCAAACGTCCACTTCCAGATACGACAAAAGGAGTGATTCCAACCTGCTCTATGATAGGGAATATTCAACTCTGTGTCCTGAATACAAACATCACAAAGATGTTTCTCAGAACGCTGCCAGTCTGCAATTTGTATGAATTCCCGCTTCCAACGAAATCCTCAAAACTAGCCAAATATCCACTTGCAGATTCCACAAAAAGAGCGTTTCAAAACTTCTCTATGAAAAGAAAGGTTCTACTCCTTTAGTTGAGGACACACATCACGAGTAAGTTTCTGAGAATGCTTCTGTCTAGTTTTTATGGGAAGATATTTCCTTTTTCACCTTAGGCCGGAAAGCGCTCCAAATGTCCACTTACACACACTACAAAAAGAGTGTTTCAAACCTGCTCTGTGAAAGGGAATGTTCAATTCTGTGACTTGAATGCAATCATCACAAAGAACTTTCTGAGAATGCTGCTGTCTGCTTTTTATATGTAATCCCGTTTCCAACGAAATCCTGAAATCTAGCCAAATAGCCACTTGCAGATTCCACAAAAAGAGTGTTTCAAAACTGTTCTGTCTAAAGAAATGTTCAACTGTGTTAGTTGAGGACACACATCAGAAACTAGTTTCTGAGAATGCTTCTGTCTAGTTGTTATGGGAAGATATTTCCTTTTCCAACGTAGGCCTGAAAGCGCTCCAAATGTCCACTTCCATATACTAAAAAAAGAGTGTTTCAAACCTGCTCTACCAAAGGGAATGTTCTACTCTGTGACTTGAATGCAAACATCCCAAAGAAGTTTCTGAGAATGCTTCTGTCTAGATTTTCTCTGAAGACAATCCCGTTTCCAACGAAATCCTCAAGGCTAGGCAAATATACTCTTGCAGATTCCAGAAAAAGAGTGTTTCAAAACTGCTCCTTCAAAACGGTGGTTCAATTCTCTTAGTTGAGTACACACATCTCAAATAAGTTTCTGAGAATGCTTCTGCCTAGTTGTTACGGGAAGATATTTCCCTTTCCAACATGGGCCTGAAAGCGCTCCAAATGTCCACTTCCAGATACTACAAAAAGAGTGTTTCAAACCTGCTCTACCAAAGGGAATGTTCTACTCTGTGACTTGAATGCAAACATCCCAAAGAAGTTTCTGAGAATGCTTCTGTCTAGATTTTACCTGAAGACAATCCCGTTTCCCACGAAATCCTCAAAGCTATGCAAATATCCTCTTGCAGATTCTACAAAAAGAGTGTTTCAAAACTGCTCTATGAAAAGAAAGGTTCAACTCTGTCAGTAGAGGGCACACATCACAAACAAGTTTCTGAGAATGCTTCTGCATAGTTGTTACGGGAAGATATTTCCCTTTCCAAAATAGGCCTGAAAGCGCTCCAAATGTCCACTTCCAGATACTACAAAAGGAGTGATTCCAACCTGCTCTATGATAGGGAATGTTCAACTCTGTGTCCTGAATACAAACATCACAAAGATGTTTCTCAGAACGCTGCAGTCTGCAATTTGTATGAATTCCCGCTGCCAACGAAATCCTCAAAACTAGCCAAATATCCACTTGCAGATTCCACAAAAAGACCATTTCAAAACTGCTCTATCAAAAGAAAGGTTCAACTTTGTTAGTTGAGTAGATACAGCATAAACAAGTTTCTGAGAATGCTTCTGTCCAGTTTTTATGGGAAGATATTTCCTTTTTCACCTTAGCCCTGAAATCGCTCCAAAAGTCCAGTTCCAGATACTACAAAAGGGGTGTTTCAGGACTGCTCTATGAAAGGGAGTGTTCAACTTTTGACTTGAATGCAAACATCAGAAAGCAGTTTCTCAGAACGCTGCTGTGTGCTTTTTATATGTATTCCCGCTTCCAGCGAAATCCCCAAAGCTAGCCAAATATCCACTTGCAGATTCCAGAAAAAGAGAGTTTCAAAACTGCTCCTTCAAAACGGTGGTTCAATTCTCTTAGTTGAGTACACACATCTCAAATAAGTTTCTGAGAATGCTTCTTGTCTAGTTGTTATGGGAAGATATTTCCTTTTCCAACATAGGCCTGAAAGCGCTCCAAATGTCCACTTCCAGATACTACAAAAGGAGTGATTCAAACCTGCTCTATGATAGGGAATGTTCAACTCTGTGTCCTGAATACAAACATCACAAAGATGTTTCTCAGAACGCTGCAGTCTGCAATTTGTATGAATTCCCGCTTCCAACGAAATCCTCAAAACTAGCCAAATATCCACTTGCAGATTCCACAAAAAGAGCGTTTCAAAACTTCTCTATGAAAAGAAAGGTTCTACTCCTTTAGTTGAGGACACACATCACGAGTAAGTTTCTGAGAATGCTTCTGTCTAGTTTTTATGGGAAGATATTTCCTTTTTCACCTTAGGCCGGTAAGTGCTCCAAATGTCCACTTACACACACTACAAAAAGAGTCTTTCAAACCTGCTCTGTGAAAGGGAATGTTCAATTCTGTGACTTGAATGCAATCATCACAAAGAACTTTCTGAGAATGCTGCTGACTGCTTTTTATATGTAATCCCGTTTCCAACGAAATCCTCAAATCTAGCCAAATAGCCACTTGCAGATTCCACAAAAAGAGTGTTTCAAAACTGTTCTGTCTAAAGAAATGTTCAACTGTGTTAGTTGAGGACACACATCAGAAACTAGTTTCTGAGAATGCTTCTGTCTAGTTGTTATGGGAAGATATTTCCTTTTCCAACGTAGGCCTGAAAGCGCTCCAAATGTCCACTTCCATATACTAAAAAAAGAGTGTTTCAAACCTGCTCTACCAAAGGGAATGTTCTACTCTGTGACTTGAATGCAAACATCCCAAAGAAGTTTCTGAGAATGCTTCTGTCTAGATTTGATCTGAAGACAATCCCGTTTCCAACGAAATCCTCAAGGCTAGGCAAATATCCTATTGCAGATTCCAGAAAAAGAGTGTTTCAAAACTGCTCCTTCAAAACGGTGGTTCAATTCTCTTAGTTGAGTACACACATCTCAAATAAGTTTCTGAGAATGCTTCTGCCTAGTTGTTACGGGAAGATATTTCCATTTCCAACATGGGCCTGAAAGCGCTCCAAATGTCCACTTCCAGATACTACAAAAAGAGTGTTTCAAACCTGCTCTACCAAAGGGAATGTTCTACTCTGTGACTTGAATGCAAACATCCCAAAGAAGTTTCTGAGAATGCTTCTGTCTAGATTTTACCTGAAGACAATCCCGTTTCCCACGAAATCCTCAAAGCTATGCAAATATCCTCTTGCAGATTCTACAAAAAGAGTGTTTCAAAACTGCTCTATGAAAAGAAAGGTTCAACTCTGTCAGTAGAGGGCACACATCACAAACAAGTTTCTGAGAATGCTTCTGCATAGTTGTTACGGGAAGATATTTCCCTTTCCAAAATAGGCCTGAAAGCGCTCCAAATGTCCACTTCCAGATACTACAAAAGGAGTGATTCCAACCTGCTCTATGATAGGGAATGTTCAACTCTGTGTCCTGAATACAAACATCACAAAGATGTTTCTCAGAACGCTGCAGTCTGCAATTTGTATGAATTCCCGCTTCCAACGAAATCCTCAAAACTAGCCAAATATCCACTTGCAGATTCCACAAAAAGACCATTTCAAAACTGCTCTATCAAAAGAAAGGTTCAACTTTGTTAGTTGAGTAGATACAGCATAACCAAGTTTCTGAGAATGCTTCTGTCCAGTTTTTATGGGAAGATATTTCCTTTTTCACCTTAGCCCTGAAATCGCTCCAAAAGTCCAGTTCCAGATACTACAAAAGGGGTGTTTCAAGACTGCTCTATGAAAGGGAGTGTTCAACTTTTGACTTGAATGCAAACATCAGAAAGCAGTTTCTCAGAACGCTGCTGTGTGCTTTTTATATGTATTCCCGCTTCCAGCGAAATCCCCAAAGCTAGCCAAATATCCACTTGCAGATTCCAGAAAAAGAGAGTTTCAAAACTGCTCCTTCAAAACGGTGGTTCAATTCTCTTAGTTGAGTACACACATCTCAAATAAGTTTCTGAGAATGCTTCTGTCTAGTTGTTATGGGAAGATATTTCCTTTTCCAACATAGGCCTGAAAGCGCTCCAAATGTCCACTTCCAGATACTACAAAAGGAGTGATTCAAACCTGCTCTATGATAGGGAATGTTCAACTCTGTGTCCTGAATACAAACATCACAAAGATGTTTCTCAGAACGCTGCAGTCTGCAATTTGTATGAATTCCCGCTTCCAACGAAATCCTCAAAACTAGCCAAATATCCACTTGCAGATTCCACAAAAAGAGCGTTTCAAAACTTCTCTATGAAAAGAAAGGTTCTACTCCTTTAGTTGAGGACACACATCACGAGTAAGTTTCTGAGAATGCTTCTGTCTAGTTTTTATGGGAAGATATTTCCTTTTTCACCTTAGGCCGGTAAGTGCTCCAAATGTCCACTTACACACACTACAAAAAGAGTGTTTCAAACCTGCTCTGTGAAAGGGAATGTTCAATTCTGTGACTTGAATGCAATCATCACAAAGAACTTTCTGAGAATGCCGCTGACTGCTTTTTATATGTAATCCCGTTTCCAACGAAATCCTCAAATCTAGCCAAATAGCCACTTGCAGATTCCACAAAAAGAGTGTTTCAAAACTGTTCTGTCTAAAGAAATGTTCAACTGTGTTAGTTGAGGACACACATCAGAAACTAGTTTCTGAGAATGCTTCTGTCTAGTTGTTGTGGGAAGATATTTCCTTTTCCAACGTAGGCCTGAAAGCGCTCCAAATGTCCACTTCCATATATTAAAAAAAGAGTGTTTCAAACCTGCTCTACCAAAGGGAATGTTCTACTCTGTGACTTGAATGCAAACATCCCAAAGAAGTTTCTGAGAATGCTTCTGTCTAGATTTTATCTGAAGACAATCCCGTTTCCAACGAAATTCTCAAGGCTAGGCAAATATACTCTTGCAGATTCCAGAAAAAGAGTGTTTCAAAACTGCTCCTTCAAAACGGTGGTTCAGTTCTCTTACTTGAGTACACACATCTCAAATAAGTTTCTGAGAATGCTTCTGCCTAGTTGTTACGGGAAGATATTTCCCTTTCCAACATGGGCCTGAAAGCGCTCCAAATGTCCACTTCCAGATACTACAAAAAGAGGGTTTCAAACCTGCTCTACCAAAGGGAATGTTCTACTCTGTGACTTGAATGCAAACATCCCAAAGAAGTTTCTGAGAATGCTTCTGTCTAGATTTTACCTGAAGACAATCCCGTTTCCCACGAAATCCTCAAAGCTATGCAAATATCCTCTTTCAGATTCTACAAAAAGAGTGTTTCAAAACTGCTCTATGAAAAGAAAGGTTCAACTCTGTCAGTAGAGGGCACACATCACAAACAAGTTTCTGAGAATGCTTGTGTCTAGTTGTTATGGGAAGATATTTCCTTTTTCAACATAGTCCTGAAAGCGCTCCAAATGTCCACTTCCAGATACTACAAAAGGAGTGATTCCAACCTGCTCTATGATAGGGAATGTTCAACTCTCTGTCCTGAATACAAACATCACAAAGATGTTTCTCAGAACGCTGCAGTCTGCAATTTGTATGAATTCCCGCTTCCAACGAAATCCTCAAAACTAGCCAAATATCCACTTGCAGATTCCACAAAAAGAGCATTTCAAAACTGCTCTATCAAAAGAAAGGTTCAACTTTGTTAGTTGAGTAGATACAGCATAAACAAGTTTCTGAGAATGCTTCTGTCCAGTTTTTATGGGAAGATATTTCCTTTTTCACCTTAGCCCTGAAAGCGCTCCAAAAGTCCAGTTCCAGATACTACAAAAGGAGTGTTTCAGGACTGCTCTATGAAAGGGAGTGTTCAACTTTTGACTTGAATGCAAACATCAGAAAGCAGTTTCTCAGAACGCTGCTGTGTGCTTTTTATATGTATTCCCGCTTCCAGCGAAATCCCCAAAGCTAGCCAAATATCCACTTGCAGATTCCAGAAAAAGAGTGTTTCAAAACTGCTCCTTCAAAACGGTGGTTCAATTCTCTTAGTTGAGTACACACATCTCAAATAAGTTTCTGAGAATGCTTCTGTCTAGTTGTTATGGGAAGATATTTCCTTTTCCAACATAGGCCTGAAAGCGCTCCAAATGTCCACTTCCAGATACCACAAAAGGAGTGATTCCAACCTGCTCTATGATAGGGAATGTTCAACTCTGTGTCCTGAATACAAACATCACAAAGATGTTTCTCAGAACGCTGCAGTCTGCAATTTGTATGAATTCCCGCTTCCAACGAAATCCTCCAAACTAGCCAAATATCCACTTGCAGATTCCACAAAAAGAGCGTTTCAAAACTTCTCTATGAAAAGAAAGGTTCTACTCCTTTAGTTGAGGACACACATCACGAGTAAGTTTCTGAGAATGCTTCTGTCTAATTTTTATGGGAAGATATTTCCTTGTTCACCTTAGGCCGGAAAGCGCTCCAAATGTCCACTTACACACACTACAAAAAGAGTGTTTCAAACCTGCTCTGTGAAACGGAATGTTCAATTCTGTGACTTGAATGCAATCATCACAAAGAAGTTTCTGAGAATGCTGCTGTCTGCTTTTTATATGTAATCCCGTTTCCAACGAAATCCTCAAATCTAGCCAAATATCCACTTGCAGATTCCACAAAGAGAGTGTTTCAAAACTGTTCTGTCTAAAGAAATGTTCAACTGTGTTAGTTGAGGACACACATCAGAAACTAGTTTCTGAGAATGCTTCTGTCTGGTTGTTATGGGAAGATATTTCCTTTTCCAACGTAGGCCTGAAAGCGCTCCAAATGTCCACTTCCATATACTAAAAAAAGAGTGTTTCAAACCTGCTCTACCAAAGGGAATGTTCTACTCTGTGACTTGAATGCAAACATCCCAAAGAAGTTTCTGAGAATGCTTCTGTCTAGATTGGATCTGAAGACAATCCCGTTGCCAACGAAATCCTCAAATCTATGCAAATATCCTCTTGCAGATTCCAGAAAAAGAGTGTTTCAAAACTGCTCCTTCAAAACGGTGGTTCAATTCTCTTAGTTGAGTACACACATCTCAAATAAGTTTCTGAGAATGCTTTCTGCCTAGTTGTTACGGGAAGATATTTCCCTTTCCAACATAGGCCTGAAAGCGCTCCAAATGTCCACTTCCAGATACTACAAAAAGAGTGTTTCAAACCTGCTCCTTCAAAACGGTGGTTCAATTCTCTTAGTTCAGTACACACATCTCAAATAAGTTTCTGAGAATGCTTCTGCCTAGTTGTTACGGGAAGATATTTCCCTTTCCAACATAGGCCTGAAAGCGCTCCAAATGTCCACTTCCAGATACTACAAAAAGAGTGTTTCAAACCTGCTCTAACAAAGGGAATGTTCTACTCTGTGACTTGAATGCAAACATCCCGAGGAATTTTCTGAGAATGCTTCTGTCTAGATTTTCCCTGAAGACAATCCCGTTTCCCACGAAATCCTCAAAGCTATGCAAATATCCTCTTGCAGATTCTACAAAAAGAGTGTTTCGAAACTGCTCTATGAAAAGAAAGGTTCAACTCTGTCAGTAGAGGGCACACATCACAAACAAGTTTCTGAGAATGCTTGTGTCTACTTGTTATGGGAAGATATTTCCTTTTTCAACATAGGCCTGAAAGCGCTCCAAATGTCCACTTCCAGATACTACAAAAGGAGTGATTCCAACCTGCTCTATGATAGGGAATGTTCAACTCTGTGTCCTGAATACAAACATCACAAAGATGTTTCTCAGAACGCTGCAGTCTGCAATTTGTATGAATTCCCGCTTCCAACGAATTCCTCAATACTAGCCAAATATCCACTTGCAGACTCCACAAAAAGAGCATTTCAAAACTGCTCTATCAAAAGAAAGGTTCAACTTTGTTAGCTGAGTAGATATAGCATAAACAAGTTTCTGAGAATGCTTCTGTCCAGTTTTTATGGGAAGATATTTCCTTTTTCACCCTAGCCCTGAAAGCACTCCAAATGTCCACTTCCAGATACCACAAAAGGGGAGTTTCAAGACTGCTCTACGAAAGGGAGTGTTCAAATTTTGACTTGAATGCGAACATCAGAAAGAAGTTTCTCAGAACGCTGCTGTGTGCTTTTTATATGTATTCCCGCTTCCAGCGAAATCCCCAAAGCTAGCCAAATATCCACTTGCAGATTCCAGAAAAAGAGTGTTTCAAAACTGCTCCTTCAAAACGGTGGTTCAATTCTTAGTTGAGTACACACATCTCAAATAAGTTTCTGAGAATGTTTCTGTCTAGTTGTTTATGGGAAGATATTTCCTTTTCCAACATAGGCCTGAAAGCGCTCCAAATGTCCACTTCCAGATACTACAAAAGGAGTGATTCCAACCTGCTCTATGATAGGGAATGTTCAACTCTGTGTCCTGAATACAAACATCACAAAGATGTTTCTCAGAACGCTGCAGTCTGCAATTTGTATGAATTCCCGCTTCCAACGAAATCCTCAAAACTAGCCAAATATCCACTTGCAGATTCCACAAAAAGAGCGTTTCAAAACTTCTCTATGAAAAGAAAGTTTCTACTCCTTTACTTGAGTACACACATCACGAGTAAGTTTCTGAGAATGCTTTCTGTCCAGTTTTTATGGGAAGATATTTCCTTTTTCACCTTAGCCCTGAAATCGCTCCAAAAGTCCAGTTCCAGATACTACAAAAGGGGTGTTTCAAGACTGCTCTATGAAAGGGAGTGTTCAACTTTTGACTTGAATGCAAACATCAGAAAGCAGTTTCTCAGAACGCTGCAGTCTGCAATTTGTATGAATTCCCGCTTCCAACGAAATCCTCCAAACTAGCCAAATATCCACTTGCAGATTCCACAAAAAGAGCGTTTCAAAACTTCTGTATGAAAAGAAAGGTTCTACTCCTTTAGTTGAGGACACACATCACGAGTAAGTTTCTGAGAGTGCTTCCGTCTAGTTTTTATGGGAAGATATTTCCTTTTTCACCTTAGGCCGGTAAGTGCTCCAAATGTCCACTTACACACACTACAAAAAGAGTGTTTCAAACCTGCTCTGTGAAAGGGAATGTTCAATTCTGTGACTTGAATGCAATCATCACTAAGAACTTTCTGAGAATGCTGCTGACTGCTTTTTATATGTAATCCCGTTTCCAACGAAATCCTCAAATCTAGCCAGATAGCCACTTGCAGATTCCACAAAAAGAGTGTTTCAAAACTGTTCTGTCTAAGGAAATGTTCAACTGTGTTAGTTGAGGACACACATCAGAAACTAGTTTCTGAGAATGCTTCTGTCTAGTTGTTATGGGAAGATATTTCCTTTTCCAACGTAGGCCTGAAAGCGCTCCAAATGTCCACTTCCATATACTAAAAAAAGAGTGTTTCAAACCTGCTCTACCAAAGGGAATGTTCTACTCTGTGACTTGAATGCAAACATCCCAAAGAAGTTTCTGAGAATGCTTCTGTCTAGATTTGATCTGAAGACAATCCCGTTTCCAACGAAATCCTCAAGGCTAGGCAAATATCCTCTTGCAGATTCCAGAAAAAGAGTGTTTCAAAACTGCTCCTTCAAAACGGTGGTTCAATTCTCTTAGTTGAGTACACACATCTCAAATAAGTTTCTGAGAATGCTTCTGCCTAGTTGTTACGGGAAGATATTTCCCTTTCCAACATAGGCCTGAAAGCGCTCCAAATGTCCACTTCCAGATACTACAAAAAGAGTGTTTCAAACCTGCTCTACCAAAGGGAATGTTCTACTCTGTGACTTGAATACAAACATCCCAAAGAAGTTTCTGAGAATGCTTTCTGTCTAGATTTTCCTGAAGACAATCCCGTTTCCCACGAAATCCTCAAAGCTATGCAAATATCCTCTTGCAGATTCTACAAAAAGAGTGTTTCAAAACTGCTCTATGAAAAGAAAGGTTCAACTCTGTCAGTAGAGGGCACACATCACAAACAAGTTTCTGAGAATGCTTCTGCATAGTTGTTACGGGAAGATATTTCCCTTTCCAAAATAGGCCTGAAAGCGCTCCAAATGTCCACTTCCAGATACTACAAAAGGAGTGATTCCAACCTGCTCTATGATAGGGAATGTTCAACTCTGTGTCCTGAATACAAACATCACAAAGATGTTTCTCAGAACGCTGCAGTCTGCAATTTGTATGAATTCCCGCTTCCAACGAAATCCTCAAAACTAGCCAAATATCCACTTGCAGATTCCACAAAAAGACCATTTCAAAACTGCTCTATCAAAAGAAAGGTTCAACTTTGTTAGTTGAGTAGATACAGCATAACCAAGTTTCTGAGAATGCTTCTGTCCAGTTTTTATGGGAAGATATTTCCTTTTTCACCTTAGCCCTGAAATCGCTCCAAAAGTCCAGTTCCAGATACTACAAAAGGGGTGTTTCAAGACTGCTCTATGAAAGGGAGTGTTCAACTTTTGACTTGAATGCAAACATCAGAAAGCAGTTTCTCAGAACGCTGCTGTGTGCTTTTTAGATGTATTCCCGCTTCCAGCGAAATCCCAAAAGCTAGCCAAATATCCACTTGCAGATTCCAGAAAAAGAGTGTTTCAAAACTGCTCCTTCAAAACAGTGGTTCAATTCTCTTAGTTGAGTACACACATCTCAAATAAGTTTCTGAGAATGCTTCTGTCTAGTTGTTATGGGAAGATATTTCCTTTTCCAACATAAGCCTGAAAGCGCTCCAAATGTCCACTTCCAGATACTACAAAAGGAGTGATTCAAACCTGCTCTATGATAGGGAATGTTCAACTCTGTGTCCTGAATACAAACATCACAAAGATGTTTCTCAGAACGCTGCAGTCTGCAATTTGTATGAATTCCCGCTTCCAACGAAATCCTCAAAACTAGCCAAATATCCACTTGCAGATTCCACAAAAAGAGCGTTTCAAAACTTCTCTATGAAAAGAAAGGTTCTACTCCTTTAGTTGAGGACACACATCACGAGTAAGTTTCTGAGAATGCTTCTGTCTAGTTTTTATGGGAAGATATTTCCTTTTTCACCTTAGGCCGGTAAGGGTTCCAAATGTCCACTTACACACACTACAAAAAGAGTGTTTCAAACCTGCTCTGTGAAAGGGAATGTTCAATTCTGTGACTTGAATGCAATCATCACAAAGAACTTTCTGAGAATGCTGCTGACTGCTTTTTATATGTAATCCCGTTTCCAACGAAATCCTAAAATCTAGCCAAATAGCCACTTGCAGATTCCACAAAAAGAGTGTTTCAAAACTGTTCTGTCTATAGAAATGTTCAACTGTGTTAGTTGAGGACACACATCAGAAACTAGTTTCTGAGATTGCTTCTGTCTAGTTGTTATGGGAAGATATTTCCTTTTCCAACGTAGGCCTGAAAGCGCTCCAAATGTCCACTTCCATATACTAAAAAAAGAGTGTTTCAAACCTGCTCTACCAAAGGGAATGTTCTACTCTGTGACTTGAATGCAAACATCCCAAAGAAGTTTCTGAGAATGCTTCTGTCTAGATTTTCTCTGAAGACAATCCCGTTTCCAACGAAATCCTCAAGGCTAGGCAAATATACTCTTGCAGATTCCAGAAAAAGAGTGTTTCAAAACTGCTCCTTCAAAACGGTGGTTCAATTCTCTTAGTTGAGTACACACATCTCAAATAAGTTTCTGAGAATGCTTCTGCCTAGTTGTTACGGGAAGATATTTCCCTTTCCAACATGGGCCTGAAAGCGCTCCAAATGTCCACTTCCAGATACTACAAAAAGAGTGTTTCAAACCTGCTCTACCAAAGGGAATGTTCTACTCTGTGACTTGAATGCAAACATCCCAAAGAAGTTTCTGAGAATGCTTCTGTCTAGATTTTACCTGAAGACAATCCCGTTTCCCACGAAATCCTCAAAGCTATGCAAATATCCTCTTGCAGATTCTACAAAAAGAGTGTTTCAAAACTGCTCTATGAAAAGAAAGGTTCAACTCTGTCAGTAGAGGGCACACATCACAAACAAGTTTCTGAGAATGCTTCTGTCTAGTTGTTATGGGAAGATATTTCCTTTTCCAACATAGGCCTGAAAGCGCTCCAAATGTCCACTTCCAGATACTACAAAAGGAGTGATTCAAACCTGCTCTATGATAGGGAATGTTCAACTCTGTGTGCCTGAATACAAACATCACAAAGATGTTTCTCAGAACGCTGCAGTCTGAAATTTGTATGAATTCCCGCTTCCAACGAAATCCTCAAAACTAGCCAAATATCCACTTGCAGATTCCACAAAAAGAGCATTTCAAAACTGCTCTATCAAAAGAAAGGTTCAACTTTGTTAGTTGAGTAGATACAGCATAAACAAGTTTCTGAGAATGCTTCTGTCCAGTTTTTATGGGAAGATATTTCCTTTTTCACCTTAGCCCTGAAATCGCTCCAAAAGTCCAGTTCCAGATACTACAAAAGGGGTGTTTCAGGACTGCTCTATGAAAGGGAGTGTTCAACTTTTGACTTGAATGCAAACATCAGAAAGCAGTTTCTCAGAACGCTGCTGTGTGCTTTTTATATGTATTCCCGCTTCCAGCGAAATCCCCAAAGCTAGCCAAATATCCACTTGCAGATTCCAGAAAAAGAGTGTTTCAAAACTGCTCCTTCAAAACGGTGGTTCAATTCTCTTAGTTGAGTAGACACATCTCAAATAAGTTTCTGAGAATGCTTCTGTCTAGTTGTTATGGGAAGATATTTCCTTTTCCAACATAGGCCTGAAAGCGCTCCAAATGTCCACTTCCAGATATTACAAAAGGAGTGATTCAAACCTGCTCTATGATAGGGAATGTTCAACTCTGTGTCCTGAATACAAACATCACAAAGATGATTCTCAGAACGCTGCAGTCTGCAATTTGTATGAATTCCCGCTTCCAACGAAATCCTCAAAACTAGCCAAATATCCACTTGCAGATTCCACAAAAAGAGCGTTTCAAAACTTCTCTATGAAAAGAAAGGTTCTACTCCTTTAGTTGAGGACACACATCACGAGTAAGTTTCTGAGAATGCTTCTGTCTAGTTTTTATGGGAAGATATTTCCTTTTTCACCTTAGGCCGGTAAGTGCTCCAAATGTCCACTTACACACACTACAAAAAGAGTGTTTCAAACCTGCTCTGTGAAAGGGAATGTTCAATTCTGTGACTTGAATGCAATCATCACAAAGAACTTTCTGAGAATGCTGCTGACTGCTTTTTATATGTAATCCCGTTTCCAACGAAATCCTCAAATCTAGCCAAATAGCCACTTGCAGATTCCACAAAAAGAGTGTTTCAAAACTGTTCTGTCTAAAGAAATGTTCAACTGTGTTAGTTGAGGACACACATCAGAAACTAGTTTCTGAGAATGCTTCTGTCTAGTTGTTATGGGAAGATATTTCCTTTTCCAACGTAGGCCTGAAAGCGATCCAAATGTCCACTTCCATATACTAAAAAAAGAGTGTTTCAAACCTGCTCTACCAAAGGGAATGTTCTACTCTGTGACTTGAATGCAAACATCCCAAAGAAGTTTCTGAGAATGCTTCTGTCTAGATTTTCTCTGAAGACAATCCCGTTTCCAACGAAATCCTCAAGGCTAGGCAAATATACTCTTGCAGATTCCAGAAAAAGAGTGTTTCAAAACTGCTCCTTCAAAACGGTGGTTCAATTCTCTTAGTTGAGTACACACATCTCAAATAAGTTTCTGAGAATGCTTCTGCCTAGTTGTTACGGGAAGATATTTCCCTTTCCAACATGGGCCTGAAAGCGCTCCAAATGTCCACTTCCAGATACTACAAAAAGAGTGTTTCAAACCTGCTCTACCAAAGGGAATGTTCTACTCTGTGACTTGAATGCAAACATCCCAAAGAAGTTTCTGAGAATGCTTCTGTCTAGATTTTACCTGAAGACAATCCCGTTTCCCACGAAATCCTCAAAGCTATGCAAATATCCTCTTGCAGATTCTACAAAAAGAGTGTTTCAAAACTGCTCTATGAAAAGAAAGGTTCAACTCTGTCAGTAGAGGGCACACATCACAAACAAGTTTCTGAGAATGCTTCTGCATAGTTGTTACGGGAAGATATTTCCCTTTCCAAAATAGGCCTGAAAGCGCTCCAAATGTCCACTTCCAGATACTACAAAAGGAGTGATTCCAACCTGCTCTATGATAGGGAATGTTCAACTCTGTGTCCTGAATACAAACATCACAAAGATGTTTCTCAGAACGCTGCAGTCTGCAATTTGTATGAATTCCCGCTTCCAACGAAATCCTCAAAACTAGCCAAATATCCACTTGCAGATTCCACAAAAAGACCATTTCAAAACTGCTCTATCAAAAGAAAGGTTCAACTTTGTTAGTTGAGTAGATACAGCATAAACAAGTTTCTGAGAATGCTTCTGTCCAGTTTTTATGGGAAGATATTTCCTTTTTCACCTTAGCCCTGAAATCGCTCCAAAAGTCCAGTTCCAGATACTACAAAAGGGGTGTTTCAAGACTGCTCTATGAAAGGGAGTGTTCAACTTTTGACTTGAATGCAAACATCAGAAAGCAGTTTGCTCAGAACGCTGGCTGTGTGCTTTTTATATGTATTCCCGCTTCCAGCGAAATCCCCAAAGCTAGCCAAATATCCACTTGCAGATTCCAGAAAAAGAGAGTTTCAAAACTGCTCCTTCAAAACGGTGGTTCAATTCTCTTAGTTGAGTACACACATCTCAAATAAGTTTCTGAGAATGCTTCTGTCTAGTTGTTATGGGAAGATATTTCCTTTTCCAACATAGGCCTGAAAGCGCTCCAAATGTCCACTTCCAGATACTACAAAAGGAGTGATTCCAACCTGCTCTATGATAGGGAATGTTCAACTCTGTGTCCTGAATACAAACATCACAAAGATGTTTCTCAGAACGCTGCACTCTGCAATTTGTATGAATTCCCGCTTCCAACGAAATCCTCCAAACTAGCCAAATATCCACTAGCAGATTCCACAAAAAGAGCGTTTCAAAACTTCTCTATGAAAAGAAAGGTTCTACTCCTTTAGTTGAGGACACACATCACGAGTAAGTTTCTGAGAATGCTTCTGTCTAGTTTTTATGGGAAGATATTTCCTTGTTCACCTTAGGCCGGAAAGCGCTCCAAATGTCCACTTACACACACTACAAAAAGAGTGTTTCAAACCTGCTCTGTGAAAGGGAATGTTCAATTCTGTGACTTGAATGCAATCATCACAAAGAAGTTTCTGAGAATGCTGCTGTCTGCTTTTTATATGTAATCCCGTTTCCAACGAAATCCTCAAATCTAGCCAAATATCCACTTGCAGATTCCACAAAAAGAGTGTTTCAAAACTGTTCTGTCTAAAGAAATGTTCAACTGTGTTAGTTGAGGACACACATCAGAAACTAGTTTCTGAGAATGCTTCTGTCTAGTTGTTATGGGAAGATATTTCCTTTTCCAACGTAGGCCTGAAAGCGCTCCAAATGTCCACTTCCATATACTAAAAAAAGAGTGTTTCAAACCTGCTCTACCAAAGGAATGTTCTACTCTGTGACTTGAATGCAAACATCCCAAAGAAGTTTACTGAGAATGCTTCTGTCTAGATTTGATCTGAAGACAATCCCTTTTCCAACGAAATCCTCAAAGCTAGGCAAATATCCTCTTGCAGATTCCAGAAAAAGAGTGTTTCCAAACTGCTCCTTCAAAACGGTGGTTCAATTCTCTTAGTTGAGTACACACATCTCAAATAAGTTTCTGAGAATGCTTCTGCCTAGTTGTTACGGGAAGATATTTCCCTTTCCAACATAGGCCTGAAAGCGCAACAAATGTCCACTTCCAGATACTACAAAAAGAGTGTTTCAAACCTGCTCTACCAAAGGGAATGTTCTACTCTGTGACTTGAATGCAAACATCCCGAAGAAGTTTCTGAGAATGCTTCTGTCTAGATTTTTCCTGAGACAATCCCGTTTCCCACGAAATCCTCAAAGCTATGCAAATATCCTCTTGCAGATTCTACAAAAAGAGTGTTTCAAAACTGCTCTATGAAAAGAAAGGTTCAACTCTGTCAGTAGAGGGCACACATCACAAACAAGTTTCTGAGAATGCTTCTGCATAGTTGTTACGGGAAGATATTTCCCTTTCCAAAATAGGCCTGAAAGCGCTCCAAATGTCCACTTCCAGATACTACAAAAGGAGTGATTCCAACCTGCTCTATGATAGGGAATGTTCAACTCTGTGTCCTGAATACAAACATCACAAAGATGTTTCTCAGAACGCTGCAGTCTGCAATTTGTATGAATTCCCGCTTCCAACGAAATCCTCAAAACTAGCCAAATATCCACTTGCAGATTCCACAAAAAGACCATTTCAAAACTGCTCTATCAAAAGAAAGGTTCAACTTTGTTAGTTGAGTAGATACAGCATAAACAAGTTTCTGAGAATGCTTCTGTCCAGTTTTTATGGGAAGATATTTCCTTTTTCACCTTAGCCCTGAAATCGCTCCAAAAGTCCAGTTCCAGATACTACAAAAGGGGTGTTTCAGGACTGCTCTATGAAAGGGAGTGTTCAACTTTTGACTTGAATGCAAACATCAGAAAGCAGTTTCTCAGAACGCTGCTGTGTGCTTTTTATATGTATTCCCGCTTCCAGCGAAATCCCCAAAGCTAGCCAAATATCCACTTGCAGATTCCAGAAAAAGAGAGTTTCAAAACTGCTCCTTCAAAACGGTGGTTCAATTCTCTTAGTTGAGTACACACATCTCAAATAAGTTTCTGAGAATGCTTCTGTCTAGTTGTTATGGGAAGATATTTCCTTTTCCAACATAGGCCTGAAAGCGCTCCAAATGTCCACTTCCAGATACTACAAAAGGAGTGATTCCAACCTGCTCTATGATAGGGAATGTTCAACTCTGTGTCCTGAATACAAACATCACAAAGATGTTTCTCAGAACGCTGCAGTCTGCAATTTGTATGAATTCCCGCTTCCAACGAAATCCTCAAAACTAGCCAAATATCCACTTGCAGATTCCACAAAAAGACCATTTCAAAACTGCTCTATCAAAAGAAAGGTTCAACTTTGTTAGTTGAGTAGATACAGCATAACCAAGTTTCTGAGAATGCTTCTGTCCAGTTTTTATGGGAAGATATTTCCTTTTTCACCTTAGCCCTGAAATCGCTCCAAAAGTCCAGTTCCAGATACTACAAAAGGGGTGTTTCAAGACTGCTCTATGAAAGGGAGTGTTCAACTTTTGACTTGAATGCAAACATCAGAAAGCAGTTTCTCAGAACGCTGCTGTGTGCTTTTTATATGTATTCCCGCTTCCAGCGAAATCCCCAAAGCTAGCCAAATATCCACTTGCAGATTCCAGAAAAAGAGTGTTTCAAAACTGCTCCTTCAAAACGGTGGTTCAATTCTCTTAGTTGAGTACACACATCTCAAATAAGTTTCTGAGAATGCTTCTGCCTAGTTGTTACGGGAAGATATTTCCCTTTCCAACATGGGCCTGAAAGCGCTCCAAATGTCCACTTCCAGATACTACAAAAGGAGTGATTCCAACCTGCTCTATGATAGGGAATGTTCAACTCTGTGTCCTGAATACAAACATCACAAAGATGTTTCTCAGAACGCTGCAGTCTGCAATTTGTATGAATTCCCGCTTCCAACGAAATCCTCAAAACTAGCCAAATATCCACTTGCAGATTCCACAAAAAGACCATTTCAAAACTGCTCTATCAAAAGAAAGGTTCAACTTTGTTAGTTGAGTAGATACAGCATAAACAAGTTTCTGAGAATGCTTCTGTCCAGTTTTTATGGGAAGATATTTCCTTTTTCACCTTAGCCCTGAAATCGCTCCAAAAGTCCAGTTCCAGATACTACAAAAGGGGTGTTTCAAGACTGCTCTATGAAAGGGAGTGTTCAACTTTTGACTTGAATGCAAACATCAGAAAGCAGTTTCTCAGAACGCTGCTGTGTGCTTTTTATATGTATTCCCGCTTCCAGCGAAATCCCCAAAGCTAGCCAAATATCCACTTGCAGATTCCAGAAAAAGAGAGTTTCAAAACTGCTCCTTCAAAACGGTGGTTCAATTCTCTTAGTTGAGTACACACATCTCAAATAAGTTTCTGAGAATGCTTCTGTCTAGTTGTTATGGGAAGATATTTCCTTTTCCAACATAGGCCTGAAAGCGCTCCAAATGTCCACTTCCAGATACTACAAAAGGAGTGATTCCAACCTGCTCTATGATAGGGAATGTTCAACTCTGTGTCCTGAATACAAACATCACAAAGATGTTTCTCAGAACGCTGCAGTCTGCAATTTGTATGAATTCCCGCTTCCAACGAAATCCTCAAAACTAGCCAAATATCCACTTGCAGATTCCACAAAAAGAGCGTTTCAAAACTTCTCTATGAAAAGAAAGGTTCTACTCCTTTAGTTGAGGACACACATCACGAGTAAGTTTCTGAGAATGCTTCTGTCTAGTTTTTATGGGAAGATTATTTCCTTTTTCACCTTAGGCCGGTAAGTGCTCCAAATGTCCACTTACACACACTACAAAAAGAGTGTTTCAAACCTGCTCTGTGAAAGGGAATGTTCAATTCTGTGACTTGAATGCAATCATCACAAAGAACTTTCTGAGAATGCCGCTGACTGCTTTTTATATGTAATCCCGTTTCCAACGAAATCCTCAAATCTAGCCAAATAGCCACTTGCAGATTCCACAAAAAGAGTGTTTCAAAACTGTTCTGTCTAAAGAAATGTTCAACTGTGTTAGTTGAGGACACACATCAGAAACTAGTTTCTGAGAATGCTTGTGTCTAGTTGTTATGGGAAGATATTTCCTTTTCCAACGTAGGCCTGAGAGCGCTCCAAATGTCCACTTACACACACTACAAAAAGAGTGTTTCAAACCTGCTCTACCAAAGTGAATGTTCTAATCTGTGACTTGAATGCAAACGTCCCAAAGAAGTTTCTGAGAATGCTTCTGTCTAGATTTTACCTGAAGACAATCCCGTTTCCCACGAAATCCTCAAAGCTATGCAAATATCCTCTTGGAGATTATACAAAAAGAGTGTTTCGAAACTGCTCTATGAAAAGAAAGGTTCAACTGTGTCAGTAGAGGGCACACATCACAAACAAGTTTCTGAGAATGCCTCTGCCTAGTTGTTATGGGAAGATATTTCCTTGTTCACCTTAGGCCGGAAAGCGCTCCAAATGTCCACTTACACACACTACAAAAAGAGTGTTTCAAACCTGCTCTGTGAAAGGGAATGTTCAATTCTGTGACTTGAATGCAATCATCACAAAGAAGTTTCTGAGAATGCTGCTGTCTGCTTTTTATATGTAATCCCGTTTCCAACGAAATCCTCAAATCTAGCCCAATATCCACTTGCAGATTCCACAAAAAGAGTGTTTCAAAACTGTTCTGTATAAAGAAATGTACAACTGTGTTAGTTGAGGACACACATCACAAACTAGTTTCTGAGAATGCTTCTGTCTAGTTGTTATGGGAAGATATTTCCTTTTCCAACGTAGGCCTGAAAGCGCTCCAAATGTCCACTTACACACACTACAAAAAGATTGTTTCAAACCTGCTCTACCAAAGGGAATGTTCTACTCTGTGACTTGAATGCAAACATCCCAAAGAAGTTTCTGAGAATGCTTCTGTCTAGATTTGATCTGAAGACAATCCCGTTTCCAACGAAATCCTCAAGGCTAGGCAAATATACTCTTGCAGATTCCAGAAAAAGGGTGTTTCAAAACTGCTCCTTCAAAACGGTGGTTCAATTCTCTTAGTTGAGTACACACATCTCAAATATGTTTCTGAGAATGCTTCTGCCTAGTTGTTACGGGAAGATATTTCCCTTTCCAACATGGGCCTGAAAGCGCTCCAAATGTCCACTTCCAGATACTACAAAAAGAGTGTTTCAAACCTGCTCTACCAAAGGGAATGTTCTACTCTGTGACTTGAATGCAAACATCCCAAAGAAGTTTCTGAGAATGCTTCTGTCTAGATTTTACCTGAAGACAATCCCGTTTCCCACGAAATCCTCAAAGCTATGCAAATATCCTCTTGCAGATTCTACAAAAAGAGTGTTTCAAAACTGCTCTATGAAAAGAAAGGTTCAACTCTGTCAGTAGAGGGCACACATCACAAACAAGTTTCTGAGAATGCTTCTGCATAGTTGTTACGGGAAGATATTTCCCTTTCCAAAATAGGCCTGAAAGCGCTCCAAATGTCCACTTCCAGATACTACAAAAGGAGTGATTCCAACCTGCTCTATGATAGGGAATGTTCAACTCTGTGTCCTGAATACAAACATCACAAAGATGTTTCTCAGAACGCTGCAGTCTGCAATTTGTATGAATTCCCGCTTCCAACGAAATCCTCAAAACTAGCCAAATATCCACTTGCAGATTCCACAAAAAGACCATTTCAAAACTGCTCTATCAAAAGAAAGGTTCAACTTTGTTAGTTGAGTAGATACAGCATAACCAAGTTTCTGAGAATGCTTCTGTCCAGTTTTTATGGGAAGATATTTCCTTTTTCACCTTAGCCCTGAAATCGCTCCAAAAGTCCAGTTCCAGATACTACAAAAGGGGTGTTTCAAGACTGCTCTATGAAAGGGAGTGTTCAACTTTTGACTTGAATGCAAACATCAGAAAGCAGTTTCTCAGAACGCTGCTGTGTGCTTTTTATATGTATTCCCGCTTCCAGCGAAATCCCCAAAGCTAGCCAAATATCCACTTGCAGATTCCAGAAAAAGAGAGTTTCAAAACTGCTCCTTCAAAACGGTGGTTCAATTCTCTTAGTTGAGTACACACATCTCAAATAAGTTTCTGAGAATGCTTCTGTCTAGTTGTTATGGGAAGATATTTCCTTTTCCAACATAGGCCTGAAAGCGCTCCAAATGTCCACTTCCAGATACTACAAAAGGAGTGATTCAAACCTGCTCTATGATAGGGAATGTTCAACTCTGTGTCCTGAATACAAACATCACAAAGATGTTTCTCAGAACGCTGCAGTCTGCAATTTGTATGAA
This sequence comes from Homo sapiens, assembly GCF_000001405.40. Lineage (NCBI taxonomy): Eukaryota > Metazoa > Chordata > Mammalia > Primates > Hominidae > Homo > Homo sapiens. The sequence goes on along the minus strand of NC_000018.10, from coordinate 17,402,109 downwards.
TTCCCGCTTCCAACGAAATCCTCAAAACTAGCCAAATATCCACTTGCAGATTCCACAAAAAGAGCGTTTCAAAACTTCTCTATGAAAAGAAAGGTTCTACTCCTTTAGTTGAGGACACACATCACGAGTAAGTTTCTGAGAATGCTTCTGTCTAGTTTTTATGGGAAGATATTTCCTTTTTCACCTTAGGCCGGTAAGTGCTCCAAATGTCCACTTACACACACTACAAAAAGAGTGTTTCAAACCTGCTCTGTGAAAGGGAATGTTCAATTCTGTGACTTGAATGCAATCATCACAAAGAACTTTCTGAGAATGCTGCTGACTGCTTTTTATATGTAATCCCGTTTCCAACGAAATCCTCAAATCTAGCCAAATAGCCACTTGCAGATTCCACAAAAAGAGTGTTTCAAAACTGTTCTGTCTAAAGAAATGTTCAACTGTGTTAGTTGAGGACACACATCAGAAACTAGTTTCTGAGAATGCTTCTGTCTAGTTGTTATGGGAAGATATTTCCTTTTCCAACGTAGGCCTGAAAGCGATCCAAATGTCCACTTCCATATACTAAAAAAAGAGTGTTTCAAACCTGCTCTACCAAAGGGAATGTTCTACTCTGTGACTTGAATGCAAACATCCCAAAGAAGTTTCTGAGAATGCTTCTGTCTAGATTTTCTCTGAAGACAATCCCGTTTCCAACGAAATCCTCAAGGCTAGGCAAATATACTCTTGCAGATTCCAGAAAAAGAGTGTTTCAAAACTGCTCCTTCAAAACGGTGGTTCAATTCTCTTAGTTGAGTACACACATCTCAAATAAGTTTCTGAGAATGCTTCTGCCTAGTTGTTACGGGAAGATATTTCCCTTTCCAACATGGGCCTGAAAGCGCTCCAAATGTCCACTTCCAGATACTACAAAAAGAGTGTTTCAAACCTGCTCTACCAAAGGGAATGTTCTACTCTGTGACTTGAATGCAAACATCCCAAAGAAGTTTCTGAGAATGCTTCTGTCTAGATTTTACCTGAAGACAATCCCGTTTCCCACGAAATCCTCAAAGCTATGCAAATATCCTCTTGCAGATTCTACAAAAAGAGTGTTTCAAAACTGCTCTATGAAAAGAAAGGTTCAACTCTGTCAGTAGAGGGCACACATCACAAACAAGTTTCTGAGAATGCTTGTGTCTAGTTGTTATGGGAAGATATTTCCTTTTTCAACATAGGCCTGAAAGCGCTCCAAATGTCCACTTCCAGATACTACAAAAGGAGTGATTCCAACCTGCTCTATGATAGGGAATGTTCAACTCTCTGTCCTGAATACAAACATCACAAAGATGTTTCTCAGAACGCTGCAGTCTGCAATTTGTATGAATTCCCGCTTCCAACGAAATCCTCTAAACTAGCCAAATATCCACTTGCAGATTCCACAAAAAGAGCATTTCAAAACTGCTCTATCAAAAGAAAGGTTCAACTTTGTTAGTTGAGTAGATACAGCATAAACAAGTTTCTGAGAATGCTTCTGTCCAGTTTTTATGGGAAGATATTTCCTTTTTCACCTTAGCCCTGAAAGCGCTCCAAAAGTCCAGTTCCAGATACTACAAAAGGAGTGTTTCAGGACTGCTCTATGAAAGGGAGTGTTCAACTTTTGACTTGAATGCAAACATCAGAAAGCAGTTTCTCAGAACGCTGCTGTGTGCTTTTTATATGTATTCCCGCTTCCAGCGAAATCCCCAAAGCTAGCCAAATATCCACTTGCAGATTCCAGAAAAAGAGTGTTTCAAAACTGCTCCTTCAAAACGGTGGTTCAATTCTCTTAGTTGAGTACACACATCTCAAATAAGTTTCTGAGAATGCTTCTGTCTATTTGTTATGGGAAGATATTTCCTTTTCCAACATAGGCCTGAAAGCGCTCCAAATGTCCACTTCCAGATACTAGAAAAGGAGTGATTCAAACCTGCTCTATGATAGGGAATGTTCAACTCTGTGTCCTGAATACAAACATCACAAAGATGTTTCTCAGAACGCTGCAGTCTGCAATTTGTATGAATTCCCGCTTCCAACGAAATCCTCCAAACTAGCCAAATATCCACTTGCAGATTCCACAAAAAGAGCGTTTCAAAACTTCTCTATGAAAACAAAGGTTCTACTCCTTTAGTTGAGGACACACATCACGAGTAAGTTTCTGAGAATGCTTCTGTCTAGTTTTTATGGGAAGATATTTCCTTTTTCACCTTAGGCCGGAAAGTGCTCCAAATGTCCACTTACACACACTATAAAAAGAGTGTTTCAAACCTGCTCTGTGAAAGGGAATGTTCAATTCTGTGACTTGAATGCAATCATCACAAGGAACTTTCTGAGAATGCTGCTGTCTGCTTTTTATATGTAATCCCGTTTCCAACGAAATCCTCAAATCTAGCCAAATAGCCACTTGCAGATTCCACAAAAAGAGAGTTTCAAAACTGTTCTGTCTAAAGAAATGTTCAACTGTGTTAGTTGAGGACACACATCAGAAACTAGTTTCTGAGAATGCTTCTGTCTAGTTGTTATGGGAAGATATTTCCCTTTCCAACGTAGGCCTGAAAGCGCTCCAAATGTCCACTTCCATATACTAAAAAAAGAGTGTTTCAAACCTGCTCTACCAAAGGGAATGTTCTACTCTGTGACTTGAATGCAAACATCCCAAAGAAGTTTCTGAGAATGCTTCTGTCTAGATTGGATCTGAAGACAATCCCGTTTCCAACGAAATCCTCAAATCTATGCAAATATCCTCTTGCAGATTCCAGAAAAAGAGTGTTTCAAAACTGCTCCTTCAAAACGGTGGTTCAATTCTCTTAGTTGAGTACACACATCTCAAATAAGTTTCTGAGAATGCTTCTGCCTAGTTGTTACGGGAAGATATTTCCCTTTCCAACATAGGCCTGAAAGCGCTCCAAATGTCCACTTCCAGATACTACAAAAAGAGTGTTTCAAACCTGCTCTACCAAAGGGAATGTTCTACTCTGTGACTTGAATGCAAACATCCCGAAGAATTTTCTGAGAATGCTTCTGTCTAGATTTTACCTGAAGACAATCCCGTTTCCCACGAAATCCTCAAAGCTATGCAAATATCCTCTTGCAGATTCTACAAAAAGAGTGTTTCGAAACTGCTCTATGAAAAGAAAGGTTCAACTCTGTCAGTAGAGGGCACACATCACAAACAAGTTTCTGAGAATGCTTCTGCATAGTTGTTATGGGAAGATATTTCCCTGTCCAAAATAGGCCTGAAAGCGCTCCAAATGTCCACTTCCAGATACTACAAAAGGAGTGATTCCAACCTGCTCTATGATAGGGAATGTTCATCTCTGTGTCCTGAATACAAACATCACAAAGATGTTTCTCAGAACGCTGCAGTCTGCAATTTGTATGAATTCCCGCTTCCAACGAAATCCTCAAAACTAGCCAAATATCCACTTGCAGATTCCACAAAAAGACCATTTCAAAACTGCTCTATCAAAAGAAAGGTTCAACTTTGTTAGTTGAGTAGATACAGCATAAGCAAGTTTCTGAGAATGCTTCTGTCCAGTTTTTATGGGAAGATATTTCCTTTTTCACCTTAGCCCTGAAATCGCTCCAAAAGAACAGTTCCAGATACTACAAAAGGGGTGTTTCAAGACTGCTCTATGAAAGGGAGTGTTCAACTTTTGACTTGAATGCAAACATCAGAAAGCAGTTTCTCAGAACGCTGCTGTGTGCTTTTTATATGTATTCCCGCTTCCAGCGAAATCCCCAAAGCTAGCCAAATATCCACTTGCAGATTCCAGAAAAAGAGAGTTTCAAAACTGCTCCTTCAAAACGGTGGTTCAATTCTCTTAGTTGAGTACACACATCTCAAATAAGTTTCTGAGAATGCTTCTGTCTAGTTGTTATGGGAAGATATTTCCTTTTCCAACATAGGCCTGAAAGCGCTCCAAATGTCCACTTCCAGATACTACAAAAGGAGTGATTCAAACCTGCTCTATGATAGGGAATGTTCAACTCTGTGTCCTGAATACAAACATCACAAAGATGTTTTCTCAGAACGCTGCAGTCTGCAATTTGTATGAATTCCCGCTTCCAACGAAATCCTCCAAACTAGCCAAATATCCACTTGCAGATTCCACAAAAAGAGCGTTTCAAAACTTCTCTATGAAAAGAAAGGTTCTACTCCTTTAGTTGAGGACACACATCACGAGTAAGTTTCTGAGAATGCTTCTGTCTAGTTTTTATGGGAAGATATTTCCTTTTTCACCTTAGGCCGGTAAGTGCTCCAAATGTCCACTTACACACACTACAAAAAGAGTGTTTCAAACCTGCTCTGTGAAAGGGAATGTTCAATTCTGTGACTTGAATGCAATCATCACAAAGAACTTTCTGAGAATGCTGCTGTCTGCTTTTTATATGTAATCCCGTTTCCAACGAAATCCTCAAATCTAGCCAAATATCCACTTGCAGATTCCACAAAAAGAGAGTTTCAAAACTGTTCTGTCTAAAGAAATGTTCAACTGTGTTAGTTGAGGACACACATCAGAAACTAGTTTCTGAGAATGCTTCTGTCTAGTTGTTATGGGAAGATATTTCCTTTTCCAACGTAGGCCTGAAAGCGCTCCAAATGTCCACTTCCATATACTAAAAAAAGAGTGTTTCAAACCTGCTCTACCAAAGGGAATGTTCTACTCTGTGACTTGAATGCAAACATCCCAAAGAAGTTTCTGAGAATGCTTCTGTCTAGATTTGATCTGAAGACAATCCCGTTTCCAACGAAATCCTCAAGGCTAGGCAAATATCCTCTTGCAGATTCCAGAAAAAGAGTGTTTCAAAACTGCTCCTTCAAAACGGTGGTTCAATTCTCTTAGTTGAGTACACACATCTCAAATAAGTTTCTGAGAATGCTTCTGCCTAGTTGTTACGGGAAGATATTTCCCTTTCCAACATAGGCCTGAAAGCGCTCCAAATGTCCACTTCCAGATACTACAAAAAGAGTGTTTCAAACCTGCTCTACCAAAGGGAATGTTCTGCTCTGTGACTTGAATGCAAACATCCCAAAGAAGTTTCTGAGAATGCTTCTGTCTAGATTTTACCTGAAGACAATCCCGTTTCCCACGAAATCCTCAAAGCTATGCAAATATCCTCTTGCAGATTCTACAAAAAGAGTGTTTCAAAACTGCTCTATGAAAAGAAAGGTTCAACTCTGTCAGTAGAGGGCACACATCACAAACAAGTTTCTGAGAATGCTTCTGTCTAGTTGTTATGGGAAGATTTTTCCTTTTTCAACATAGGCCTGAAAGCGCTCCAAATGTCCACTTCCAGATACTACAAAAGGAGTGATCCCAACCTGCTCTATGATAGGGAATGTTCAACTCTGTGTCCTGAATACAAACATCACAAAGATGTTTCTCAGAATGCTGCAGTCTGCAATTTGTATGAATTCCCGCTTCCAACGAAATCCTCAAAACTAGCCAAATATCCACTTGCAGATTCCACAAAAAGAGCATTTCAAAACTGCTCTATCAAAAGAAAGGTTCAACTTTGTTAGTTGAGTAGATACAGCATAAACAAGTTTCTGAGAATGCTTCTGTCCAGTTTTTATGGGAAGATATTTCCTTTTTCACCTTAGCCCTGAAAGCGCTCCAAAAGTCCAGTTCCAGATACTACAAAAGGAGTGTTTCAGGACTGCTCTATGAAAGGGAGTGTTCAACTTTTGACTTGAATGCAAACATCAGAAAGCAGTTTCTCAGAACGCTGCAGTCTGCAATTTGTATGAATTCCCGCTTCCAACGAAATCCTCAAAACTAGCCAAATATCCACTTGGAGATTCCACAAAAAGAGCGTTTCAAAACTTCTCTATGAATAGAAAGGTTCTACTCCTTTAGTTGAGGACACACATCACGAGTAAGTTTCTGAGGATGCTTCTGTCTAGTTTTTATGGGAAGATATTTCTTTTTTCACCTTAGGCCGGAAAGCGCTCCAAATGTCCACTTACACACACTACAAAAAGAGTGTTTCAAACCTGCTCTGTGAAAGGGAATGTTCAATTCTGTGACTTGAATGCAATCATCACAAGGAACTTTCTGAGAATGCTGCTGTCTGCTTTTTATATGTAATCCCGTTTGCAACGAAATCCTCAAATCTAGTCCAATATCCACTTGCAGATTCCACAAAAAGAGTGTTTCAAAACTGTTCTGTGTAAAGAAAAGTTCAACTGTGTTAGTTGAGGACACACATCAGAAACTAGTTTCTGAGAATGCTTCTGTCTAGTTGTTATGGGAAGATATTTCCTTTTCCAACGTAGGCCTGAAAGCGCTCCAAATGTCCACTTCCATATACTAAAAAAAGAGTGTTTCAAACCTGCTCTACCAAAGGGAATGTTCTACTCTGTGACTTGAATGCAAACATCCCAAAGAAGTTTCTGAGAATGCTTCTGTCTAGATTTTATCTGAAGACAATCCCGTTTCCAACGAAATCCTCAAGGCTAGGCAAATATACTCTTGCAGATTCCAGAAAAAGAGTGTTTCAAAACTGCTCCTTCAAAACGGTGGTTCAATTCTCTTAGTTGAGTACACACATCTCAAATAAGTTTCTGAGAATGCTTCTGCCTAGTTGTTACGGGAAGATATTTCCCTTTCCAACATGGGCCTGAAGCGCTCCAAATGTCCACTTCCAGATACTACAAAAAGAGTGTTTCAAACCTGCTCTACCAAAGGGAATGTTCTACTCTGTGACTTGAATGCAAACATCCCAAAGAAGTTTCTGAGAATGCTTCTGTCTAGATTTTACCTGAAGACAATCCCGTTTCCCACGAAATCCTCAAAGCTATGCAAATATCCTCTTGCAGATTCTACAAAAAGAGTGTTTCAAAACTGCTCTATGAAAAGAAAGGTTCAACTCTGTCAGTAGAGGGCACACATCACAAACAAGTTTCTGAGAATGCTTCTGCATAGTTGTTACGGGAAGATATTTCCCTTTCCAAAATAGGCCTGAAAGCGCTCCAAATGTCCACTTCCAGATACTACAAAAGGAGTGATTCCAACCTGCTCTATGATAGGGAATGTTCAACTCTGTGTCCTGAATACAAACATCACAAAGATGTTTCTCAGAACGCTGCAGTCTGCAATTTGTATGAATTCCCGCTTCCAACGAAATCCTCAAAACTAGCCAAATATCCACTTGCAGATTCCACAAAAAGACCATTTCAAAACTGCTCTATCAAAAGAAAGGTTCAACTTTGTTAGTTGAGTAGATACAGCATAAACAAGTTTCTGAGAATGCTTCTGTCCAGTTTTTATGGGAAGATATTTCCTTTTTCACCTTAGCCCTGAAATCGCTCCAAAAGTCCAGTTCCAGATACTACAAAAGGGGTGTTTCAGGACTGCTCTATGAAAGGGAGTGTTCAACTTTTGACTTGAATGCAAACATCAGAAAGCAGTTTCTCAGAACGCTGCTGTGTGCTTTTTATATGTATTCCCGCTTCCAGCGAAATCCCCAAAGCTAGCCAAATATCCACTTGCAGATTCCAGAAAAAGAGAGTTTCAAAACTGCTCCTTCAAAACGGTGGTTCAATTCTCTTAGTTGAGTACACACATCTCAAATAAGTTTCTGAGAATGCTTCTGTCTAGTTGTTATGGGAAGATATTTCCTTTTCCAACATAGGCCTGAAAGCGCTCCAAATGTCCACTTCCAGATACTACAAAAGGAGTGATTCCAACCTGCTCTATGATAGGGAATGTTCAACTCTGTGTCCTGAATACAAACATCACAAAGATGTTTCTCAGAACGCTGCAGTCTGCAATTTGTATGAATTCCCGCTTCCAACGAAATCCTCAAAACTAGCCAAATATCCACTTGCAGATTCCACAAAAAGAGCGTTTCAAAACTTCTCTATGAAAAGAAAGGTTCTACTCCTTTAGTTGAGGACACACATCACGAGTAAGTTTCTGAGAATGCTTCTGTCTAGTTTTTATGGGAAGATATTTCCTTTTTCACCTTAGGCCGGTAAGTGCTCCAAATGTCCACTTACACACACTACAAAAAGAGTGTTTCAAACCTGCTCTGTGAAAGGGAATGTTCAATTCTGTGACTTGAATGCAATCATCACAAAGAACTTTCTGAGAATGCTGCTGACTGCTTTTTATATGTAATCCCGTTTCCAACGAAATCCTCAAATCTAGCCAAATAGCCACTTGCAGATTCCACAAAAAGAGTGTTTCAAAACTGTTCTGTCTAAAGAAATGTTCAACTGTGTTAGTTGAGGACACACATCAGAAACTAGTTTCTGAGAATGCTTCTGTCTAGTTGTTATGGGAAGATATTTCCTTTTCCAACGTAGGCCTGAAAGCGATCAAAATGTCCACTTCCATATACTAAAAAAAGAGTGTTTCAAACCTGCTCTACCAAAGGGAATGTTCTACTCTGTGACTTGAATGCAAACATCCCAAAGAAGTTTCTGAGAATGCTTCTGTCTAGATTTTCTCTGAAGACAATCCCGTTTCCAACGAAATCCTCAAGGCTAGGCAAATATACTCTTGCAGATTCCAGAAAAAGAGTGTTTCAAAACTGCTCCTTCAAAACGGTGGTTCAATTCTCTTAGTTGAGTACACACATCTCAAATAAGTTTCTGAGAATGCTTCTGCCTAGTTGTTACGGGAAGATATTTCCCTTTCCAAAATAGGCCTGAAAGCGCTCCAAATGTCCACTTCCAGATACTACAAAAAGAGTGTTTCAAACCTGCTCTACGAAAGGGAATGTTCTACTCTGTGACTTGAATGCAAACATCCCAAAGAAGTTTCTGAGAATGCTTCTGTCTAGATTTTACCTGAAGACAATCCCGTTTCCCACGAAATCCTCAAAGCTATGCAAATATCCTCTTGCAGATTCTACAAAAAGAGTGTTTCAAAACTGCTCTATGAAAAGAAAGGTTCAACTCTGTCAGTAGAGGGCACACATCACAAACAAGTTTCTGAGAATGCTTCTGCATAGCTGTTACGGGAAGATATTTCCCTTTCCAACATAGGCCTGAAAGCGCTCCAAATGTCCACTTCCAGATACTACAAAAGGAGTGATTCCAACCTGCTCTATGATAGGGAATGTTCAACTCTGTGTCCTGAATACAAACATCACAAAGATGTTTCTCAGAACGCTGCAGTCTGCAATTTGTATGAATTCCCGCTTCCAACGAAATCCTCAAAACTAGCCAAATATCCACTTGCAGATTCCACAAAAAGACCATTTCAAAACTGCTCTATCAAAAGAAAGGTTCAACTTTGTTAGTTGAGTAGATACAGCATAAACAAGTTTCTGAGAATGCTTCTGTCCAGTTTTTATGGGAAGATATTTCCTTTTTCACCTTAGCCCTGAAATCGCTCCAAAAGTCCAGTTCCAGATACTACAAAAGGGGTGTTTCAAGACTGCTCTATGAAAGGGAGTGTTCAACTTTTGACTTGAATGCAAACATCAGAAAGCAGTTTCTCAGAACGCTGCTGTGTGCTTTTTATATGTATTCCCGCTTCCAGCGAAATCCCCAAAGCTAGCCAAATATCCACTTGCAGATTCCAGAAAAAGAGAGTTTCAAAACTGCTCCTTCAAAACGGTGGTTCAATTCTCTTAGTTGAGTACACACATCTCAAATAAGTTTCTGAGAATGCTTCTGTCTAGTTGTTATGGGAAGATATTTCCTTTTCCAACATAGGCCTGAAAGCGCTCCAAATGTCCACTTCCAGATACTACAAAAGGAGTGATTCAAACCTGCTCTATGATAGGGAATGTTCAACTCTGTGTCCTGAATACAAACATCACAAAGATGTTTCTCAGAACGCTGCAGTCTGCAATTTGTATGAATTCCCGCTTCCAACGAAATCCTCAAAACTAGCCAAATATCCACTTGCAGATTCCACAAAAAGAGCGTTTCAAAACTTCTCTATGAAAAGAAAGGTTCTACTCCTTTAGTTGAGGACACACATCACGAGTAAGTTTCTGAGAATGCTTCTGTCTAGTTTTTATGGGAAGATTATTTCCTTTTTCACCTTAGGCCGGTAAGTGCTCCAAATGTCCACTTACACACACTACAAAAAGAGTGTTTCAAACCTGCTCTGTGAAAGGGAATGTTCAATTCTGTGACTTGAATGCAATCATCACAAAGAACTTTCTGAGAATGCTGCTGACTGCTTTTTATATGTAATCCCGTTTCCAACGAAATCCTCAAATCTAGCCAAATAGCCACTTGCAGATTCCACAAAAAGAGTGTTTCAAAACTGTTCTGTCTAAAGAAATGTTCAACTGTGTTAGTTGAGGACACACATCAGAAACTAGTTTCTGAGAATGCTTCTGTCTAGTTGTTATGGGAAGATATTTCCTTTTCCAACGTAGGCCTGAAAGCGCTCCAAATGTCCACTTCCAGATACTACAAAAAGAGTGTTTCAAACCTGCTCTACCAAAGGGAATGTTCTACTCTGTGACTTGAATGCAAGCATCCCAAAGAAGTTTCTGAGAATGCTTCTGTCTAGATTTTCTCTGAAGACAATCCCGTTTCCAACGAAATCCTCAAGGCTAGGCAAATATCCTCTTGCAGATTCCAGAAAAAGAGTGTTTCAAAACTGCTCCTTCAAAACGGTGGTTCAATTCTCTTAGTTGAGTACACACATCTCAAATAAGTTTCTGAGAATGCTTCTGCCTAGTTGTTACGGGAAGATATTTCCCTTTCCAACATGGGCCTGAAAGCGCTCCAAATGTCCACTTCCAGATACTACAAAAAGAGTGTTTCAAACCTGCTCTACCAAAGGGAATGTTCTACTCTGTGACTTGAATGCAAACATCCCAAAGAAGTTTCTGAGAATGCTTCTGTCTAGATTTTACCTGAAGACAATCCCGTTTCCCACGAAATCCTCAAAGCTATGCAAATATCCTCTTGCAGATTCTACAAAAAGAGTGTTTCAAAACTGCTCTATGAAAAGAAAGGTTCAACTCTGTCAGTAGAGGGCACAACATCACAAACAAGTTTCTGAGAATGCTTCTGCATAGTTGTTACGGGAAGATATTTCCCTTTCCAAAATAGGCCTGAAAGCGCTCCAAATGTCCACTTCCAGATACTACAAAAGGAGTGATTCCAACCTGCTCTATGATAGGGAATGTTCAACTCTGTGTCCTGAATACAAACATCACAAAGATGTTTCTCAGAACGCTGCAGTCTGCAATTTGTATGAATTCCCGCTTCCAACGAAATCCTCAAAACTAGCCAAATATCCACTTGCAGATTCCACAAAAAGACCATTTCAAAACTGCTCTATCAAAAGAAAGGTTCAACTTTGTTAGTTGAGTAGATACAGCATAAACAAGTTTCTGAGAATGCTTCTGTCCAGTTTTTATGGGAAGATATTTCCTTTTTCACCTTAGCCCTGAAATCGCTCCAAAAGTCCAGTTCCAGATACTACAAAAGGGGTGTTTCAAGACTGCTCTATGAAAGGGAGTGTTCAACTTTTGACTTGAATGCAAACATCAGAAAGCAGTTTCTCAGAACGCTGCTGTGTGCTTTTTATATGTATTCCCGCTTCCAGCGAAATCCCCAAAGCTAGCCAAATATCCACTTGCAGATTCCAGAAAAAGAGTGTTTCAAAACTGCTCCTTCAAAACGGTGGTTCAATTCTCTTAGTTGAGTACACACATCTCAAATAAGTTTCTGAGAATGCTTCTGTCTAGTTGTTATGGGAAGATATTTCCTTTTCCAACATAGGCCTGAAAGCGCTCCAAATGTCCACTTCCAGATACTACAAAAGGAGTGATTCAAACCTGCTCTATGATAGGGAATGTTCAACTCTGTGTCCTGAATACAAACATCACAAAGATGTTTCTCAGAACGCTGCAGTCTGCAATTTGTATGAATTCCCGCTTCCAACGAAATCCTCAAAACTAGCCAAATATCCACTTGCAGATTCCACAAAAAGAGCGTTTCAAAACTTCTCTATGAAAAGAAAGGTTCTACTCCTTTAGTTGAGGACACACATCACGAGTAAGTTTCTGAGAATGCTTCTGTCTAGTTTTTATGGGAAGATTATTTCCTTTTTCACCTTAGGCCGGTAAGTGCTCCAAATGTCCACTTACACACACTACAAAAAGAGTGTTTCAAACCTGCTCTGTGAAAGGGAATGTTCAATTCTGTGACTTGAATGCAATCATCACAAAGAACTTTCTGAGAATGCTGCTGACTGCTTTTTATATGTAATCCCGTTTCCAACGAAATCCTCAAATCTAGCCAAATAGCCACTTGCAGATTCCACAAAAAGAGTGTTTCAAAACTGTTCTGTCTAAAGAAATGTTCAACTGTGTTAGTTGAGGACACACATCAGAAACTAGTTTCTGAGAATGCTTCTGTCTAGTTGTTATGGGAAGATATTTCCTTTTCCAACGTAGGCCTGAAAGCGCTCCAAATGTCCACTTCCAGATACTACAAAAAGAGTGTTTCAAACCTGCTCTACCAAAGGGAATGTTCTACTCTGTGACTTGAATGCAAGCATCCCAAAGAAGTTTCTGAGAATGCTTCTGTCTAGATTTTCTCTGAAGACAATCCCGTTTCCAACGAAATCCTCAAGGCTAGGCAAATATACTCTTGCAGATTCCAGAAAAAGAGTGTTTCAAAACTGCTCCTTCAAAACGGTGGTTCAATTCTCTTAGTTGAGTACACACATCTCAAATAAGTTTCTGAGAATGCTTCTGCCTAGTTGTTACGGGAAGATATTTCCCTTTCCAACATAGGCCTGAAAGCGCTCCAAATGTCCACTTCCAGATACTACAAAAAGAGTGTTTCAAACCTGCTCTACCAAAGGGAATGTTCTACTCTGTGACTTGAATGCAAACATCCCAAAGAAGTTTCTGAGAATGCTTCTGTCTAGATTTTACCTGAAGACAATCCCGTTTCCCACGAAATCCTCAAAGCTATGCAAATATCCTCTTGCAGATTCTACAAAAAGAGTGTTTCAAAACTGCTCTATGAAAAGAAAGGTTCAACTCTGTCAGTAGAGGGCACACATCACAAACAAGTTTCTGAGAATGCTTGTGTCTAGTTGTTATGGGAAGATATTTCCTTTTTCAACATAGGCCTGAAAGCGCTCCAAATGTCCACTTCCAGATACTACAAAAGGAGTGATTCCAACCTGCTCTATGATAGGGAATGTTCAACTCTCTGTCCTGAATACAAACATCACAAAGATGTTTCTCAGAACGCTGCAGTCTGCAATTTGTATGAATTCCCGCTTCCAACGAAATCCTCAAACCTAGCCAAATATCCACTTGCAGATTCCACAAAAAGAGCATTTCAAACTGCTCTATCAAAAGAAAGGTTCAACTTTGTTAGTTGAGTAGATATAGCATAAACAAGTTTCTGAGAATGCTTCTGTCCAGTTTTTATGGGAAGATATTTCCTTTTTCACCTTAGCCCTGAAAGCGCTCCAAATGTCCAGTTCCCGATACTACAAAAGGGGTGTTTCAAGACTGCTCTATGAAAGGGAGTGTTCAACTTTTGACTTGAATGCAAACATCAGAAAGCAGTTTCTCAGAACGCTGCTGTGTGCTTTTTATATGTATTCCCGCCTCCAGCGAAATCCCCAAAGCTAGCCAAATATCCACTTGCAGATTCCAGAAAAAGAGTGTTTCAAAACTGCTCCTTCAAAACGGTGGTTCAATTCTCTTAGTTGAGTACACACATCTCAAATAAGTTTCTGAGAATGCTTTCTGCCTAGTTTTTATGGGAAGATATTTCCTTTTTCACCTGAGGCCGGAAAGCGCTCCAAATGTCCACTTCCAGATACTACAAAAGGAGTGATTCAAACCTGCTCTATGATAGGGAATGTTCAACTCTGTGTCCTGAATACAAACATCACAAAGATGTTTCTCAGAACGCTGCAGTCTGCAATTTGTATGAATTCCCGCTTCCAACGAAATCCTCCAAACTAACCAAATATCCACTTGCAGACTCCACAAAAAGAGCATTTCAAAACTGCTCTATCAAAAGAAAGGTTCAACTTTGTTAGCTGAGTAGATACAGCATAAACAAGTTTCTGAGAATGCTTCTGTCCAGTTTTTATGGGAAGATATTTCCTTTTTCACCTTAGCCCTGAAAGCACTCCAAATGTCCACTTCCAGATACCACAAAAGGGGAGTTTCAAGACTGCTCTATGAAAGGGAGTGTTCAACTTTTGACTTGAATGCGAACATCAGAAAGAAGTTTCTCAGAACGCTGCTGTGTGCTTTTTATATGTATTCCCGCTTCCAGCGAAATCCCCAAAGCTAGCCAAATATGCACTTGCAGATTCCAGAAAAAGAGTGTTTCAAAACTGCTCCTTCAAAACGGTGGTTCAATTCTCTTAGTTGAGCACACACATCTCAAATAAGTTTCTGAGAATGCTTCTGTCTAGTTGTTATGGGAAGATATTTCCTTTTCCAACATAGGCCTGAAAGCGCTCCAAATGTCCACTTCCAGATACTACAAAAGGAGTGATTCAAACCTGCTCTATGATAGGGAATGTTCAACTCTGTGTCCTGAATACAAACATCACAAAGATGTTTCTCAGAACGCTGCAGTCTGCAATTTGTATGAATTCCCGCTTCCAACGAAATCCTCCAAACTAGCCAAATATCCACTTGCAGATTCCACAAAAAGAGCGTTTCAAAACTTCTCTATGAAAAGAAAGGTTCTACTCCTTTAGTTGAGGACACACATCACGAGTAAGTTTCTGAGAGTGCTTCTGTCTAGTTTTTATGGGAAGATATTTCCTTTTTCACCTTAGGCCGGAAAGTGCTCCAAATGTCCACTTACAAACACTACAAAAAGAGTGTTTCAAACCTGCTCTGTGAAAGGGAATGTTCAATTCTGTGACTTGAATGCAATCATCACAAAGAACTTTCTGAGAATGCTGCTGTCTGCTTTTTATATGTAATCCCGTTTCCAACGAAATCCTCAAATCTAGCCAAATAGCCACTTGCAGATTCCACAAAAAGAGTGTTTCAAAACTGTTCTGTCTAAAGAAATGTTCAACTGTGTTAGTTGAGGACACACATCAGAAACTAGTTTCTGAGAATGCTTCTGTCTAGTTGTTATGGGAAGATATTTCCTTTTCCAACGTAGGCCTGAAAGCGCTCCAAATGTCCACTTCCATATACTAAAAAAAGAGTGTTTCAAACCTGCTCTACCAAAGGGAATGTTCTACTCTGTGACTTGAATGCAAACATCCCAAAGAAGTTTCTGAGAATGCTTCTGTCTAGATTTGATCTGAAGACAATCCCGTTTCCAACGAAATCCTCAAGGCTAGGCAAATATCCTCTTGCAGATTCCAGAAAAAGAGTGTTTCAAAACTGCTCCTTCAAAACGGTGGTTCAATTCTCTTAGTTGAGTACACACATCTCAAATAAGTTTCTGAGAATGCTTCTGCCTAGTTGTTACGGGAAGATATTTCCCTTTCCAACATAGGCCTGAAAGCGCTCCAAATGTCCACTTCCAGATACTACAAAAAGAGTGTTTCAAACCTGCTCTACCAAAGGGAATGTTCTACTCTGTGACTTGAATGCAAACATCCCAAAGAAGTTTCTGAGAATGCTTCTGTCTAGATTTTACCTGAAGACAATCCCGTTTCCCACGAAATCCTCAAAGCTATGCAAATATCCTCTTGCAGATTCTACAAAAAGAGTGTTTCAAAACTGCTCTATGAAAAGAAAGGTTCAACTCTGTCAGTAGAGGGCACACATCACAAACAAGTTTCTGAGAATGCTTGTGTCTAGTTGTTATGGGAAGATATTTCCTTTTTCAACATAGGCCTGAAAGCGCTCCAAATGTCCACTTCCAGATACTACAAAAGGAGTGATTCCAACCTGCTCTATGATAGGGAATGTTCAACTCTCTGTCCTGAATACAAACATCACAAAGATGTTTCTCAGAACGCTGCAGTCTGCAATTTGTATGAATTCCCGCTTCCAACGAAATCCTCAAAACTAGCCAAATATCCACTTGCAGATTCCACAAAAAGAGCATTTCAAAACTGCTCTATCAAAAGAAAGGTTCAACTTTGTTAGTTGAGTAGATACAGCATAAACAAGTTTCTGAGAATGCTTCTGTCCAGTTTTTATGGGAAGATATTTCCTTTTTCACCTTAGCCCTGAAAGCGCTCCAAAAGTCCAGTTCCAGATACTACAAAAGGGGTGTTTCAAGACTGCTCTATGAAAGGGAGTGTTCAACTTTTGACTTGAATGCAAACATCAGAAAGCAGTTTCTCAGAACGCTGCTGTGTGCTTTTTATATGTATTCCCGCTTCCAGCGAAATCCCCAAAGCTAGCCAAATATCCACTTGCAGATTCCAGAAAAAGAGTGTTTCAAAACTGCTCCTTCAAAACGGTGGTTCAATTCTCTTAGTTGAGTACACACATCTCAAATAAGTTTCTGAGAATGCTTCTGTCCAGTTTTTATGGGAAGATATTTCCTTTTTCACCTTAGCCCTGAAAGCGCTCCAAATGTCCACTTCCGGATACTACAAAAGGGGTGTTTCAAGACTGCTCTATGAAAGGGAGTGTTCAACTTTTGACTTGAATGCAAACATCAGAAAGCAGTTTCTCAGAACGCTGCAGTCTGCAATTTGTATGAATTCCCGCTTCCAACGAAATCCTCAAAACTAGCCAAATATCCACTTGCAGATTCCACAAAAAGAGCGTTTCAAAACTTCTCTATGAAAAGAAAGGTTCTACTCCTTTAGCTGAGGGCACACATCACGAGTAAGTTTCTGAGAATGCTTCTGTCTAGTTTTTATGGGAAGATATTTCCTTTTTCACCTTAGGCCGGTAAGGGTTCCAAATGTCCACTTACACACACTACAAAAAGAGTGTTTCAAACCTGCTTTGTGAAAGGGAATGTTCAATTCTGTGACTTGAATGCAATCATCACAAAGAACTTTCTGAGAATGCTGCTGACTGCTTTTTATATGTAATCCCGTTTCCAACGAAATCCTCAAATCTAGCCAAATAGCCCCTTGCAGATTCCACAAAAAGAGTGTTTCAAAACTGTTCTGTCTAAAGAAATGTTCAACTGTGTTAGTTGAGGACACACATCAGAAACTAGTTTCTGAGAATGCTTCTGTCTAGTTGTTATGGGAAGATATTTCCTTTTCCAACGTAGGCCTGAAAGCGCTCCAAATGTCCACTTCCATATACTAAAAAAAGAGTGTTTCAAACCTGCTCTACCAAAGGGAATGTTCTACTCTGTGACTTGAATGCAAACATCCCAAAGAAGTTTCTGAGAATGCTTCTGTCTAGATTTTCTCTGAAGACAATCCCGTTTCCAACGAAATCCTCAAGGCTAGGCAAATATACTCTTGCAGATTCCAGAAAAAGAGTGTTTCAAAACTGCTCCTTCAAAACGGTGGTTCAATTCTCTTAGTTGAGTACACACATCTCAAATAAGTTTCTGAGAATGCTTCTGCCTAGTTGTTACGGGAAGATATTTCCCTTTCCAACATGGGCCTGATAGTGCTCCAAATGTCCACTTCCAGATACTACAAAAAGAGTGTTTCAAACCTGCTCTACCAAAGGGAATGTTCTACTCTGTGACTTGAATGCAAACATCCCAAAAAAGTTTCTGAGAATGCTTCTGTCTAGATTTTACCTGAAGACAATCCCGTTTCCCACGAAATCCTCAAAGCTATGCAAATATCCTCTTGCAGATTCTACAAAAAGAGTGTTTCAAAACTGCTCTATGAAAAGAAAGGTTCAACTCTGTCAGTAGAGGGCACACATCACAAACAAGTTTCTGAGAATGCTTGTGTCTAGTTGTTATGGGAAGATATTTCCTTTTTCAACATAGGCCTGAAAGCGCTCCAAATGTCCACTTCCAGATACTACAAAAGGAGTGATTCCAACCTGCTCTATGATAGGGAATGTTCATCTCTGTGTCCTGAATACAAACATCACAAAGATGTTTCTCAGAACGCTGCAGTCTGCAATTTGTATGAATTCCCGCTTCCAACGAAATCCTCAAAACTAGCCAAATGTCCACTTGCAGATTCCACAAAAAGAGCGTTTCAAAACTTCTCTATGAAAAGAAAGGTTCTACTCCTTTAGTTGAGGACACACATCACGAGTAAGTTTCTGAGAATGCTTCTGTCTAGTTTTTATGGGAAGATATTTCCTTTTTCACCTTAGGCCAGAAAGCGCTCCAAATGTCCACTTACACACACTACAAAAAGAGTGTTTCAAACCTGCTCTGTGAAAGGGAATTTTCAATTCTGTGACTTGAATGCAATCATCACAAAGAACTATCTGAGAATGCTGCTGACTGCTTTTTATATGTAATCCCGTTTCCAACGAAATCCTCAAATCTAGCCAAATATCCACTTGCAGATTCCACAAAAAGAGAGTTTCATAACTGTTCTGTCTAAAGAAATGTACAACTGTGTTAGTTGAGGACACACATCAGAAACTAGTTTCTGAGAATGCTTCTGTCTAGTTCTTATGAGAAGATATTTCCTTTTCCAACGTAGGCCTGAAAGCGCTCAAAATGTCCACTTCCATATACTAAAAAAAGAGTGTTTCAAACCTGCTCTACCAAAGAGAATGTTCTACTCTGTGACTTGAATGCAAACATCCCAAAGAAGTTTCTGAGAATGCTTCTGTCTAGATTTTATCTGAAGACAATCCAGTTTCCAACGAAATCCTCAAGGCTAGGCAAATATATTCTTGCAGAATCCAGAAAAAGAGTGTTTCAAAACTGCTCCTTCAAAACGGTGGTTCAATTCTCTTAGTTGAGTACACACATCTCAAATAAGTTTCTGAGAATGCTTCTGCCTAGTTGTTAAGGGAAGATATTTCCCTTTCCAACATGAGCCTGAAAGCGCTCCATATGTCCACTTCCAGATACTACAAAAAGAGTGTTTCAAACCTGCTCTACCAAAGGGAATGTTCTACTCTGTGACTTGAATGCAAACATCCCAAAGAAGTTTCTGAGAATGCTTCTGTCTAGATTTTACCTGAAGACAATCCCGTTTCCCACGAAATCCTCAAAGCTATGCAAATATCCTCTTGCAGATTCTACAAAAAGAGTGTTTCAAAACTGCTCTATGAAAAGAAAGGTTCAACTCTGTCAGTAGAGGGCACACATCACAAACAAGTTTCTGAGAATGCTTGTGTCTAGTTGTTATGGGAAGATATTTCCTTTTTCAACATAGGCCTGAAAGCGCTCCAAATGTCCACTTCCAGATACTACAAAAGGAGTGATTCCAACCTGCTCTATGATAGGGAATGTTCATCTCTGTGTCCTGAATACAAACATCACAAAGGATGTTTCTCAAAACGCTGCAGTCTGCAATTTTTATGAATTCCCGCTTCCAACGAAATCCTCAAAACTAGCCAAATATCCACTTGGAGATTCCACAAAAAGAGCGTTTCAAAACTTCTCTAAGAATAGAAAGGTTCTACTCCTTTAGTTGAGGACACACATCACGAGTAAGTTTCTGAGAATGCTTCTGTCTAGTTTTTATGGGAAGATATTTCCTTTTTCACCTTAGGCCGGAAAGCGCTCCAAATGTCCACTTACACACACTACAAAAAGAGTGTTTCAAACCTGCTCTGTGAAAGGGAATGTTCAATTCTGTGACTTGAATGCAATCATCACAAAGAACTTTCTGAGAATGCTGCTGTCTGCTTTTTATATGTATTCCCGTTTCCAACGAAATCCTCAAAGCCAGCCAAATATCCACTTGCAGATTCCACAAAAAGAGTGTTTCAAAACTGCTCTCTCAAAAGAAATGTTCAACTCTGTCAGTTGAGGACACACATCACAAATAAGTTTCTGAGAATGCTTCTGTCTAGTTTTTATGGGAAGATATTTCCTTTTTCACCTGAGGCCGGAAAGCGCTCCAAATGTCCACTTCCAGATACTACAAAAGGAGTGATTCAAACCTGCTCTATGATAGGGAATGTTCAACTCTGTGTCCTGAATACAAACATCACAAAGATGTTTCTCAGAACGCTGCAGTCTGCAATTTGTATGAATTCCCGCTTCCAACGCAATCCTCAAAACTAACCAAATATCCACTTGCAGACTCCACAAAAAGAGCATTTCAAAACTGCTCTATCAAAAGAAAGGTTCAACTTTGTTAGCTGAGTAGATACAGCATAAACAAGTTTCTGAGAATGCTTCTGTCCAGTTTTTATGGGAAGATATTTCCTTTTTCACCTTAGCCCTGAAAGCACTCCAAATGTCCACTTCCAGATACTACAAAAGGGGTGTTTCAAGACTGCTCTATGAAAGGGAGTGTTCAACTTTTGACTTGAATGCGAACATCAGAAAGAAGTTTCTCAGAACGCTGCTGTGTGCTTTTTATATGTATTCCCGCTTCCAGCGAAATCCCCAAAGCTAGCCAAATATCCACTTGCAGATTCCAGAAAAAGAGTGTTTCAAAACTGCTCCTTCAAAACGGTGGTTCAATTCTCTTAGTTGAGTACACACATCTCAAATAAGTTTCTGAGAATGCTTCCTGTCTATTTGTTATGGGAAGATATTTCCTTTTCCAACATAGGGCCTGAAAGCGCTCCAAATGTCCACTTCCAGATACTACAAAAGGAGTGATTCAAACCTGCTCTATGATAGGGAATGTTCAACTCTGTGTCCTGAATACAAACATCACAAAGATGTTTCTCAGAACGCTGCAGTCTGCAATTTGTATGAATTCCCGCTTCCAACGAAATCCTCAAAACTAGCCAAATATCCACTTGCAGATTCCACAAAAAGAGCATTTCAAAACTGCTCTATCAAAAGAAAGGTTCAACTTTGTTAGTTGAGTAGATACAGCATAAACAAGTTTCTGAGAATGCTTCTGTCCAGTTTTTATGGGAAGATATTTCCTTTTTCACCTTAGCCCTGAAAGCGCTCCAAAAGTCCAGTTCCAGATACTACAAAAGGGGTGTTTCAGGACTGCTCTATGAAAGGGAGTGTTCAACTTTTGACTTGAATGCAAACATCAGAAAGCAGTTTCTCAGAACGCTGCTGTGTGCTTTTTATATGTATTCCCGCTTCCAGCGAAATCCCCAAAGCTAGCCAAATATCCACTTGCAGATTCCAGAAAAAGAGTGTTTCAAAACTGCTCCTTCAAAACGGTGGTTCAATTCTCTTAGTTGAGTACACACATCTCAAATAAGTTTCTGAGAATGCTTCTGTCTAGTTGTTATGGGAAGATATTTCCTTTTCCAACATAGGCCTGAAAACGCTCCAAATGTCCACTTCCAGATACTACAAAAGGAGTGATTCAAACCTGCTCTATGATAGGGAATGTTCAACTCTGTGTCCTGAATACAAACATCACAAAGATGTTTCTCAGAACGCTGCAGTCTGCAATTTGTATGAATTCCCGCTTCCAACGAAATCCTCAAAACTAGCCAAATATCCACTTGCAGATTCCACAAAAAGAGCGTTTCAAAACTTCTCTATGAAAAGAAAGGTTCTACTCCTTTAGTTGAGGACACACATCACGAGTAAGTTTCTGAGAATGCTTCTGTCTAGTTTTTATGGGAAGATATTTCCTTTTTCACCTTAGGCCGGTAAGTGCTCCAAATGTCCACTTACACACACTACAAAAAGAGTGTTTCAAACCTGCTCTGTGAAAGGGAATGTTCAATTCTGTGACTTGAATGCAATCATCACAAAGAACTTTCTGAGAATGCTGCTGACTGCTTTTTATATGTAATCCCGTTTCCAACGAAATCCTCAAATCTAGCCAAATAGCCACTTGCAGATTCCACAAAAAGAGTGTTTCAAAACTGTTCTGTCTAAAGAAATGTTCAACTGTGTTAGTTGAGGACACACATCAGAAACTAGTTTCTGAGAATGCTTCTGTCTAGTTGTTATGGGAAGATATTTCCTTTTCCAACGTAGGCCTGAAAGCGCTCCAAATGTCCACTTCCAGATACTACAAAAAGAGTGTTTCAAACCTGCTCTACCAAAGGGAATGTTCTACTCTGTGACTTGAATGCAAACATCCCAAAGAAGTTTCTGAGAATGCTTCTGTCTAGATTTTCTCTGAAGACAATCCCGTTTCCAACGAAATCCTCAAGGCTAGGCAAATATACTCTTGCAGATTCCAGAAAAAGAGTGTTTCAAAACTGCTCCTTCAAAACGGTGGTTCAATTCTCTTAGTTGAGTACACACATCTCAAATAAGTTTCTGAGAATGCTTCTGCCTAGTTGTTACGGGAAGATATTTCCCTTTCCAACATGGGCCTGAAAGCGCTCCAAATGTCCACTTCCAGATACTACAAAAAGAGTGTTTCAAACCTGCTCTACCAAAGGGAATGTTCTACTCTGTGACTTGAATGCAAACATCCCAAAGAAGTTTCTGAGAATGCTTCTGTCTAGATTTTACCTGAAGACACTCCCGTTTCCCACGAAATCCTCAAAGCTATGCAAATATCCTCTTGCAGATTCTACAAAAAGAGTGTTTCAAAACTGCTCTATGAAAAGAAAGGTTCAACTCTGTCAGTAGAGGGCACACATCACAAACAAGTTTCTGAGAATGCTTGTGTCTAGTTGTTATGGGAAGATATTTCCTTTTTCAACATAGGCCTGAAAGCGCTCCAAATGTCCACTTCCAGATACTACAAAAGGAGTGATTCCAACCTGCTCTATGATAGGGAATGTTCATCTCTGTGTCCTGAATACAAACATCACAAAGATGTTTCTCAGAACGCTGCAGTCTGCAATTTGTATGAATTCCCGCTTCCAACGAAATCCTCAAAACTAGCCAAATATCCACTTGGAGATTCCACAAAAAGAGCGTTTCAAAACTTCTCTATGAATAGAAAGGTTCTACTCCTTTAGTTGAGGACACACATCACGAGTAAGTTTCTGAGAATGCTTCTGTCTAGTTTTTATGGGAAGATATTTCCTTTTTCACCTTAGGCCGGAAAGCGCTCCAAATGTCCACTTACACACACTACAAAAAGAGTGTTTCAAACCTGCTCTGTGAAAGGGAATGTTCAATTCTGTGACTTGAATGCAATCATCACAAAGAACTTTCTGAGAATGCTGCTGTCTGCTTTTTATATGTAATCCCGTTTCCAACGAAATCCTCAAATCTAGCCAAATATCCACTTGCAGATTCCACAAAAAGAGTGTTTCAAAACTGTTCTGTCTAAAGAAAAGTTCAACTGTGTTAGTTGAGGACACACATCAGAAACTAGTTTCTGAGAATGCTTCTGTCTATTTGTTATGGGAAGATATTTCCTTTTCCAACGTAGGCCTGAAAGCGCTCCAAATGTCCACTTCCATATACTAAAAAAAGAGTGTTTCAAACCTGCTCTACCAAAGGGAATGTTCTACTACTGTGACTTGAATGCAAACATCCCAAAGAAGTTTCTGAGAATGCTTCTGTCTAGATTTTATCTGAAGACAATCCCGTTTCCAACGAAATCCTCAAGGCTAGGCAAATATACTCTTGCAGATTCCAGAAAAAGAGGGTTTCAAAACTGCTCCTTCAAAACGGTGGTTCAATTCTCTTAGTTGAGTACACACATCTCAAATAAGTTTCTGAGAATGCTTCTGCCTAGTTGTTACGGGAAGATATTTCCCTTTCCAACATGGGCCTGAAAGCGCTCCAAATGTCCACTTCCAGATACTACAAAAAGAGTGTTTCAAACCGGCTCTACCAAAGGGAATGTTCTACTCTGTGACTTGAATGCAAACATCCCAAAGAAGTTTCTGAGAATGCTTCTGTCTAGATTTTACCTGAAGACAATCCCGTTTCCCACGAAATCCTCAAAGCTATGCAAATATCCTCTTGCAGATTCTACAAAAAGAGTGTTTCAAAACTGCTCTATGAAAAGAAAGGTTCAACTCTGTCAGTAGAGGGCACACATCACAAACAAGTTTCTGAGAACGCTTGTGTCTAGTTGTTATGGGAAGATATTTCCTTTTTCAACATAGGCCTGAAAGCGCTCCAAATGTCCACTTCCAGATACTACAAAAGGAGTGATTCCAACATGCTCTATGATAGGGAATGTTCATCTCTGTGTCTTGAATACAAACATCACAAAGATGTTTCTCAGAACGCTGCAGTCTGCAATTTGTATGAATTCCCGCTTCCAACGAAATCCTCAAAACTAGCCAAATATCCACTTGGAGATTCCACAAAAAGAGCGTTTGAAATCTTCTCTATGAATAGAAAGGTTCTACTCCTTTAGTTGAGGACACACATCACGAGTAAGTTTCTGAGAATGCTTCTGTCTAGTTTTTATGGGAAGATATGTCCTTTTTCACCTTAGGCCGGAAAGCGCTCCAAATGTCCACTTACACACACTACAAAAAGAGTGTTTCAAACCTGCTCTGTGAAAGGGAATGTTCAATTCTGTGACTTGAATGCAATCATCACAAACAACTTTCTGAGAATGCTGCTGTCTGCTTTTTATGTGTAATCCCCTTTCCAACGAAATCCTCAAATCTAACCCAATATCCACTTGCAGATTCCACAAAAAGAGTGTTTCAAAACTGTTCTGTCTAAAGAAAAGTTCAACTGTGTTAGTTGAGGACACACATCAGAAACTAGTTTCTGAGAATGCTTCTGTCTAGTTGTTATGGGAAGATATTTCCTTTTCCAAAGTAGGCCTGAAAGCGCTCCAAATGTCCAATTCCATATGCCAAAAAAAGAGTGTTTCAAACCTGCTCTACCAAAGGGAATGTTCTACTCTGTGACTTGAATGCAAACATCCCAAAGAAGTTTCTGAGAAAGCTTCTGTCTATATTTGATCTGAAGACAATCCCGTTTCCAACGAAATCCTCAAAGCTAGGCAAATATACTCTTGCAGATTCCAGAAAAAGAGTGTTTCAAAACTGCTCCTTCAAAAGGGTGGTTCAATTCTCTTAGTTGAGTACACACATCTCAAATAAGTTTCTGAGAATGCTTCTGCCTAGTTGTTAAGGGAAGATATTTCCCTTTCCAACATAGGCCTGAAAGCGCTCCAAATGTCCACTTCCAGATACTACAAAAAGAGTGTTTCAAACCTGCTCTACCAAAGGGAATGTTCTACTGTGTGACTTGAATGCAAACATCCCAAAGAAGTTTCTCAGAATGCTTCTGTCTAGATTTTATCTGAAAACAATCCCGTTTCCAACGAAATCCTCAAAGCTACGCAAATATCCTCTTGCAGATTCCAGAAAAAGAGTGTTTCAAAACTGGTCCTTCAAAACGGTGGTTCAATTCTCTTAGTTGAGTACACACATCTCAAATAAGTTTCTGAGAATGCTTCTGCCTAGTTCTTACGGGAAGATATTTCCTTTTCCAACATGGGCCTGAAAGCGCTCCAAATGTCCACTTCCAGATACTACAAAAAGAGTGTTTCAAACCTGCTCTACCAAAGGGAATGTTCTACTCTGTGACTTGAATGCAAACATCCCAAAGAAGTTTCTGAGAATGCTTCTGTCTAGATTTTACCTGAAGACAATCCCGTTTCCCACGAAATCCTCAAAGCTATGCAAATATCCTCTTGCAGATTCTACAAAAAGAGTGTTTCAAAACTGCTCTATGAAAAGAAAGGTTCAACTCTGTCAGTAGAGGGCACACATCACAAACAAGTTTCTGAGAATGCTTCTGCATAGTTGTTACGGGAAGATATTTCCCTTTCCAAAATAGGCCTGAAAGCGCTCCAAATGTCCACTTCCAGATACTACAAAAGGAGTGATTCCAACCTGCTCTATGATAGGGAATGTTCAACTCTGTGTCCTGAATACAAACATCACAAAGATGTTTCTCAGAACGCTGCAGTCTGCAATTTGTATGAATTCCCGCTTCCAACGAAATCCTCAAAACTAGCCAAATATCCACTTGCAGATTCCACAAAAAGACCATTTCAAAACTGCTCTATCAAAAGAAAGGTTCAACTTTGTTAGTTGAGTAGATACAGCATAAACAAGTTTCTGAGAATGCTTCTGTCCAGTTTTTATGGGAAGATATTTCCTTTTTCACCTTAGCCCTGAAATCGCTCCAAAAGTCCAGTTCCAGATACTACAAAAGGGGTGTTTCAAGACTGCTCTATGAAAGGGAGTGTTCAACTTTTGACTTGAATGCAAACATCAGAAAGCAGTTTCTCAGAACGCTGCTGTGTGCTTTTTATATGTATTCCCGCTTCCAGCGAAATCCCCAAAGCTAGCCAAATATCCACTTGCAGATTCCAGAAAAAGAGAGTTTCAAAACTGCTCCTTCAAAACGGTGGTTCAATTCTACTTAGTTGAGTACACACATCTCAAATAAGTTTCTGAGAATGCTTCTGTCTAGTTGTTATGGGAAGATATTTCCTTTTCCAACATAGGCCTGAAAGCGCTCCAAATGTCCACTTCCAGATACTACAAAAGGAGTGATTCAAACCTGCTCTATGATAGGGAATGTTCAACTCTGTGTCCTGAATACAAACATCACAAAGATGTTTCTCAGAACGCTGCAGTCTGCAATTTGTATGAATTCCCGCTTCCAACGAAATCCTCCAAACTAGCCAAATATCCACTTGCAGATTCCACAAAAAGAGCGTTTCAAAACTTCTCTATGAAAAGAAAGGTTCTACTCCTTTAGTTGAGGACACACATCACGAGTAAGTTTCTGAGAATGCTTCTGTCTAGTTTTTATGGGAAGATATGTCCTTTTTCACCTTAGGCCGGAAAGCGCTCCAAATGTCCACTTACACACACTACAAAAAGAGTGTTTCAAACCTGCTCTGTGAAAGGGAATGTTCAATTCTGTGACTTGAATGCAATCATCACAAAGAACTTTCTGAGAATGCTGCTGTCTGCTTTTTATATGTAATCCCGTTTCCAACGAAATCCTCAAATCTAGCCAAATAGCCACTTGCAGATTCCACAAAAAGAGTGTTTCAAAACTGTTCTGTCTAAAGAAATGTTCAACTGTGTTAGTTGAGGACACACATCAGAAACTAGTTTCTGAGAATGCTTCTGTCTAGTTGTTATGGGAAGATATTTCCTTTTCCAACGTAGGCCTGAAAGCACTCCAAATGTCCACTTCCATATACTAAAAAAAGAGTGTTTCAAACCTGCTCTACCAAAGGGAATGTTCTACTCTGTGACTTGAATGCAAACATCCCAAAGAAGTTTCTGAGAATGCTTCTGTCTAGATTTTATCTGAAGACAATCCCGTTTCCAACGAAATCTTCAAGGCTAGGCAAATATACTCTTGCAGATTCCAGAAAAAGAGTGTTTCAAAACTGCTCCTTCAAAACGGTGGTTCAATTCTCTTAGTTGAGTACACACATCTCAAATAAGTTTCTGAGAATGCTTCTGCCTAGTTGTTACGGGAAGATATTTCCCTTTCCAACATGGGCCTGAAAGCGCTCCAAATGTCCACTTCCAGATACTACAAAAAGAGGGTTTCAAACCTGCTCTACCAAAGGGAATGTTCTACTCTGTGACTTGAATGCAAACATCCCAAAGAAGTTTCTGAGAATGCTTCTGTCTAGATTTTACCTGAAGACAATCCCGTTTCCCACGAAATCCTCAAAGCTATGCAAATATCCTCTTGCAGATTCTACAAAAAGAGTGTTTCAAAACTGCTCTATGAAAAGAATGGTTCAACTCTGTCAGCAGAGGGCACACATCACAAACAAGTTTCTGAGAATGCTTGTGTCTAGTTGTTATGGGAAGATATTTCCTTTTTCAACATAGGCCTGAAAGCGCTCCAAATGTCCACTTCCAGATACTACAAAAGGAGTGATTCCAACCTGCTCTATGATAGGGAATGTTCATCTCTGTGTCCTGAATACAAACATCACAAAGATGTTTCTCAGAACGCTGCAGTCTGCAATTTGTATGAATTCCCGCTTCCAACGGAAATCCTCAAAACTAGCCAAATATCCACTTGCAGATTCCACAAAAAGAGCGTTTCAAAACTTCTCTATGAAAAGGAAGGTTCTACTCCTTTAGTTGAGGACACACATCACGAGTAAGTTTCTGAGAATGCTTCTGTCTAGTTTTTATGGGAAGATATTTCCTTTTTCACCTTAGGCCGGTAAGTGCTCCAAATGTCCACTTACACACACTACAAAAAGAGTCTTTCAAACCTGCTCTGTGAAAGGGAATGTTCAATTCTGTGACTTGAATGCAATCATCACAAAGAACTTTCTGAGAATGCTGCTGACTGCTTTTTATATGTAATCCCGTTTCCAACGAAATCCTCAAATCTAGCCAAATAGCCACTTGCAGATTCCACAAAAAGAGTGTTTCAAAACTGTTCTGTCTAAAGAAATGTTCAACTGTGTTAGTTGAGGACACACATCAGAAACTAGTTTCTGAGAATGCTTCTGTCTAGTTGTTATGGGAAGATATTTCCTTTTCCAACGTAGGCCTGAAAGCGCTCCAAATGTCCACTTCCATATACTAAAAAAAGAGTGTTTCAAACCTGCTCTACCAAAGGGAATGTTCTACTCTGTGACTTGAATGCAAACATCCCAAAGAAGTTTCTGAGAATGCTTCTGTCTAGATTTTCTCTGAAGACAATCCCGTTTCCAACGAAATCCTCATGGCTAGGCAAATATACTCTTGCAGATTCCAGAAAAAGAGTGTTTCAAAACTGCTCCTTCAAAACGGTGGTTCAATTCTCTTAGTTGAGTACACACATCTCAAATAAGTTTCTGAGAATGCTTCTGCCTAGTTGTTACGGGAAGATATTTCCCTTTCCATCATGGGCCTGAAAGCGCTCCAAATGTCCACTTCCAGATACTACAAAAAGAGTGTTTCAAACCTGCTCTACCAAAGGGAATGTTCTACTCTGTGACTTGAATGCAAACATCCCAAAGAAGTTTCTGAGAATGCTTCTGTCTAGATTTTACCTGAAGACAATCCCGTTTCCCACGAAATCCTCAAAGCTATGCAAATATCCTCTTGCAGATTCTACAAAAAGAGTGTTTCAAAACTGCTCTATGAAAAGAAAGGTTCAACTCTGTCAGTAGAGGGCACACATCACAAACAAGTTTCTGAGAATGCTTCTGCATAGTTGTTACGGGAAGATATTTCCCTTTCCAAAATAGGCCTGAAAGCGCTCCAAATGTCCACTTCCAGATACTACAAAAGGAGTGATTCCAACCTGCTCTATGATAGGGAATGTTCAACTCTGTGTCCTGAATACAAACATCACAAAGATGTTTCTCAGAACGCTGCAGTCTGCAATTTGTATGAATTCCCGCTTCCAACGAAATCCTCAAAACTAGCCAAATATCCACTTGCAGATTCCACAAAAAGACCATTTCAAAACTGCTCTATCAAAAGAAAGGTTCAACTTTGTTAGTTGAGTAGATACAGCATAACCAAGTTTCTGAGAATGCTTCTGTCCAGTTTTTATGGGAAGATATTTCCTTTTTCACCTTAGCCCTGAAATCGCTCCAAAAGTCCAGTTCCAGATACTACAAAAGGGGTGTTTCAAGACTGCTCTATGAAAGGGAGTGTTCAACTTTTGACTTGAATGCAAACATCAGAAAGCAGTTTCTCAGAACGCTGCTGTGTGCTTTTTATATGTATTCCCGCTTCCAGCGAAATCCCCAAAGCTAGCCAAATATCCACTTGCAGATTCCAGAAAAAGAGAGTTTCAAAACTGCTCCTTCAAAACGGTGGTTCAATTCTCTTAGTTGAGTACACACATCTCAAATAAGTTTCTGAGAATGCTTCTGTCTAGTTGTTATGGGAAGATATTTCCTTTTCCAACATAGGCCTGAAAGCGCTCCAAATGTCCACTTCCAGATACTACAAAAGGAGTGATTCCAACCTGCTCTATGATAGGGAATGTTCAACTCTGTGTCCTGAATACAAACATCACAAAGATGTTTCTCAGAACGCTGCAGTCTGCAATTTGTATGAATTCCCGCTTCCAACGAAATCCTCCAAACTAGCCAAATATCCACTTGCAGATTCCACAAAAAGAGCGTTTCAAAACTTCTCTATGAAAAGAAAGGTTCTACTCCTTTAGTTGAGGACACACATCACGAGTAAGTTTCTGAGAGTGCTTTCTGTCTAGTTTTTATGGGAAGATATTTCCTTTTTCACCTTAGGCCGGTAAGTGCTCCAAATGTCCACTTACACACACTACAAAAAGAGTGTTTCAAACCTGCTCTGTGAAAGGGAATGTTCAATTCTGTGACTTGAATGCAATCATCACAAAGAACTTTCTGAGAATGCTGCTGACTGCTTTTTATATGTAATCCCGTTTCCAACGAAATCCTCAAATCTAGCCAAATAGCCACTTGCAGATTCCACAAAAAGAGTGTTTCAAAACTGTTCTGTCTAAAGAAATGTTCAACTGTGTTAGTTGAGGACACACATCAGAAACTAGTTTCTGAGAATGCTTCTGTCTAGTTGTTATGGGAAGATATTTCCTTTTCCAACGTAGGCCTGAAAGCGCTCCAAATGTCCACTTCCAGATACTACAAAAAGAGTGTTTCAAACCTGCTCTACCAAAGGGAATGTTCTACTCTGTGACTTGAATGCAAACATCCCAAAGAAGTTTCTGAGAATGCTTCTGTCTAGATTTTCTCTGAAGACAATCCCGTTTCCAACGAAATCCTCAAGGCTAGGCAAATATACTCTTGCAGATTCCAGAAAAAGAGTGTTTCAAAACTGCTCCTTCAAAACGGTGGTTCAATTCTCTTAGTTGAGTACACACATCTCAAATAAGTTTCTGAGAATGCTTCTGCCTAGTTGTTACGGGAAGATATTTCCCTTTCCAACATGGGCCTGAAAGCGCTCCAAATGTCCACTTCCAGACACTACAAAAAGAGTGTTTCAAACCTGCTCTACCAAAGGGAATGTTCTACTCTGTGACTTGAATGCAAACATCCCAAAGAAGTTTCTGAGAATGCTTCTGTCTAGATTTTACCTGAAGACAATCCCGTTTCCCACGAAATCCTCAAAGCTATGCAAATATCCTCTTGCAGATTCTACAAAAAGAGTGTTTCAAAACTGCTCTATGAAAAGAAAGGTTCAACTCTGTCAGTAGAGGGCACACATCACAAACAAGTTTCTGAGAATGCTTCTGCATAGTTGTTACGGGAAGATATTTCCCTTTCCAAAATAGGCCTGAAAGCGCTCCAAATGTCCACTTCCAGATACTACAAAAGGAGTGATTCCAACCTGCTCTATGATAGGGAATGTTCAACTCTGTGTCCTGAATACAAACATCACAAAGATGTTTCTCAGAACGCTGCAGTCTGCAATTTGTATGAATTCCCGCTTCCAACGAAATCCTCAAAACTAGCCAAATATCCACTTGCAGATTCCACAAAAAGACCATTTCAAAACTGCTCTATCAAAAGAAAGGTTCAACTTTGTTAGTTGAGTAGATACAGCATAACCAAGTTTCTGAGAATGCTTCTGTCCAGTTTTTATGGGAAGATATTTCCTTTTTCACCTTAGCCCTGAAATCGCTCCAAAAGTCCAGTTCCAGATACTACAAAAGGGGTGTTTCAAGACTGCTCTATGAAAGGGAGTGTTCAACTTTTGACTTGAATGCAAACATCAGAAAGCAGTTTCTCAGAACGCTGCTGTGTGCTTTTTATATGTATTCCCGCTTCCAGCGAAATCCCCAAAGCTAGCCAAATATCCACTTGCAGATTCCAGAAAAAGAGAGTTTCAAAACTGCTCCTTCAAAACGGTGGTTCAATTCTCTTAGTTGAGTACACACATCTCAAATAAGTTTCTGAGAATGCTTCTGTCTAGTTGTTATGGGAAGATATTTCCTTTTCCAACATAGGCCTGAAAGCGCTCCAAATGTCCACTTCCAGATACTACAAAAGGAGTGATTCCAACCTGCTCTATGATAGGGAATGTTCAACTCTGTGTCCTGAATACAAACATCACAAAGATGTTTCTCAGAACGCTGCAGTCTGCAATTTGTATGAATTCCCGCTTCCAACGAAATCCTCAAAACTAGCCAAATATCCACTTGCAGATTCCACAAAAAGAGCGTTTCAAAACTTCTCTATGAAAAGAAAGGTTCTACTCCTTTAGTTGAGGACACACATCACGAGTAAGTTTCTGAGAATGCTTCTGTCTAGTTTTTATGGGAAGATATTTCCTTTTTCACCTTAGGCCGGTAAGTGCTCCAAATGTCCACTTACACACACTACAAAAAGAGTGTTTCAAACCTGCTCTGTGAAAGGGAATGTTCAATTCTGTGACTTGAATGCAATCATCACAAAGAACTTTCTGAGAATGCTGCTGACTGCTTTTTATATGTAATCCCGTTTCCAACGAAATCCTCAAATCTAGCCAAATAGCCACTTGCAGATTCCACAAAAAGAGTGTTTCAAAACTGTTCTGTCTAAAGAAATGTTCAACTGTGTTAGTTGAGGACACACATCAGAAACTAGTTTCTGAGAATGCTTCTGTCTAGTTGTTATGGGAAGATATTTCCTTTTCCAACGTAGGCCTGAAAGCGCTCCAAATGTCCACTTCCAGATACTACAAAAAGAGTGTTTCAAACCTGCTCTACCAAAGGGAATGTTCTACTCTGTGACTTGAATGCAAACATCCCAAAGAAGTTTCTGAGAATACTTCTGTCTAGATTTTCTCTGAAGACAATCCCGTTTCCAACGAAATCCTCAAGGCTAGGCAAATATACTCTTGCAGATTCCAGAAAAAGAGTGTTTCAAAACTGCTCCTTCAAAACGGTGGTTCAATTCTCTTAGTTGAGTACACACATCTCAAATAAGTTTCTGAGAATGCTTCTGCCTAGTTGTTATGGGAAGATATTTCCCTTTCCAACATGGGCCTGAAAGCGCTCCAAATGTCCACTTCCAGATACTACAAAAAGAGTGTTTCAAACCTGCTCTACCAAAGGGAATGTTCTACTCTGTGACTTGAATGCAAACATCCCAAAGAAGTTTCTGAGAATGCTTCTGTCTAGATTTTACCTGAAGGACAATCCCGTTTCCCACGAAATCCTCAAAGCTATGCAAATATCCTCTTGCAGATTCTACAAAAAGAGTGTTTCAAAACTGCTCTAAGAAAAGAAAGGTTCAACTCTGTCAGTAGAGGGCACACATCACAAACAAGTTTCTGAGAATGCTTGTGACTAGTTGTTATGGGAAGATATTTCCTTTTTCAACATAGGCCTGAAAGCGCTCCAAATGTCCACTTCCAGATACTACAAAAGGTGTGATTCCAACCTGCTCTATGATAGGGAATGTTCATCTCTGTGTCCTGAATACAAACATCACAAAGATGTTTCTCAGAACGCTGCAGTCTGCAATTTGTATGAATTCCCGCTTCCAACGAAATCCTCAAAACTAGCCAAATATCCACTTGGAGATTCCACAAAAAGAGCGTTTCAAAACTTCTCTATGAATAGAAAGGTTCTACTCCTTTAGTTGAGGACACACATCACGAGTAAGTTTCTGAGAATGCTTCTGTCTAGTTTTTATGGGAAGATATGTCCTTTTTCACCTTAGGCCGGAAAGCGCTCCAAATGTCCACTTACACACACTACAAAAAGAGTGTTTCAAACCTGCTCTGTGAAAGGGAATGTTCAATTCTGTGACTTGAATGCAATCATCACAAAGAACTTTCTGAGAATGCTGCTGTCTGCTTTTTATATGTAATCCCGTTTCCAACGAAATCCTCAAATCTAGCCCAATATCCACTTGCAGATTCCACAAAAAGAGTGTTTCAAAACTGTTCTGTGTAAAGAAATGTACAACTGTGGTAGTTGAGGACACACATCAGAAACTAGTTTCTGAGAATGCTTCTGTCTAGTTGTTATGGGAAGATATTTCCTTTTCCAACGTAGGCCTGAAAGCGCTCCAAATGTCCACTTCCATATACTAAAAAAAGAGTGTTTCAAACCTGCTCTACCAAAGGGAATGTTCTACTCTGTGACTTGAATGCAAACATCCCAAAGAAGTTTCTGAGAATGCTTCTGTCTAGATTTTATCTGAAGACAATCCCGTTTCCAACGAAATCCTCAAGGCTAGGCAAATATACTCTTGCAGATTCCAGAAAAAGAGGGTTTCAAAACTGCTCCTTCAAAACGGTGGTTCAATTCTCTTAGTTGAGTACACACATCTCAAATAAGTTTCTGAGAATGCTTCTGCCTAGTTGTTACGGGAAGATATTTCCCTTTCCAACATAGGCCTGAAAGCGCTCCAAATGTCCACTTCCAGATACTACAAAAAGAGTGTTTCAAACCTGCTCTACCAAAGGGAATGTTCTACTCTGTGACTTGAATGCAAACATCCCAAAGAAGTTTCTGAGAATGCTTCTGTCTAGATTTTACCTGAAGACAATCCCGTTTCCCACGAAATCCTCAAAGCTATGCAAATATCCTCTTGCAGATTCTACAAAAAGAGTGTTTCAAAACTGCTCTATGAAAAGAAAGGTTCAACTCTGTCAGTAGAGGGCACACATCACAAACAAGTTTCTGAGAATGCTTGTGTCTAGTTGTTATGGGAAGATATTTCCTTTTTCAACATAGGCCTGAAAGCGCTCCAAATGTCCACTTCCAGAAACTACAAAAGGAGTGATTCCAACCTGCTCTATGATAGGGAATGTTCAACTCTCTGTCCTGAATACAAACATCACAAAGATGTTTCTCAGAACGCTGCAGTCTGCAATTTGTATGAATTCCCGCTTCCAACGAAATCCTCAAAACTAGCCAAATATCCACTTGCAGATTCCACAAAAAGAGCATTTCAAAACTGCTCTATCAAAAGAAAGGTTCAACTTTGTTAGTTGAGTAGATACAGCATAAACAAGTTTCTGAGAATGCTTCTGTCCAGTTTTTATGGGAAGATATTTCCTTTTTCACCTTAGCCCTGAAATCGCTCCAAAAGTCCAGTTCCAGATACTACAAAAGGGGTGTTTCAAGACTGCTCTATGAAAGGGAGTGTTCAACTTTTGACTTGAATGCAAACATCAGAAAGCAGTTTCTCAGAACGCTGCTGTGTGCTTTTTATATGTGTTCCCGCTTCCAGCGAAATCCACAAAGCTAGCCAAATATCCACTTGCAGATTCCAGAAAAAGAGTGTTTCAAAACTGCTCCTTCAAAACGGTGGTTCAATTCTCTTAGTTGAGTACACACATCTCAAATAAGTTTCTGAGAATGCTTGTGTCTAGTTGTTATGGGAAGATATTTCCTTTTTCAACATAGGCCTGAAAGCGCTCCAAATGTCCACTTCCAGATACTACAAAAGGAGTGATTCCAACCTGCACTATGACAGGGAATGTTCATCTCTGTGTCCTGAATACAAACATCACAAAGATGTTTCTCAGAACGCTGCAGTCTGCAATTTGTATGAATTCCCGCTTCCAACGAAATCCTCAAAACTAGCCAAATATCCACTTGGAGATTCCACAAAAAGAGCGTTTCAAAACTTCTCTATGAATAGAAAGGTTCTACTCCTTTAGTTGAGGACACACATCACGAGTAAGTTTCTGAGAATGCTTCTGTCTAGTTTTTATGGGAAGATATGTCCTTTTTCACCTTAGGCCGGAAAGCGCTCCAAATGTCCACTTACACACACTACAAAAAGAGTGTTTCAAACCTGCTCTGTGAAAGGGAATGTTCAATTCTGTGACTTGAATGCAATCATCACAAAGAACTTTCTGAGAATGATGCTGTCTGCTTTTTATATGTAATCCCGTTTCCAACGAAATCCTCAAATCTAGCCCAATATCCACTTGCAGATTCCACAAAAAGAGTGTTTCAAAACTGTTCTGTCTAAAGAAAAGTTCAACTGTGTTAGTTGAGGACACACATCAGAAACTAGTTTCTGAGAATGCTTCTGTCTAGTTGTTATGGGAAGATATTTCCTTTTCCAACGTAGGCCTGAAAGCGCTCCAAATGTCCACTTCCAGATACTACAAAAAGAGTGTTTCAAACCTGCTCTACCAAAGGGAATGTTCTACTCTGTGACTTGAATGCAAACATCCCAAAGAAGTTTCTGAGAATGCTTCTGTCTAGATTTTATCTGAAGACAATCCCGTTTCCAACGAAATCCTCAAGGCTAGGCAAATATACTCTTGCAGATTCCAGAAAAAGAGTGTTTCAAAACTGCTCCTTCAAAACGGTGGTTCAATTCTCTTAGTTGAGTACACACATCTCAAATAAGTTTCTGAGAATGCTTCTGCCTAGTTGTTACGGGAAGATATTTCCCTTTCCAACATGGGCCTGATAGCGCTCCGAATGTCCACTTCCAGATACTACAAAAAGAGGGTTTCAAACCTGCTCTACCAAAGGGAATGTTCTACTCTGTGACTTGAATGCAAACATCCCAAAGAAGTTTCTGAGAATGCTTCTGTCTAGATTTTACCTGAAGACAATCCCGTTTCCCACTAAATCCTCAAAGCTATGCAAATATCCTCTTGCAGATTCTACAAAAAGAGTGTTTCAAAACTGCTCTATGAAAAGAAAGGTTCAACTCTGTCAGTAGAGGGCACACATCACAAACAAGTTTCTGAGAATGCTTGTGTCTAGTTGTTATGGGAAGATATTTCCTTTTTCAACATAGGCCTGAAAGCGCTCCAAATGTCCACTTCCAGATACTACAAAAGGAGTGATTCCAACCTGCTCTATGATAGGGAATGTTCATCTCTGTGTCCTGAATACAAACATCACAAAGATGTTTCTCAGAACGCTGCAGTCTGCAATTTGTATGAATTCCCGCTTCCAACGAAATCCTCAAAACTAACCAAATATCCACTTGGAGATTCCACAAAAAGAGCGTTTCAAAACTTCTCTATGAATAGAAAGGTTCTACTCCTTTAGTTGAGGACACACATCACGAGTAAGTTTCTGAGAATGCTTCTGTCTAGTTTTTATGGGAAGATATTTCCTTTTTCACCTTAGGCCGGAAAGCGCTCCAAATGTCCCCTTACACACACTACACAAAGCATGTTTCAAACCTGCTCTGTGAAAGGGAATGTTCAATTCGGTGACTTGAATGCAATCATCACAAAGAACTTTCTGAGAATGCTGCTGTCTGCTTTTTATATGTAATCCCGTTTCCAACGAAATCCTCAAATCTAGCCAAATATCCACTTGCAGATTCCACAAAAAGAGTGTTTCAAAACTGTTCTGTCTAAAGAAAAGTTCAACTGTGTTAGTTGAGGACACACATCAGAAACTAGTTTCTGAGAATGCTTCTGTCTAGTTGTTATGGGAAGATATTTCCTTTTCCAACGTAGGCCTGAAAGCGCTCCAAATGTCCACTTCCATATACTAAAAAAAGAGTGTTTCAAACCTGCTCTACCAAAGGGAATGTTCTACTCTGTGACTTGAATGCAAACATCCCAAAGAAGTTTCTGAGAATGCTTCTGTCTAGATTTTATCTGAAGACAATCCCGTTTCCAACGAAATCCTCAAGGCTAGGCAAATATACTCTTGCAGATTCCAGAAAAAGAGTGTTTCAAAACTGCTCCTTCAAAACGGTGGTTCAATTCTCTTAGTTGAGTACACACATCTCAAATAAGTTTCTGAGAATGCTTCTGCCTAGTTGTTACGGGAAGATATTTCCCTTTCCAACATGGGCCTGAAAGCGCTCCAAATGTCCACTTCCAGATACTACAAAAAGAGTGTTTCAAACCTGCTGTACCAAAGGGAATGTTCTACTCTGTGACTTGAATGCAAACATCCCAAAGAAGTTTCTGAGAATGCTTCTGTCTAGATTTTACCTGAAGACAATCCCGTTTCCCACGAAATCCTCAAAGCTATGCAAATATCCTCTTGCGGATTCTACAAAAAGAGTGTTTCAAAACTGCTCTATGAAAAGAAAGGTTCAACTCTGTCAGTAGAGGGCACACATCACAAACAAGTTTCTGAGAATGCTTGTGTCTAGTTGTTATGGGAAGATATTTCCTTTTTCAACATAGGCCTGAAAGCGCTCCAATTGTCCACTTCCAGATACTACAAAAGGAGTGATTCCAACCTGCTCTATGATAGGGAATGTTCATCTCTGTGTCCTGAATACAAACATCACAAAGATGTTTCTCAGAACGCTGCAGTCTGCAATTTGTATGAATTCCCGCTTCCAACGAAATCCTCAACACTAGCCAAATATCCACTTGGAGATTCCACAAAAAGAGCGTTTCAAAACTTCTCTATGAATAGAAAGGTTCTACTCCTTTAGTTGAGGACACACATCACGAGTAAGTTTCTGAGAATGCTTCTGTCTAGTTTTTATGGGAAGATATTTCCTTTTTCACCTTAGGCCGGAATGCGCTCCAAATGTCCACTTACACACACTACAAAAAGAGTGTTTCAAACCTGCTCTGTGAAAGGGAATGTTCAATTCTGTGACTTGAATGCAATCATCACAAAGAACTTTCTGAGAATGCTGCTGTCTGCTTTTTATATGTAATCCCGTTTCCAACGAAATCCTCAAATCTAGCCCAATATCCACTTGCAGATTCCACAAAAAGAGTGTTTCAAAACTGTTCTGTCTAAAGAAATGTACAACTGTGTTAGTTGAGGACACACATCAGAAACTAGTTTCTGAGAATGCTTCTGTCTAGTTGTTATGGGAAGATATTTCCTTTTCCAACGTAGGCCTGAAAGCGCTCCAAATGTCCACTTCCATATACTAAAAAAAGAGTGTTTCAAACCTGCTCTACCAAAGGGAATGTTCTACTCTGTGACTTGAATGCAAACATCCCAAAGAAGTTTCTGAGAATGCTTCTGTCTAGATTTGATCTAAAGACAATCCCGTTTCCAATGAAATCCTCAAGGCTAGGCAAATATACTCTTGCAGATTCCAGAAAAAGAGTGTTTCAAAACTGCTCCTTCAAAACGGTGGTTCAATTCTCTTAGTTGAGTACACACATCTCAAATAAGTTTCTGAGAATGCTTCTGCCTAGTTGTTACGGGAAGATATTTCCCTTTCCAACATGGGCCTGAAAGCGCTCCAAATGTCCACTTCCAGATACTACAAAAAGAGTGTTTCAAACCTGCTCTACCAAAGGGAATGTTCTACTCTGTGACTTGAATGCAAACATCCCAAAGAAGTTTCTGAGAATGCTTCTGTCTAGATTTTACCTGAAGACAATCCCGTTTCCCACGAAATCCTCAAAGCTATGCAAATATCCTCTTGCAGATTCTACAAAAAGAGTGTTTCAAAACTGCTCTATGAAAAGAAAGGTTCAACTCTGTCAGTAGAGGGCACACATCACAAACAAGTTTCTGAGAATGCTTCTGCATAGTTGTTACGGGAAGATATTTCCCTTTCCAAAATAGGCCTGAAAGCGCTCCAAATGTCCACTTCCAGATACTACAAAAGGAGTGATTCCAACCTGCTCTATGATAGGGAATGTTCAACTCTCTGTCCTGAATACAAACATCACAAAGATGTTTCTCAGAACGCTGCAGTCTGCAATTTGTATGAATTCCCGCTTCCAACGAAATCCTCAAAACTAGCCAAATATCCACTTGCAGATTCCACAAAAAGAGCATTTCAAAACTGCTCTGTCAACAGAAAGGTTCAACTTTGTTAGTTGAGTAGATACAGCATAAACAAGTTTCTGAGAATGCTTCTGTCCAGTTTTTATGGGAAGATATTTCCTTTTTCACCTTAGCCCTCAAAGCGCTCCAAAAGTCCAGTTCCAGATACTACAAAAGGAGTGTTTCAGGACTGCTCTATGAAAGGGAGTGTTCAACTTTTGACTTGAATGCAAACATCAGAAAGCAGTTTCTCAGAACGCTGCTGTGTGCTTTTTATATGTATTCCCGCTTCCAGCGAAATCCCCAAAGCTAGCCAAATATCCACTTGCAGATTCCAGAAAAAGAGTGTTTCAAAACTGCTCCTTCAAAACGGTGGTTCAATTCTCTTAGTTGAGTACACACATCTCAAATAAGTTTCTGAGAATGCTTCTGTCTAGTTGTTATGGGAAGATATTTCCTTTTCCAACATAGGCCTGAAAGCACTCCAAATGTCCACTTCCAGATACTACAAAAGGAGTGATTCAAACCTGCTCTATGATAGGGAATGTTCAACTCTGTGTCCTGAATACAAACATCACAAAGATGTTTCTCAGAACGCTGCAGTCTGCAATTTGTATGAATTCCCGCTTCCAACGAAATCCTCAAAACTAGCCAAATATCCACTTGCAGATTCCACAAAAAGAGCGTTTCAAAACTTCTCTATGAAAAGAAAGGTTCTACTCCTTTAGTTGAGGACACACATCACGAGTAAGTTTCTGAGAATGCTTCTGTCTAGTTTTTATGGGAAGATATTTCCTTTTTCACCTTAGGCCGGTAAGTGCTCCAAATGTCCACTTACACACACTACAAAAAGAGTGTTTCAAACCTGCTCTGTGAAAGGGAATGTTCAATTCTGTGACTTGAATGCAATCATCACAAAGAACTTTCTGAGAATGCTGCTGACTGCTTTTTATATGTAATCCCGTTTCCAACGAAATCCTCAAATCTAGCCAAATAGCCACTTGCAGATTCCACAAAAAGAGTGTTTCAAAACTGTTCTGTCTAAAGAAATGTTCAACTGTGTTAGTTGAGGACACACATCAGAAACTAGTTTCTGAGAATGCTTCTGTCTAGTTGTTATGGGAAGATACTTCCTTTTCCAACGTAGGCCTGAAAGCGATCCAAATGTCCACTTCCAGATACTACAAAAAGAGTGTTTCAAACCTGCTCTACCAAAGGGAATGTTCTACTCTGTGACTTGAATGCAAACATCCCAAAGAAGTTTCTGAGAATGCTTCTGTCTAGATTTTCTCTGAAGACAATCCCGTTTCCAACGAAATCCTC
Organism: Homo sapiens; assembly: GCF_000001405.40. Taxonomy (NCBI): domain Eukaryota; kingdom Metazoa; phylum Chordata; class Mammalia; order Primates; family Hominidae; genus Homo; species Homo sapiens. Next base: position 17,361,356 of record NC_000018.10, on the reverse strand, counting down.
AAGGCTAGGCAAATATACTCTTGCAGATTCCAGAAAAAGAGTGTTTCAAAACTGCTCCTTCAAAACGGTGGTTCAATTCTCTTAGTTGAGTACACACATCTCAAATAAGTTTCTGAGAATGCTTCTGCCTAGTTGTTACGGGAAGATATTTCCCTTTCCAACATGGGCCTGAAAGCGCTCCAAATGTCCACTTCCAGATACTACAAAAAGAGTGTTTCAAACCTGCTCTACCAAAGGGAATGTTCTACTCTGTGACTTGAATGCAAACATCCCAAAGAAGTTTACTGAGAATGCTTCTGTCTAGATTTTACCTGAAGACAATCCCGTTTCCCACGAAATCCTCAAAGCTATGCAAATATCCTCTTGAAGATTCTACAAAAAGAGTGTTTCAAAACTGCTCTATGAAAAGAACGGTTCAACTCTGTCAGTAGAGGGCACACATCACAAACAAGTTTCTGAGAATGCTTCTGCATAGTTGTTACGGGAAGATATTTCCCTTTCCAAAATAGGCCTGAAAGCGCTCCAAATGTCCACTTCCAGATACTACAAAAGGAGTGATTCCAACCTGCTCTATGATAGGGAATGTTCAACTCTGTGTCCTGAATACAAACATCACAAAGATGTTTCTCAGAACGCTGCAGTCTGCAATTTGTATGAATTCCCACTTCCAACGAAATCCTCAAAACTAGCCAAATATCCACTTGCAGATTCCACAAAAAGAGCATTTCAAAACTGCTCTATCAAAAGAAAGGTTCAACTTTGTTAGTTGAGTAGATACAGCATAAACAAGTTTCTGAGAATGCTTCTGTCCAGTTTTTATGGGAAGATATTTCCTTTTTCACCTTAGCCCTGAAAGCGCTCCAAAAGTCCAGTTCCAGATACTACAAAAGGAGTGTTTCAGGACTGCTCTATGAAAGGGAGTGTTCAACTTTTGACTTGAATGCAAACATCAGAAAGCAGTTTCTCAGAACGCTGCTGTGTGCTTTTTATATGTATTCCCGCTTCCAGCGAAATCCCCAAAGCTAGCCAAATATCCACTTGCAGATTCCAGAAAAAGAGTGTTTCAAAACTGCTCCTTCAAAACGGTGGTTCAATTCTCTAAGTTGAGTACACACATCTCAAATAAGTTTCTGAGAATGCTTGTGTCTAGTTGTTATGGGAAGATATTTCCTTTTTCAACATAGGCCTGAAAGCGCTCCAAATGTCCACTTCCAGATACTACAAAAGGAGTGATTCCAACCTGCTCTATGATAGGGAATGTTCATGCTCTGTGTCCTGAATACAAACATCACAACGATGTTTCTGAGAACGCTGCAGTCTGCAATTTGTATGAATTCCCGCTTCCAACGAAATCCTCAAAACTAGCCAAATATCCACTTGGAGATTCCACAAAAAGAGCGTTTCAAAACTTCTCTATGAATAGAAAGGTTCTACTCCTTTAGTTGAGGACACACATCACGAGTAAGTTTCTGAGAATGCTTCTGTCTAGTTTTTATGGGAAGATATTTCCTTTTTCACCTTAGGCCGGTAAGTGCTCCAAATGTCCACTTACACACACTACAAAAAGAGTCTTTCAAACCTGCTCTGTGAAAGGGAATGTTCAATTCTGTGACTTGAATGCAATCATCACAAAGAACTTTCTGAGAATGCTGCTGACTGCTTTTTATATGTAATCCCGTTTCCAACGAAATCCTCAAATCTAGCCCAATATCCACTTGCAGATTCCACAAAAAGAGTGTTTCAAAACTGTTCTGTCTAAAGAAATGTACAACTGTGTTAGTTGAGGACACACATCAGAAACTAGTTTCTGAGAATGCTTCTGTCTAGTTGTTATGGGAAGATATTTCCTTTTCCAACGTAGGCCTGAAAGCGCTCCAAATGTCCACTTCCATATACTAAAAAAAGAGTGTTTCAAACCTGCTCTACCAAAGGGAATGTTCTACTCTGTGACTTGAATGCAAACATCCCAAAGAAGTTTCTGAGAATGCTTCTGTCTAGATTTTATCTGAAGACAATCCCGTTTCCAACGAAATCCTCAAAGCTAGGCAAATATACTCTTGCAGATTCCAGAAAAAGAGTGTTTCAAAACTGCTCCTTCAAAACGGTGGTTCAATTCTCTTAGTTGAGTACACACATCTCAAATAAGTTTCTGAGAATGCTTCTGCCTAGTTGTTACGGGAAGATATTTCCCTTTCCAACATGGGCCTGAAAGCGCTCCAAATGTCCACTTCCAGATACTACAAAAAGAGTGTTTCAAACCTGCTCTACCAAAGGGAATGTTCTACTCTGTGACTTGAATGCAAACATCCCAAAGAAGTTTCTGACAATGCTTCTGTCTAGATTTTACCTGAAGACAATCCCGTTTCCCACGAAATCCTCAAAGCTATGCAAATATCCTCTTGCGGACTCTACAAAAAGAGTGTTTCAAAACTCCTCTATGAAAAGAAAGGTTCAACTCTGTCAGTAGAGGGCACACATCACAAACAAGTTTCTGAGAATGCTTGTGTCTAGTTGTTATGGGAAGATATTTCCTTTTTCAACATAGGCCTGAAAGCGCTCCAAATGTCCACTTCCAGATACTACAAAAGGAGTGATTCCAACCTGCTCTATGATAGGGAATGTTCATCTCTGTGTCCTGAATACAAACATCACAAAGATGTTTCTCAGAACGCTGCAGTCTGCAATTTGTATGAATTCCCGCTTCCAACGAAATCCTCAAAACTAGCCAAATATCCACTTGGAGATTCCACAAAAAGAGCATTTCAAAACTTCTCTACGAATAGAAAGGTTCTACTCCTTTAGTTGAGGACACACATCACGAGTAAGTTTCTGAGAATGCTTCTGTCTAGTTTTTATGGGAAGATATTTCCTTTTTCACCTTAGGCCGGAAAGCGCTCCAAATGTCCACTTACACACACTACAAAAAGAGTGTTTCAAACCTGCTCTGTGAAAGGGAATGTTCAATTCTGTGACTTGAATGCAATCATCACAAAGAACTTTGCTGAGAATGCTGCTGTCTGCTTTTTATATGTAATCCCGTTTCTAACGAAATCCTCAAATCTAGCCAAATAGCCACTTGCAGATTCCACAAAAAGAGTGTTTCAAAACTGTTCTGTCTAAAGAAATGTTCAACTGTGTTAGTTGAGGACACACATCAGAAACTAGTTTCTGAGAATGCTTCTGTCTAGTTGTTATGGGAAGATATTTCCTTTTCCAACGTAGGCCTGAAAGCGCTCCAAATGTCCACTTCCATACACTAAAAAAAGAGTGTTTCAAACCTGCTCTACCAAAGGGAATGTTCTACTCTGTGACTTGAATGCAAACATCCCAAAGAAGTTTCTGAGAATGCTTCTGTCTAGATTTGATCTGAAGACAATACCGTTTCCAACGAAATCCTCAAGGCTAGGCAAATATCCTCTTGCCAATTCCAGAAAAAGAGTGTTTCAAAACTGCTCCTTCAAAACGGTGGTTCAATTCTCTTAGTTGAGTACACACATCTCAAATAAGTTTCTGAGAATGCTTCTGCCTAGTTGTTACGGGAAGATATTTCCCTTTCCAACATAGGCCTGAAAGCGCTCCAAATGTCCACTTCCAGATACTACAAAAAGAGTGTTTCAAACCTGCTCTACCAAAGGGAATGTTCTACTCTGTGACTTGAATGCAAACATCCCAAAGAAGTTTCTGAGAATGCTTCTGTCTAGATTTTACCTGAAGACAATCCCGTTTCCCACGAAATCCTCAAAGCTATGCAAATATCCTCTTGCAGATTCTACAAAAAGAGTGTTTCAAAACTGCTCTATGAAAAGAAAGGTTCAACTCTGTCAGTAGAGGGCACACATCACAAACAAGTTTCTGAGAATGCTTCTGCATAGTTGTTACGGGAAGATATTTCCCTTTCCAAAATAGGCCTGAAAGCGCTCCAAATGTCCACTTCCAGATACTACAAAAGGAGTGATTCCAACCTGCTCTATGATAGGGAATGTTCAACTCTGTGTCCTGAATACAAACATCACAAAGATGTTTCTCAGAACGCTGCAGTCTGCAATTTGTATGAATTCCCGCTTCCAACGAAATCCTCAAAACTAGCCAAATATCCACTTGCAGATTCCACAAAAAGACCATTTCAAAACTGCTCTATCAAAAGAAAGGTTCAACTTTGTTAGTTGAGTAGATACAGCATAAACAAGTTTCTGAGAATGCTTCTGTCCAGTTTTTATGGGAAGATATTTCCTTTTTCACCTTAGCCCTGAAATCGCTCCAAAAGTCCAGTTCCAGATACTACAAAAGGGGTGTTTCAGGACTGCTCTATGAAAGGGAGTGTTCAACTTTTGACTTGAATGCAAACATCAGAAAGCAGTTTCTCAGAACGCTGCTGTGTGCTTTTTATATGTATTCCCGCTTCCAGCGAAATCCCCAAAGCTAGCCAAATATCCACTTGCAGATTCCAGAAAAAGAGAGTTTCAAAACTGCTCCTTCAAAACGGTGGTTCAATTCTCTTAGTTGAGTACACACATCTCAAATAAGTTTCTGAGAATGCTGCAGTCTGCAATTTGTATGAATTCCAGCTTCCAACGAAATCCTCAAATCTAGCCAAATATCCACTTGCAGATTCCACAAAAAGAGCATTTCAAAACTGCTCTGTCAAAAGAAAGGTTCAACTTTGTTAGTAGAGTAGATACAGCATAAACAAGTTTCTGAGAATGCTGCAGTCTGCAATTTGTATGAATTCCCGCTTCCAACGAAATCCTCAAAACTAGCCAAATATCCACTTGCAGATTCCACAAAAAGAGCGTTTCAAAACTTCTCTATGAAAAGAAAGGTTCTACTCCTTTAGTTGAGGACACACATCACGAGTAAGTTTCTCAGAATGCTTCTGTCTAGTTTTTATGGGAAGATATTTCCTTGTTCACCTTAGGCCGGAAAGCGCTCCAAATGTCCACTTACACACACTACAAAAAGAGTGTTTCAAACCTGCTCTGTGAAACGGAATGTTCAATTCTGTGACTTGAATGCAATCATCACAAAGAAGTTTCTGAGAATGCTGCTGTCTGCTTTTTATATGTAATCCCGTTTCCAACGAAATCCTCAAATCTAGCCAAATATCCACTTGCAGATTCCACAAAGAGAGTGTTTCAAAACTGTTCTGTCTAAAGAAATGTTCAACTGTGTTAGTTGAGGACACACATCAGAAACTAGTTTCTGAGAATGCTTCTGTCTAGTTGTTATGGGAAGATATTTCCTTTTCCAACGTAGGCCTGAAAGCGCTCCAAATGTCCACTTCCATATACTAAAAAAAGAGTGTTTCAAACCTGCTCTACCAAAGGGAATGTTCTACTCTGTGACTTGAATGCAAACATCCCAAAGAAGTTTCTGAGAATGCTTCTGTCTAGATTTGATCTGAAGACAATCCCGTTTCCAACGAAATCCTCAAATCTATGCAAATATCCTCTTGCAGATTCCAGAAAAAGAGTGTTTCAAAACTGCTCCTTCAAAACGGTGGTTCAATTCTCTTAGTTGAGTACACACATCTCAAATAAGTTTCTGAGAATGCTTCTGCCTAGTTGTTACGGGAAGATATTTCCCTTTCCAACATAGGCCTGAAAGCGCTCCAAATGTCCACTTCCAGATACTACAAAAAGAGTGTTTCAAACCTGCTCCTTCAAAACGGTGGTTCAATTCTCTTAGTTCAGTACACACATCTCAAATAAGTTTCTGAGAATGCTTCTGCCTAGTTGTTACGGGAAGATATTTCCCTTTCCAACATAGGCCTGAAAGCGCTCCAAATGTCCACTTCCAGATACTACAAAAAGAGTGTTTCAAACCTGCTCTACCAAAGGGAATGTTCTACTCTGTGACTTGAATGCAAACATCCCGAAGAATTTTCTGAGAATGCTTCTGTCTAGATTTTACCTGAAGACAATCCCGTTTCCCACGAAATCCTCAAAGCTATGCAAATATCCTCTTGCAGATTCTACAAAAAGAGTGTTTCGAAACTGCTCTATGAAAAGCAAGGTTCAACTCTGTCAGTAGAGGGCACACATCACAAACAAGTTTACTGAGAATGCTTGTGTCTAGTTGTTATGGGAAGATATTTCCTTTTTCAACATAGGACTGAAAGCGCTCCAAATGTCCACTTCCAGATACTACAAAAGGAGTGATTCCAACCTGCTCTATGATAGGGAATGTTCATTCTCTGTGTCCTGAATACAAACATCACAAAGATGATTCTCAGAACGCTGCAGTCTGCAATTTGTATGAATTCCCGCTTCCAACGAAATCCTCAAAACTAGCCAAATATCCACTTGCAGATTCCACAAAAAGAGCATTTCAAAACTGCTCTATCAAAAGAAAGGTTCAACTTTGTTAGTTGAGTAGATACAGCATAAACAAGTTTCTGAGAATGCTTCTGTCCAGTTTTTATGGGAAGATATTTCCTTTTTCACCTTAGCCCTGAAAGCGCTCCAAAAGTCCAGTTCCAGATACTACAAAAGGAGTGTTTCAGGACTGCTCTATGAAAGGGAGTGTTCAACTTTTGACTTGAATGCAAACATCAGAAAGCAGTTTCTCAGAACGCTGCTGTGTGCTTTTTATATGTATTCCCGCTTCCAGCGAAATCCCCAAAGCCAGCCAAATATCCACTTGCAGATTCCAGAAAAAGAGTGTTTCAAAACTGCTCCTTCAAAACGGTGGTTCAATTCTCTTAGTTGAGTACACACATCTCAAATAAGTTTCTGAGAATGCTTCTGTCTAGTTGTTATGGGAAGATATTTCCTTTTCCAACATAGGCCTGAAAGCGCTCCAAATGTCCACTTCCAGATACTACAAAAGGAGTGATTCAAACCTGCTCTATGATAGGGAATGTTCAACTCTGTGTCCTGAATACAAACATCACAAAGATGTTTCTCAGAACACTGCAGTCTGCAATTTGTATGAATTCCCGCTTCCAACGAAATCCTCAAAACTAGCCAAATATCCACTTGCAGATTCCACAAAAAGAGCGTTTCAAACCTTCTCTATGAAAAGAAAGGTTCTACTCCTTTAGTTGAGGACACACATCACGAGTAAGTTTCTGAGAATGCTTCTGTCTAGTTTTTATGGGAAGATATTTCCTTTTTCACCTTAGGCCGGTAAGTGCTCCAAATGTCCACTTACACACACTACAAAAAGAGTGTTTCAAACCTGCTCTGTGAAAGGGAATGTTCAATTCTGTGACTTGAATGCAATCATCACAAAGAACTTTCTGAGAATGCTGCTGACTGCTTTTTATATGTAATCCCGTTTCCAACGAAATCCTCAAATCTAGCCAAATAGCCACTTGCAGATTCCACAAAAAGAGTGTTTCAAAACTGTTCTGTCTAAAGAAATGTTCAACTGTGTTAGTTGAGGACACACATCAGAAACTAGTTTCTGAGAATGCTTCTGTCTAGTTGTTATGGGAAGATATTTCCTTTTCCAACGTAGGCCTGAAAGCGCTCCAAATGTCCACTTCCAGATACTAAAAAAAGAGTGTTTCAAACCTGCTCTACCAAAGGGAATGTTCTACTCTGTGACTTGAATGCAAGCATCCCAAAGAAGTTTCTGAGAATGCTTCTGTCTAGATTTTATCTGAAGACAATCCCGTTTCCAACGAAATCTTCAAGGCTAGGCAAATATACTCTTGCAGTTTCCAGAAAAAGAGTGTTTCAAAACTGCTCCTTCAAAACGGTGGTTCAATTCTCTTAGTTGAGTACACACATCTCAAATAAGTTTCTGAGAATTCTTCTGCCTAGTTGTTACGGGAAGATATTTCCCTTTCCAACATGGGCCTGAAAGCGCTCCAAATGTCCACTTCCAGATACTACAAAAAGAGTGTTTCAAACCTGCTCTACCAAAGGGAATGTTCTACTCTGTGACTTGAATGCAAACATCCCAAAGAAGTTTCTGAGAATGCTTCTGTCTAGATTTTACCTGAAGACAATCCCGTTTCCCACGAAATCCTCAAAGCTATGCAAATATCCTCTTGCAGATTCTACAAAAAGAGTGTTTCAAAACTGCTCTATGAAAAGAAAGGTTCAACTCTGTCAGTAGAGGGCACACATCACAAACAAGTTTCTGAGAATGCTTCTGCATAGTTGTTACGGGAAGATATTTCCCTTTCCAAAATAGGCCTGAAAGCGCTCCAAATGTCCACTTCCAGATACTACAAAAGGAGTGATTCCAACCTGCTCTATGATAGGGAATGTTCAACTCTGTGTCCTGAATACAAACATCACAAAGATGTTTCTCAGAACGCTGCAGTCTGCAATTTGTATGAATTCCCGCTTCCAACGAAATCCTCAAAACTAGCCAAATATCCACTTGCAGATTCCACAAAAAGACCATTTCAAAACTGCTCTATCAAAAGAAAGGTTCAACTTTGTTAGTTGAGTAGATACAGCATAAACAAGTTTCTGAGAATGCTTCTGTCCAGTTTTTATGGGAAGATATTTCCTTTTTCACCTTAGCCCTGAAATCGCTCCAAAAGTCCAGTTCCAGATACTACAAAAGGGGTGTTTCAGGACTGCTCTATGAAAGGGAGTGTTCAACTTTTGACTTGAATGCAAACATCAGAAAGCAGTTTCTCAGAACGCTGCTGTGTGCTTTTTATATGTATTCCCGCTTCCAGCGAAATCCCCAAAGCTAGCCAAATATCCACTTGCAGATTCCAGAAAAAGAGAGTTTCAAAACTGCTCCTTCAAAACGGTGGTTCAATTCTCTTAGTTGAGTACACACATCTCAAATAAGTTTCTGAGAATGCTTCTGTCTAGTTGTTATGGGAAGATATTTCCTTTTCCAACATAGGCCTGAAAGCGCTCCAAATGTCCACTTCCAGATACTACAAAAGGAGTGATTCAAACCTGCTCTATGATAGGGAATGTTCAACTCTGTGTCCTGAATACAAACATCACAAAGATGTTTCTCAGAACGCTGCAGTCTGCAATTTGTATGAATTCCCGCTTCCAACGAAATCCTCAAAACTAGCCAAATATCCACTTGCAGATTCCACAAAAAGAGCGTTTCAAAACTTCTCTATGAAAAGAAAGGTTCTACTCCTTTAGTTGAGGACACACATCACGAGTAAGTTTCTGAGAATGCTTCTGTCTAGTTTTTATGGGAAGATTATTTCCTTTTTCACCTTAGGCCGGTAAGTGCTCCAAATGTCCACTTACACACACTACAAAAAGAGTGTTTCAAACCTGCTCTGTGAAAGGGAATGTTCAATTACTGTGACTTGAATGCAATCATCACAAAGAACTTTCTGAGAATGCCGCTGACTGCTTTTTATATGTAATCCCGTTTCCAACGAAATCCTCAAATCTAGCCAAATAGCCACTTGCAGATTCCACAAAAAGAGTGTTTCAAAACTGTTCTGTCTAAAGAAATGTTCAACTGTGTTAGTTGAGGACACACATCAGAAACTAGTTTCTGAGAATGCTTCTGTCTAGTTGTTATGGGAAGATATTTCCTTTTCCAACGTAGGCCTGAAAGCGCTCCAAATGTCCACTTCCAGATACTACAAAAAGAGTGTTTCAAACCTGCTCTACCAAAGGGAATGTTCTACTCTGTGACTGGAATGCAAGCATCCCAAAGAAGTTTCTGAGAATGTTTCTGTCTAGATTTTCTCTGAAGACAATCCCGTTTCCAACGAAATCCTCAAGGCTAGGCAAATATACTCTTGCAGATTCCAGAAAAAGAGTGTTTCAAAACTGCTCCTTCAAAACGGTGGTTCAATTCTCTTAGTTGAGTACACACATCTCAAATAAGTTTCTGAGAATGCTTCTGCCTAGTTGTTACGGGAAGATATTTCCCTTTCCAACATGGGCCTGAAAGCGCTCCAAATGTCCACTTCCAGATACTACAAAAAGAGTGTTTCAAACCTGCTCTACCAAAGGGAATGTTCTACTCTGTGACTTGAATGCAAACATCCCAAAGAAGTTTCTGAGAATGCTTCTGTCTAGATTTTACCTGAAGACAATCCCGTTTCCCACGAAATCCTCAAAGCTATGCAAATATCCTCTTGCAGATTCTACAAAAAGAGTGTTTCAAAACTGCTCTATGAAAAGAAAGGTTCAACTCTGTCAGTAGAGGGCACACATCACAAACAAGTTTCTGAGAATGCTTGTGTCTAGTTGTTATGGGAAGATATTTCCTTTTTCAACATAGGCCTGAAAGCGCTCCAAATGTCCACTTCCAGATACTACAAAAGGAGTGATTCCAACCTGCTCTATGATAGGGAATGTTCAACTCTCTGTCCTGAATACAAACATCACAAAGATGTTTCTCAGAACGCTGCAGTCTGCAATTTGTATGAATTCCCGCTTCCAACGAAATCCTCAAAACTAGCCAAATATCCACTTGCAGATTCCACAAAAAGAGCATTTCAAAACTGCTCTATCAAAAGAAAGGTTCAACTTTGTTAGTTGAGTAGATACAGCATAAACAAGTTTCTGAGAATGCTTCTGTCCAGTTTTTATGGGAAGATATTTCCTTTTTCACCTTAGCCCTGAAAGCGCTCCAAAAGTCCAGTTCCAGATACAACAAAAGGAGTGTTTCAGGACTGCTCTATGAAAGGGAGTGTTCAACTTTTGACTTGAATGCAAACATCAGAAAGCAGTTTCTCAGAACGCTGCTGTGTGCTTTTTATATGTATTCCCGCCTCCAGCGAAATCCCCAAAGCTAGCCAAATATCCACTTGCAGATTCCAGAAAAAGAGTGTTTCAAAACTGCTCCTTCAAAACGGTGGTTCAATTCTCTTAGTTGAGTACACACATCTCAAATAAGTTTCTGAGAATGCTTCTGTCTAGTTGTTATGGGAAGATATTTCCTTTTCCAACATAGGCCTGAAAGCGCTCCAAATGTCCAATTCCAGATACTACAAAAGGAGTGATTCCAACCTGCTCTATGATAGGGAATGTTCAACTCTGTGTCCTGAATACAAACATCACAAAGATGTTTCTCAGAACGCTGCAGTCTGCAATTTGTATGAATTCCCGCTTCCAACGAAATCCTCCAAACTAGCCAAATATCCACTTGCAGATTCCACAAAAAGAGCGTTTCAAAACTTCTCTATGAAAAGAAAGGTTCTACTCCTTTAGTTGAGGACACACATCACGAGTATGTTTCTGAGAATGCTTCTGTCTAGTTTTTATGGGAAGATATTTCCTTTTTCACCTTAGGCCGGAAAGTGCTCCAAATGTCCACTTACACACACTATAAAAAGAGTGTTTCAAACCTGCTCTGTGAAAGGGAATGTTCAATTCTGTGACTTGAATGCAATCATCACAAAGAACTTTCTGAGAATGCTGCTGTCTGCTTTTTATATGTAATCCCGTTTCCAACGAAATCCTCAAATCTAGCCAAATAGCCACTTGCAGATTCCACAAAAAGAGAGTTTCAAAACTGTTCTGTCTAAAGAAATGTTCAACTGTGTTAGTTGAGGACACACATCAGAAACTAGTTTCTGAGAATGCTTCTGTCTAGTTGTTATGGGAAGATATTTCCTTTTCCAACGTAGGCCTGAAAGCGCTCCAAATGTCCACTTCCATATACTAAAAAAAGAGTGTTTCAAACCTGCTCTACCAAAGGGAATGTTCTACTCTGTGACTTGAATGCAAACATCCCAAAGAAGTTTCTGAGAATGCTTCTGTCTAGATTTGATCTGAAGACAATCCCGTTTCCAACGAAATCCTCAAGGCTAGGCAAATATCCTCTTGCAGATTCCAGAAAAAGAGTGTTTCAAAACTGCTCCTTCAAACGGTGGTTCAATTCTCTTAGTTGAGTACACACATCTCAAATAAGTTTCTGAGAATGCTTCTGCCTAGTTGTTACGGGAAGATATTTCCCTTTCCAACATAGGCCTGAAAGCGCTCCAAATGTCCACTTCCAGATACTACAAAAAGAGTGTTTCAAACCTGCTCTACCAAAGGGAATGTTCTACTCTGTGACTTGAATGCAAACATCCCAAAGAAGTTTCTGAGAATGCTTCTGTCTAGATTTTACCTGAAGACAATCCCGTTTCCCACGAAATCCTCAAAGCTATGCAAATATCCTCTTGCAGATTCTACAAAAAGAGTGTTTCAAAACTGCTCTATGAAAAGAAAGGTTCAACTCTGTCAGTAGAGGGCACACATCACAAACAAGTTTCTGAGAATGCTTCTGCATAGTTGTTACGGGAAGATATTTCCCTTTCCAAAATAGGCCTGAAAGCGCTCCAAATGTCCACTTCCAGATACTACAAAAGGAGTGATTCCAACCTGCTCTATGATAGGGAATGTTCAACTCTGTGTCCTGAATACAAACATCACAAAGATGTTTCTCAGAACGCTGCAGTCTGCAATTTGTATGAATTCCCGCTTCCAACGAAATCCTCAAAACTAGCCAAATATCCACTTGCAGATTCCACAAAAAGAGCATTTCAAAACTGCTCTATCAAAAGAAAGGTTCAACTTTGTTAGTTGAGTAGATACAGCATAAACAAGTTTCTGAGAATGCTTCTGTCCAGTTTTTATGGGAAGATATTTCCTTTTTCACCTTAGCCCTGAAAGCGCTCCAAAAGTCCAGTTCCAGATACTACAAAAGGAGTGTTTCAGGACTGCTCTATGAAAGGGAGTGTTCAACTTTTGACTTGAATGCAAACATCAGAAAGCAGTTTCTCAGAACGCTGCTGTGTGCTTTTTATATGTATTCCCGCCTCCAGCGAAGTCCCCAAAGCTAGCCAAATATCCACTTGCAGATTCCAGAAAAAGAGTGTTTCAAAACTGCTCCTTCAAAACGGTGGTTCAATTCTCTTAGTTGAGTACACACATCTCAAATAAGTTTCTGAGAATGCTTCTGTCTAGTTGTTATGGGAAGATATTTCCTTTTCCAACATAGGCCTGAAAGCGCTCCAAATGTCCACTTCCAGATACTACAAAAGGAGTGATTCCAACCTGCTCTATGATAGGGAATGTTCAACTCTGTGTCCTGAATACAAACATCACAAAGATGTTTCTCAGAACGCTGCAGTCTGCAATTTGTATGAATTCCCGCTTCCAACGAAATCCTCCAAACTAGCCAAATATCCACTTGCAGATTCCACAAAAAGAGCGTTTCAAAACTTCTCTATGAAAAGAAAGGTTCTACTCCTTTAGTTGAGGACACACATCACGAGTAAGTTTCTGAGAATGCTTCTGTCTAGTTTTTATGGGAAGATATTTCCTTTTTCACCTTAGGCCGGAAAGTGCTCCAAATGTCCACTTACACACACTACAAAAAGAGTGTTTTTGAAACCTGCTCTGTGAAAGGGAATGTTCAATTCTGTGACTTGAATGCAATCATCACAAAGAACTTTCTGAGAATGCTGCTGTCTGCTTTTTATATGTAATCCCGTTTCCAACGAAATCCTCAAATCTAGCCAAATAGCCACTTGCAGATTCCACAAAAAGAGTGTTTCAAAACTGTTCTGTCTAAAGAAATGTTCAACTGTGTTAGTTGAGGACACATATCAGAAACTAGTTTCTGAGAATGCTTCTGTCTAGTTGTTATGGGAAGATATTTCCTTTTCCAACGTAGGCCTGAAAGCGCTCCAAATGTCCACTTCCATATACTAAAAAAAGAGTGTTTCAAACCTGCTCTACCAAAGGGAATGTTCTACTCCGTGACTTGAATGCAAATATCCCAAAGAAGTTTCTGAGAATGCTTCTGTCTAGATTTGATCTGAAGACAATCCCGTTTCCAACGAAATCCTCAAGGCTAGGCAAATATCCTCTTGCAGATTCCAGAAAAAGAGTGTTTCAAAACTGCTCCTTCAAAACGGTGATTCAATTCTCTTAGTTGAGTACACACATCTCAAATAAGTTTCTGAGAATGCTTCTGCCTAGTTGTTACGGGAAGATATTTCCCTTTCCAACATAGGCCTGAAAGCGCTCCAAATGTCCACTTCCAGATACTACAAAAAGAGTGTTTCAAACCTGCTCTACCAAAGGGAATGTTCTACTCTGTGACTTGAATGCAAACATCCCAAAGAAGTTTCTGAGAATGCTTCTGTCTAGATTTTACCTGAAGACAATCCCGTTTCCCACGAAATCCTCAAAGCTATGCAAATATCCTCTTGCAGATTCTACAAAAAGAGTGTTTCAAAACTGCTCTATGAAAAGAAAGGTTCAACTCTGTCAGTAGAGGGCACACATCACAAACAAGTTTCTGAGAATGCTTCTGCATAGTTGTTACGGGAAGATATTTCCCTTTCCAAAATAGGCCTGAAAGCGCTCCAAATGTCCACTTCCAGATACTACAAAAGGAGTGATTCCAACCTGCTCTATGATAGGGAATGTTCAACTCTGTGTCCTGAATACAAACATCACAAAGATGTTTCTCAGAACGCTGCAGTCTGCAATTTGTATGAATTCCCGCTTCCAACGAAATCCTCAAAACTAGCCAAATATCCACTTGCAGATTCCACAAAAAGACCATTTCAAAACTGCTCTATCAAAAGAAAGGTTCAACTTTGTTAGTTGAGTAGATACAGCATAAACAAGTTTCTGAGAATGCTTCTGTCCAGTTTTTATGGGAAGATATTTCCTTTTTCACCTTAGCCCTGAAATCGCTCCAAAAGTCCAGTTCCAGATACTACAAAAGGGGTGTTTCAAGACTGCTCTATGAAAGGGAGTGTTCAACTTTTGACTTGAATGCAAACATCAGAAAGCAGTTTCTCAGAACGCTGCTGTGTGCTTTTTATATGTATTCCCGCTTCCAGCGAAATCCCCAAAGCTAGCCAAATATCCACTTGCAGATTCCAGAAAAAGAGAGTTTCAAAACTGCTCCTTCAAAACGGTGGTTCAATTCTCTTAGTTGAGTACACACATCTCAAATAAGTTTCTGAGAATGCTTCTGTCTAGTTGTTATGGGAAGATATTTCCTTTTCCAACATAGGCCTGAAAGCGCTCCAAATGTCCACTTCCAGATACTACAAAAGGAGTGATTCCAACCTGCTCTATGATAGGGAATGTTCAACTCTGTGTCCTGAATACAAACATCACAAAGATGTTTCTCAGAACGCTGCAGTCTGCAATTTGTATGAATTCCCGCTTCCAACGAAATCCTCAAAACTAGCCAAATATCCACTTGCAGATTCCACAAAAAGAGCGTTTCAAAACTTCTCTATGAAAAGAAAGGTTCTACTCCTTTAGTTGAGGACACACATCACGAGTAAGTTTCTGAGAATGCTTCTGTCTAGTTTTTATGGGAAGATATTTCCTTTTTCACCTTAGGCCGGAAAGTGCTCCAAATGTCCACTTACACACACTACAAAAAGAGTGTTTCAAACCTGCTCTGTGAAAGGGAATGTTCAATTCTGTGACTTGAATGCAATCATCACAAAGAAGTTTCTGAGAATGCTGCTGTCTGCTTTTTATATGTAATCCCGTTTCCAACGAAATCCTCAAATCTAGCCAAATAGCCACTTGCAGATTCCACAAAAAGAGTGTTTCAAAACTGTTCTGTCTAAAGAAATGTGCAACTGTGTTAGTTGAGGACACACATCAGAAACTAGTTTCTGAGAATGCTTCTGTCTAGTTGTTATGGGAAGATATTTCCTTTTCCAACGTAGGCCTGAAAGCGCTCGAAATGTCCACTTCCATATACTAAAAAAAGAGTGTTTCAAACCTGCTCTACCAAAGGGAATGTTCTACTCTGTGACTTGAATGCAAACATCCCAAAGAAGTTTCTGAGAATGCTTCTGTCTAGATTTGATCTGAAGACAATCCCGTTTCCAACGAAATCCTCAAGGCTAGGCAAACATCCTCTTGCAGATTCCAGAAAAAGAGTGTTTCAAAACTGCTCCTTCAAAACGGTGGTTCAATTCTCTTAGTTGAGTACACACATCTCAAATAAGTTTCTGAGAATGCTTCTGCCTAGTTGTTACGGGAAGATATTTCCCTTTCCAACATAGGCCTGAAAGCGCTCCAAATGTCCACTTCCAGATACTACAAAAAGAGTGTTTCAAACCTGCTCTACCAAAGGGAATGTTCTACTCTGTGACTTGAATGCAAACATCCCAAAGAAGTTTCTGAGAATGCTTCTGTCTAGATTTTACCTGAAGACAATCCCGTTTCCCACGAAATCCTCAAAGCTATGCAAATATCCTGTTGCAGATTCTACAAAAAGAGTGTTTCAAAACTGCTCTATGAAAAGAAAGGTTCAACTCTGTCAGTAGAGGGCACACATCACAAACAAGTTTCTGAGAATGCTTCTGTCTAGTTGTTATGGGAAGATTTTTCCTTTTTCAACATAAGCCTGAAAGCGCTCCAAATGTCCACTTCCAGATACTACAAAAGGAGTGATTCAACCCTGCTCTATGATAGGGAATGTTCAACTCTGTGTCCTGAATACAAACATCACAAAGATGTTTCTCAGAACGCTGCAGTCTGCAATTTGTATGAATTCCCGCTTCCAACGAAATCCTCAAAACTAGCCAAATATCCACTTGCAGATTCCACAAAAAGAGCATTTCAAAACTGCTCTATCAAAAGAAAGGTTCAACTTTGTTAGTTGAGTAGATACAGCATAAACAAGTTTCTGAGAATGCTTCTGTCCAGTTTTTATGGGAAGATATTTCCTTTTTCACCTTAGCCCTGAAAGCGCCCCAAATGTCCAGTTCCAGATACTACAAAAGGGGTGTTTCAAGACTGCTCTATGAAAGGGAGTGTTCAACTTTTGATTTGAATGCAAACATCAGAAAGCAGTTTCTCAGAACGCTGCTGTGTGTTTTTTATATGTATTCCCGCTTCCAGCGAAATCCCCAAAGCTAGCCAAATATCCACTTGCAGATTCCAGAAAAAGAGCGTTTCAAAACTGCTCCTTGAAAACGGTGGTTCAATTCTCTTAGTTGAGTACACCCATCTCAAATAAGTTTCTGAGAATGCTTCTGTCTAGTTGTTATGGGAAGATATTTCCTTTTCCAACATAGGCCTGAAAGCGCTCCAAATGTCCACTTCCAGATACTACAAAAGGAGTGATTCAAACCTGCTCTATGATAGGGAATGTTCAACTCTGTGTCCTGAATACAAACATCACAAAGATGTTTCTCAGAACGCTGCAGTCTGCAATTTGTATGAATTCCCGCTTCCAACGAAATCCTCAAAACTAGCCAAATATCCACTTGCAGATTCCACAAAAAGAGCGTTTCAAAACTTCTCTATGAAAAGAAAGGTTCTACTCCTTTAGTTGAGGACACACATCACGAGTAAGTTTCTGAGAATGCTTCTGTCTAGTTTTTATGGGAAGATATTTCCTTTTTCACCTTAGGCCGGTAAGTGCTCCAAATGTCCACTTACACACACTACAAAAAGAGTGTTTCAAACCTGCTCTGTGAAAGGGAATGTTCAATTCTGTGACTTGAATGCAATCATCACAAAGAACTTTCTGAGAATGCTGCTGACTGCTTTTTATACGTAATCCCGTTTCCAACGAAATCCTCAAATCTAGCCAAATAGCCACTTGCAGATTCCACAAAAAGAGTGTTTCAAAACTGTTCTGTCTAAAGAAATGTTCAACTGTGTTAGTTGAGGACACACATCAGAAACTAGTTTGCTGAGAATGCTTCTGTCTAGTTGTTATGGGAAGATATTTCCTTTTCCAACGTAGGCCTGAAAGCGCTCCAAATGTCCACTTCCAGATACTACAAAAAGAGTGTTTCAAACCTGCTCTACCAAAGGGAATGTTCTACTCTGTGACTTGAATGCAAACATCCCAAAGAAGTTTCTGAGAATGCTTCTGTCTAGATTTGATCTGAAGACAATCCCGTTTCCAACGAAATCCTCAAGGCTAGGCAAATATCCTCTTGCAGATTCCAGAAAAAGAGTGTTTCAAAACTGCTCCTTCAAAACGGTGATTCAATTCTCTTAGTTGAGTACACACATCTCAAATAAGTTTCTGAGAATGCTTCTGCCTAGTTGTTACGGGAAGATATTTCCCTTTCCAACATAGGCCTGAAAGCGCTCCAAATGTCCACTTCCAGATACTACAAAAAGAGTGTTTCAAACCTGCTCTACCAAAGGGAATGTTCTACTCTGTGACTTGAATGCAAACATCCCAAAGAAGTTTCTGAGAATGCTTCTGTCTAGATTTTACCTGAAGACAATCCCGTTTCCCACGAAATCCTCAAAGCTATGCAAATATCCTCTTGCAGATTCTACAAAAAGAGTGTTTCAAAACTGCTCTATGAAAAGAAAGGTTCAACTCTGTCAGTAGAGGGCACACATCACAAACAAGTTTCTGAGAATGCTTGTGTCTAGTTGTTATGGGAAGATATTTCCATTTTCAACATAGGCCTGAAAGCGCTCCAAATGTCCACTTCCAGATACTACAAAAGGAGTGATTCCAACCTGCTCTATGATAGGGAATGTTCATCTCTGTGTCCTGAATACAAACATCACAAAGATGTTTCTCAGAACGCTGCAGTCTGCAATTTGTATGAATTCCCGCTTCCAACGAAATCCTCAAAACTAGCCAAATATCCACTTGCAGATTCCACAAAAAGACCATTTCAAAACTGCTCTATCAAAAGAAAGGTTCAACTTTGTTAGTTGAGTAGATACAGCATAACCAAGTTTCTGAGAATGCTTCTGTCCAGTTTTTATGGGAAGATATTTCCTTTTTCACCTTAGCCCTGAAATCGCTCCAAAAGTCCAGTTCCAGATACTACAAAAGGGGTGTTTCAAGACTGCTCTATGAAAGGGAGTGTTCAACTTTTGACTTGAATGCAAACATCAGAAAGCAGTTTCTCAGAACGCTGCTGTGTGCTTTTTATATGTATTCCCGCTTCCAGCGAAATCCCCAAAGCTAGCCAAATATCCACTTGCAGATTCCAGAAAAAGAGAGTTTCAAAACTGCTCCTTCAAAACGGTGGTTCAATTCTCTTAGTTGAGTACACACATCTCAAATAAGTTTCTGAGAATGCTTCTGTCTAGTTGTTATGGGAAGATATTTCCTTTTCCAACATAGGCCTGAAAGCGCTCCAAATGTCCACTTCCAGATACTACAAAAGGAGTGATTCAAACCTGCTCTATGATAGGGAATGTTCAACTCTGTGTCCTGAATACAAACATCACAAAGATGTTTCTCAGAACGCTGCAGTCTGCAATTTGTATGAATTCCCGCTTCCAACGAAATCCTCAAAACTAGCCAAATATCCACTTGCAGATTCCACAAAAAGAGCGTTTCAAAACTTCTCTATGAAAAGAAAGGTTCTACTCCTTTAGTTGAGGACACACATCACGAGTAAGTTTCTGAGAATGCTTCTGTCTAGTTTTTATGGGAAGATATTTCCTTTTTCACCTTAGGCCGGTAAGTGCTCCAAATGTCCACTTACACACACTACAAAAAGAGTGTTTCAAACCTGCTCTGTGAAAGGGAATGTTCAATTCTGTGACTTGAATGCAATCATCACAAAGAACTTTCTGAGAATGCTGCTGACTGCTTTTTATATGTAATCCCGTTTCCAACGAAATCCTCAAATCTAGCCAAATAGCCACTTGCAGATTCCACAAAAAGAGTGTTTCAAAACTGTTCTGTCTAAAGAAATGTTCAACTGTGTTAGTTGAGGACACACATCAGAAACTAGTTTCTGAGAATGCTTCTGTCTAGTTGTTATGGGAAGATATTTCCTTTTCCAACGTAGGCCTGAAAGCGCTCCAAATGTCCACTTCCAGATACTACAAAAAGAGTGTTTCAAACCTGCTCTACCAAAGGGAATGTTCTACTCTGTGACTTGAATGCAAACATCCCAAAGAAGTTTCTGAGAATACTTCTGTCTAGATTTTCTCTGAAGACAATCCCGTTTCCAACGAAATCCTCAAGGCTAGGCAAATATACTCTTGCAGATTCCAGAAAAAGAGTGTTTCAAAACTGCTCCTTCAAAACGGTGGTTCAATTCTCTTAGTTGAGTACACACATCTCAAATAAGTTTCTGAGAATGCTTCTGCCTAGTTGTTACGGGAAGATATTTCCCTTTCCAACATGGGCCTGAAAGCGCTCCAAATGTCCACTTCCAGATACTACAAAAAGAGTGTTTCAAACCTGCTCTACCAAAGGGAATGTTCTACTCTGTGACTTGAATGCAAACATCCCAAAGAAGTTTCTGAGAATGCTTCTGTCTAGATTTTACCTGAAGACAATCCCGTTTCCCACGAAATCCTCAAAGCTATGCAAATATCCTCTTGCAGATTCTACAAAAAGAGTGTTTCAAAACTGCTCTATGAAAAGAAAGGTTCAACTCTGTCAGTAGAGGGCACACATCACAAACAAGTTTCTGAGAATGCTTCTGCATAGTTGTTACGGGAAGATATTTCCCTTTCCAAAATAGGCCTGAAAGCGCTCCAAATGTCCACTTCCAGATACTACAAAAGGAGTGATTCCAACCTGCTCTATGATAGGGAATGTTCAACTCTGTGTCCTGAATACAAACATCACAAAGATGTTTCTCAGAACGCTGCAGTCTGCAATTTGTATGAATTCCCGCTTCCAACGAAATCCTCAAAACTAGCCAAATATCCACTTGCAGATTCCACAAAAAGACCATTTCAAAACTGCTCTATCAAAAGAAAGGTTCAACTTTGTTAGTTGAGCAGATACAGCATAACCAAGTTTCTGAGAATGCTTCTGTCCAGTTTTTATGGGAAGATATTTCCTTTTTCACCTTAGCCCTGAAATCGCTCCAAAAGTCCAGTTCCAGATACTACAAAAGGGGTGTTTCAAGACTGCTCTATGAAAGGGAGTGTTCAACTTTTGACTTGAATGCAAACATCAGAAAGCAGTTTCTCAGAACGCTGCTGTGTGCTTTTTATATGTATTCCCGCTTCCAGCGAAATCCCCAAAGCTAGCCAAATATCCACTTGCAGATTCCAGAAAAAGAGAGTTTCAAAACTGCTCCTTCAAAACGGTGGTTCAATTCTCTTAGTTGAGTACACACATCTCAAATAAGTTTTCTGAGAATGCTTATCTGTCTAGTTGTTATGGGAAGATATTTCCTTTTCCAACATAGGCCTGAAAGCGCTCCAAATGTCCACTTCCAGATACTACAAAAGGAGTGATTCCAACCTGCTCTATGATAGGGAATGTTCAACTCTGTGTCCTGAATACAAACATCACAAAGATGTTTCTCAGAACGCTGCAGTCTGCAATTTGTATGAATTCCCGCTTCCAACGAAATCCTCAAAACTAGCCAAATATCCACTTGCAGATTCCACAAAAAGAGCGTTTCAAAACTTCTCTATGAAAAGAAAGGTTCTACTCCTTTAGTTGAGGACACACATCACGAGTAAGTTTCTGAGAATGCTTCTGTCTAGTTTTTATGGGAAGATATTTCCTTTTTCACCTTAGGCCGGTAAGTGCTCCAAATGTCCACTTACACACACTACAAAAAGAGTGTTTCAAACCTGCTCTGTGAAAGGGAATGTTCAATTCTGTGACTTGAATGCAATCATCACAAAGAACTTTCTGAGAATGCTGCTGACTGCTTTTTATATGTAATCCCGTTTCCAACGAAATCCTCAAATCTAGCCAAATAGCCACTTGCAGATTCCACAAAAAGAGTGTTTCAAAACTGTTCTGTCTAAAGAAATGTTCAACTGTGTTAGTTGAGGACACACATCAGAAACTAGTTTCTGAGAATGCTTCTGTCTAGTTGTTATGGGAAGATATTTCCTTTTCCAACGTAGGCCTGAAAGCGCTCCAAATGTCCACTTCCAGATACTACAAAAAGAGTGTTTCAAACCTGCTCTACCAAAGGGAATGTTCTACTCTGTGACTGGAATGCAAGCATCCCAAAGAAGTTTCTGAGAATGCTTCTGTCTAGATTTTCTCTGAAGACAATCCCGTTTCCAACGAAATCCTCAAGGCTAGGCAAATATACTCTTGCAGATTCCAGAAAAAGAGTGTTTCAAAACTGCTCCTTCAAAACGGTGGTTCAATTCTCTTAGTTGAGTACACACATCTCAAATAAGTTTCTGAGCAATGCTTCTGCCTAGTTGTTACGGGAAGATATTTCCCTTTCCAACATGGGCCTGAAAGCGCTCCAAATGTCCACTTCCAGATACTACAAAAAGAGTGTTTCAAACCTGCTCTACCAAAGGGAATGTTCTACTCTGTGACTTGAATGCAAACATCCCAAAGAAGTTTCTGAGAATGCTTCTGTCTAGATTTTACCTGAAGACAATCCCGTTTCCCACGAAATCCTCAAAGCTATGCAAATATCCTCTTGCAGATTCTACAAAAAGAGTGTTTCAAAACTGCTCTATGAAAAGAAAGGTTCAACTCTGTCAGTAGAGGGCACACATCACAAACAAGTTTCTGAGAATGCTTCTGCATAGTTGTTACGGGAAGATATTTCCCTTTCCAACATAGGCCTGAAAGCGCTCCAAATGTCCACTTCCAGATACTACAAAAGGAGTGATTCCAACCTGCTCTATGATAGGGAATGTTCAACTCTGTGTCCTGAATACAAACATCACAAAGATGTTTCTCAGAACGCTGCAGTCTGCAATTTGTATGAATTCCCGCTTCCAACGAAATCCTCAAAACTAGCCAAATATCCACTTGCAGATTCCACAAAAAGACCATTTCAAAACTGCTCTATCAAAAGAAAGGTTCAACTTTGTTAGTTGAGTAGATACAGCATAAACAAGTTTCTGAGAATGCTTCTGTCCAGTTTTTATGGGAAGATATTTCCTTTTTCACCTTAGCCCTGAAATCGCTCCAAAAGTCCAGTTCCAGATACTACAAAAGGGGTGTTTCAAGACTGCTCTATGAAAGGGAGTGTTCAACTTTTGACTTGAATGCAAACATCAGAAAGCAGTTTCTCAGAACGCTGCTGTGTGCTTTTTATATGTATTCCCGCTTCCAGCGAAATCCCCAAAGCTAGCCAAATATCCACTTGCAGATTCCAGAAAAAGAGAGTTTCAAAACTGCTCCTTCAAAACGGTGGTTCAATTCTCTTAGTTGAGTACACACATCTCAAATAAGTTTCTGAGAATGCTTCTGTCTAGTTGTTATGGGAAGATATTTCCTTTTCCAACATAGGCCTGAAAGCGCTCCAAATGTCCACTTCCAGATACTACAAAAGGAGTGATTCCAACCTGCTCTATGATAGGGAATGTTCAACTCTGTGTCCTGAATACAAACATCACAAAGATGTTTCTCAGAACGCTGCAGTCTGCAATTTGTATGAATTCCCGCTTCCAACGAAATCCTCAAAACTAGCCAAATATCCACTTGCAGATTCCACAAAAAGAGCGTTTCAAAACTTCTCTATGAAAAGAAAGGTTCTACTCCTTTAGTTGAGGACACACATCACGAGTAAGTTTCTGAGAATGCTTCTGTCTAGTTTTTATGGGAAGATATTTCCTTTTTCACCTTAGGCCGGTAAGTGCTCCAAATGTCCACTTACACACACTACAAAAAGAGTGTTTCAAACCTGCTCTGTGAAAGGGAATGTTCAATTCTGTGACTTGAATGCAATCATCACAAAGAACTTTCTGAGAATGCTGCTGACTGCTTTTTATATGTAATCCCGTTTCCAACGAAATCCTCAAATCTAGCCAAATAGCCACTTGCAGATTCCACAAAAAGAGTGTTTCAAAACTGTTCTGTCTAAAGAAATGTTCAACTGTGTTAGTTGAGGACACACATCAGAAACTAGTTTCTGAGAATGCTTCTGTCTAGTTGTTATGGGAAGATATTTCCTTTTCCAACGTAGGCCTGAAAGCGCTCCAAATGTCCACTTCCAGATACTACCAAAAGAGTGTTTCAAACCTGCTCTACCAAAGGGAATGTTCTACTCTGTGACTTGAATGCAAACATCCCAAAGAAGTTTCTGAGAATACTTCTGTCTAGATTTTCTCTGAAGACAATCCCGTTTCCAACGAAATCCTCAAGGCTAGGCAAATATACTCTTGCAGATTCCAGAAAAAGAGTGTTTCAAAACTGCTCCTTCAAAACGGTGGTTCAATTCTCTTAGTTGAGTACACACATCTCAAATAAGTTTCTGAGAATGCTTCTGCCTAGTTGTTACGGGAAGATATTTCCCTTTCCAACATGGGCCTGAAAGCGCTCCAAATGTCCACTTCCAGATACTACAAAAAGAGTGTTTCAAACCTGCTCTACCAAAGGGAATGTTCTACTCTGTGACTTGAATGCAAACATCCCAAAGAAGTTTCTGAGAATGCTTCTGTCTAGATTTTACCTGAAGACAATCCCGTTTCCCACGAAATCCTCAAAGCTATGCAAATATCCTCTTGCAGATTCTACAAAAAGAGTGTTTCAAAACTGCTCTATGAAAAGAAAGGTTCAACTCTGTCAGTAGAGGGCACACATCACAAACAAGTTTCTGAGAATGCTTCTGCATAGTTGTTACGGGAAGATATTTCCCTTTCCAAAATAGGCCTGAAAGCGCTCCAAATGTCCACTTCCAGATACTACAAAAGGAGTGATTCCAACCTGCTCTATGATAGGGAATGTTCAACTCTGTGTCCTGAATACAAACATCACAAAGATGTTTCTCAGAACGCTGCAGTCTGCAATTTGTATGAATTCCCGCTTCCAACGAAATCCTCAAAACTAGCCAAATATCCACTTGCAGATTCCACAAAAAGACCATTTCAAAACTGCTCTATCAAAAGAAAGGTTCAACTTTGTTAGTTGAGTAGATACAGCATAACCAAGTTTCTGAGAATGCTTCTGTCCAGTTTTTATGGGAAGATATTTCCTTTTTCACCTTAGCCCTGAAATCGCTCCAAAAGTCCAGTTCCAGATACTACAAAAGGGGTGTTTCAAGACTGCTCTATGAAAGGGAGTGTTCAACTTTTGACTTGAATGCAAACATCAGAAAGCAGTTTCTCAGAACGCTGCTGTGTGCTTTTTATATGTATTCCCGCTTCCAGCGAAATCCCCAAAGCTAGCCAAATATCCACTTGCAGATTCCAGAAAAAGAGAGTTTCAAAACTGCTCCTTCAAAACGGTGGTTCAATTCTCTTAGTTGAGTACACACATCTCAAATAAGTTTCTGAGAATGCTTCTGTCTAGTTGTTATGGGAAGATATTTCCTTTTCCAACATAGGCCTGAAAGCGCTCCAAATGTCCACTTCCAGATACTACAAAAGGAGTGATTCCAACCTGCTCTATGATAGGGAATGTTCAACTCTGTGTCCTGAATACAAACATCACAAAGATGTTTCTCAGAACGCTGCAGTCTGCAATTTGTATGAATTCCCGCTTCCAACGAAATCCTCAAAACTAGCCAAATATCCACTTGCAGATTCCACAAAAAGAGCGTTTCAAAACTTCTCTATGAAAAGAAAGGTTCTACTCCTTTAGTTGAGGACACACATCACGAGTAAGTTTCTGAGAATGCTTCTGTCTAGTTTTTATGGGAAGATATTTCCTTTTTCACCTTAGGCCGGTAAGTGCTCCAAATGTCCACTTACACACACTACAAAAAGAGTGTTTCAAACCTGCTCTGTGAAAGGGAATGTTCAATTCTGTGACTTGAATGCAATCATCACAAAGAACTTTCTGAGAATGCTGCTGACTGCTTTTTATATGTAATCCCGTTTCCAACGAAATCCTCAAATCTAGCCAAATAGCCACTTGCAGATTCCACAAAAAGAGTGTTTCAAAACTGTTCTGTCTAAAGAAATGTTCAACTGTGTTAGTTGAGGACACACATCAGAAACGAGTTTCTGAGAATGCTTCTGTCTAGTTGTTATGGGAAGATATTTCCTTTTCCAACGTAGGCCTGAAAGCGCTCCAAATGTCCACTTCCAGATACTAAAAAAAGAGTGTTTCAAACCTGCTCTACCAAAGGGAATGTTCTACTCTGTGACTTGAATGCAAGCATCCCAAAGAAGTTTCTGAGAATGCTTCTGTCTAGATTTTCTCTGAAGACAATCCCGTTTCCAACGAAATCCTCAAGGCTAGGCAAATATACTCTTGCAGATTCCAGAAAAAGAGTGTTTCAAAACTGCTCCTTCAAAACGGTGGTTCAATTCTCTTAGTTGAGTACACACATCTCAAATAAGTTTCTGAGAATGCTTCTGCCTAGTTGTTACGGGAAGATATTTCCCTTTCCAACATGGGCCTGAAAGCGCTCCAAATGTCCACTTCCAGATACTACAAAAAGAGTGTTTCAAACCTGCTCTACCAAAGGGAATGTTCTACTCTGTGACTTGAATGCAAACATCCCAAAGAAGTTTCTGAGAATGCTTCTGTCTAGATTTTACCTGAAGACAATCCCGTTTCCCACGAAATCCTCAAAGCTATGCAAATATCCTCTTGCGGATTCTACAAAAAGAGTGTTTCAAAACTGCTCTATGAAAAGAAAGGTTCAACTCTGTCAGTAGAGGGCACACATCACAAACAAGTTTCTGAGAATGCTTGTGTCTAGTTGTTATGGGAAGATATTTCCTTTTTCAACATAGGCCTGAAAGCGCTCCAAATGTCCACTTCCAGATACTACAAAAGGAGTGACTCCAACATGCTCTATGATAGGGAATGTTCACCTCTGTGTCTTGAATACAAACATCACAAAGATGTTTCTCAGAACGCTGCAGTCTGCAATTTGTATGAATTCCCGCTTCCAACGAAATCCTCAAAACTAGCCAAATATCCACTTGGAGATTCCACAAAAAGAGCGTTTCAAAACTTCTCTATGAATAGAAAGGTTCTACTCCTTTAGTTGAGGACACACATCACGAGTAAGTTTCTGAGAATGCTTCTGTCTAGTTTTTATGGGAAGATATGTCCTTTTTCACCTTAGGCCGGAAAGCGCTCCAAATGTCCACTTACACACACTACAAAAAGAGTGTTTCAAACCTGCTCTGTGAAAGGGAATGTTCAATTCTGTGACTTGAATGCAATCATCACAAAAAACTTTCTGAGAATGCTGCTGTCTGCTTTTTATATGTAATCCCGTTTCCAACGAAATCCTCAAATCTAGCCCAATATCCACTTGCAGATTCCACAAAAAGAGTGTTTCAAAACTGTTCTGTCTAAAGAAATGTTCAACTGTGTTAGTTGAGGACACACATCAGAAACTAGTTTCTGAGAATGCTTCTGTCTAGTTGTTATGGGAAGATATTTCCTTTTCCAACGTAGGCCTGAAAGCGCTCCAAATGTCCACTTCCATATACTAAAAAAAGAGTGTTTCAAACCTGCTCTACCAAAGGGAATGTTCTACTCTGTGACTTGAATGCAAACATCCCAAAGAAGTTTCTGAGAATGCTTCTGTCTAGATTTTCTCTGAAGACAATCCCGTTTCCAACGAAATCCTCAAGGCTAGGCAAATATACTCTTGCAGATTCCAGAAAAAGAGTGTTTCAAAACTGCTCCTTCAAAACGGTGGTTCAATTCTCTTAGTTGAGTACACACATCTCAAATAAGTTTCTGAGAATGCTTCTGCCTAGTTGTTACGGGAAGATATTTCCCTTTCCAACATAGGCCTGAAACCGCTCCAAATGTCCACTTCCAGATACTACAAAAAGAGTGTTTGAAACCTGCTCTACCAAAGGGAATGTTCTACTCTGTGACTTGAATGCAAACATCCCAAAGAAGTTTCTGAGAATGCTTCTGTCTAGATTTTCTCTGAAGACAATCCCGTTTCCAACGAAATCCTCAAAGCTAGGCAAATATCCTCTAGCAGATTCCAGAAAAAGAGTGTTTCAAAACTGGTCCTTCAAAACGGTGGTTCAATTCTCTTAGTTGAGTACACACATCTCAAATAAGTTTCTGAGAATGCTTGTGTCTAGTTGTTATGGGAAGATATTTCCTTTTTCAACATAGGCCTGAAAGCGCTCCAAATGTCCACTTCCAGATACTACAAAAGGAGTGATTCCAACCTGCTCTATGATAGGGAATGTTCAACTCTCTGTCCTGAATACAAACATCACAAAGATGTTTCTCAGAACGCTGCAGTCTGCAATTTGTATGAAATCCCGCTTCCAACGAAATCCTCAAAACTAGCCAAATATCCACTTGCAGATTCCACAAAAAGAGCATTTCAAAACTGCTCTATCAAAAGAAAGGTTCAACTTTGTTAGTTGAGTAGATACAGCATAAACAAGTTTCTGAGAATGCTTCTGTCCAGTTTTTATGGGAAGATATTTCCTTTTTCACCTTAGCCCTGAAAGCGCTCCAAAAGTCCAGTTCCAGATACTACAAAAGGAGTGTTTCAGGACTGCTCTATGAAAGGGAGTGTTCAACTTTTGACTTGAATGCAAACATCAGAAAGCAGTTTCTCAGAACGCTGCTGTGTGCTTTTTATATGTATTCCCGCTTCCAGCGAAATCCCCAAAGCTAGCCAAATATCCACTTGCAGATTCCAGAAAAAGAGTGTTTCAAAACTGCTCCTTCAAAACGGTGGTTCAATTCTCTTAGTTGAGTACACACATCTCAAATAAGTTTCTGAGAATGCTTCTGTCTAGCTGTTATGGGAGGATATTTCCTTTTCCAACATAGGCCTGAAAGCGCTCCAAACGTCCACTTCCAGATACCACAAAAGCAGTGATTCCAACCTGCTCTATGATAGGGAATGTTCAACTCTGTGTCCTGAATACAAACATCTCAAAGATGTTTCTCAGAACGCTGCAGTCTGCAATTTGCATGAATTCCCGCTTCCAACGAAATCCTCAAAACTAGCCAAATATCCACTTGCAGATTCCACAAAAAGAGCGTTTCAAAACTTCTCTATGAAAAGAAAGGTTCTACTCCTTTAGTTGAGGACACACATCACGAGTAAGTTTCTGAGAATGCTTCTGTCTAGTTTTTATGGGAAGATATTTCCTTTTTCACCTGAGGCCGGAAAGCGCTCCAAATGTCCACTTACAGACACTACAAAAGAGTGTTTCAAACCTGCTCTGTGAAAGGGAATGTTCAATTCTGTGACTTGAATGCAATCACCACAAAGAAGTTTCTGAGAATGCTGCTGTCTGCTTTTTATAGGTAATCCCGTGTCCAACGAAATCCTCAAATCTAGCCAAATATCCACTTGCAGATTCCTCAAAAAGAGTGTTTCAAAACTGGTCTGTCAAAAGAAAGGTTCAACTCTGTTAGTTGAGGACCCACATCAGAAACTGGTTTCTGAGAATGCTTCTGTCTAGTTGTTATGGGAAGATATTTCCTTTTCCAACGTAGGCCTGAAAGCGCTCCAAATGTCCACTTCCAGATACTACAAAAAGAGTGTTTCAAACCTGCTCTACCAAAGGGAATGTTCTACTCTGTGACTTGAATGCAAACATCCCAAAGAAGTTTCTGAGAATGCTTCTGTCTAGATTTTCTCTGAAGACAATCCCGTTTCCAACGAAATCCTCAAGGCTAGGCAAATATACTCTTGCAGATTCCAGAAAAAGAGTGTTTCAAAACTGCGCCTTCAAAACGGTGGTTCAATTCTCTTAGTTGAGTACACACATCTCAAATAAGTTTCTGAGAATGCTTCTGCCTAGTTGTTACGGGAAGATATTTCCCTTTCCAACATGGGCCTGAAAGCGCTCCAAATGTCCACTTCCAGATACTACAAAAAGAGTGTTTCAAACCTGCTCTACCAAAGGGAATGTTCTACTCTGTGACTTGAATGCAAACATCCCAAAGAAGTTTCTGAGAACGCTTCTGTCTAGATTTTACCTGAAGACAATCCCGTTTCCCACGAAATCCTCAAAGCTATGCAAATATCCTCTTGCAGATTCTACAAAAAGAGTGTTTCAAAACTGCTCTATGAAAAGAAAGGTTCAACTCTGTCAGTAGAGGGCACACATCACAAACAAGTTTCTGAGAATGCTTCTGCATAGTTGTTACGGGAAGATATTTCCCTTTCCAAAATAGGCCTGAAAGCGCTCCAAATGTCCACTTCCAGATACTACAAAAGGAGTGATTCCAACCTGCTCTATGATAGGGAATGTTCAACTCTGTGTCCTGAATACAAACATCACAAAGATGTTTCTCAGAACGCTGCAGTCTGCAATTTGTATGAATTCCCGCTTCCAACGAAATCCTCAAAACTAGCCAAATATCCACTTGCAGATTCCATAAAAAGAGCATTTCAAAACTGCTCTATCAAAAGAAAGGTTCAACTTTGTTAGTTGAGTAGATACAGCATAAACAAGTTTCTGAGAATGCTTCTGTCCAGTTTTTATGGGAAGATATTTCCTTTTTCACCTTAGCCCTGAAAGCGCTCCAAATTTCCAGTTCCAGATACTACAAAAGGGGTGTTTCAAGACTGCTCTATGAAAGGGAGTGTTCAACTTTTGACTTGAATGCAAACATCAGAAAGCAGTTTCTCAGAACGCTGCTGTGTGCTTTTTATATGTATTCCCGCTTCCAGCGAAATCCCCAAAGCTAGCCAAATATCCACTTGCAGATTCCAGAAAAAGAGTGTTTCCAAACTGCTCCTTCAAAACGGTGGTTCAATTCTCTTAGTTGAGTACACACATCTCAAATAAGTTTCTGGGAATGCTTCTGTCTAGTTGCTATGGGAAGATATTTCCTTTTCCAACATAGGCCTGAAAGCGCTCCAAATGTCCACTTCCAGATACTACAAAAGGAGTGATTCAAACCTGCTCTATGATAGGGAATGTTCAACTCTGTGTCCTGAATACAAACATCACAAAGATGTTTCTCAGAACGCTGCAGTCTGCATCTTGTATGAATTCCCGCTTCCAACGAAATCCTCAAAACTAGCCAAATATCCACTTGCAGATTCCACAAAAAGAGCGTTTCAAAACTTCTCTATGAAAAGAAAGGTTCTACTCCTTTAGTTGAGGACACACATCACGAGTATGTTTCTGAGAATGCTTATCTGTCTAGTTTTTATGGGAAGATATTTCCTTGTTCACCTTAGGCCGGAAAGCGCTCCAAATGTCCACTTACACACACTACAAAAAGAGTGTTTCAAACCTGCTCTGTGAAAGGGAATGTTCAATTCTGTGACTTGAATGCAATCATCACAAAGAAGTTTCTGAGAATGCTGCTGTCTGCTTTTTATATGTAATCCCGTTTCCAACGAAATCCTCAAATCTAGCCAAATATCCACTTGCAGATTCCACAAAAAGAGTGTTTCAAAACTGTTCTGTCTAAAGAAAAGTTCAACTGTGTTAGTTGAGGACACACATCAGAAACTAGTTTCTGAGAATGCTTCTGTCTAGTTGTTATGGGAAGATATTTCCTTTTCCAACGTAGGCCTGAAAGCGATCAAAAGGTCCACTTCCATATACTAAAAAAAGAGTGTTTCAAACCCTGCTCTACCAAAGGGAATGTTCTACTCTGTGACTTGAATGCAAACATCCCAAAGAAGTTTCTGAGAATGCTTCTGTCTAGATTTGATCTGAAGACAATCCCGTTTCCAACGAAATCCTCAAGGCTAGGCAAATATCCTCTTGCAGATTCCAGAAAAAGAGTGTTTCAAAACTGCTCCTTCAAAACGGTGGTTCAATTCTCTTAGTTGAGTACACACATCTCAAATAAGTTTCTGAGAATGCTTCTGCCTAGTTGTTACGGGAAGATATTTCCCTTTCCAACATAGGCCTGAAAGCGCTCCAAATGTCCACTTCCAGATACTACAAAAAGAGTGTTTCAAACCTGCTCTACCAAAGGGAATGTTCTGCTCTGTGACTTGAATGCAAACATCCCAAAGAAGTTTCTGAGAATGCTTCTGTCTAGATTTTACCTGAAGACAATCCCGTTTCCCACGAAATCCTCAAAGCTATGCAAATATCCTCTTGCAGATTCTACAAAAAGAGTGTTTCAAAACTGCTCTATGAAAAGAAAGGTTCAACTCTGTCAGTAGAGGGCACACATCACAAACAAGTTTCTGAGAATGCTTCTGTCTAGTTGTTATGGGAAGATATTTCCTTTTCCAACATAGGCCTGAAAGCGCTCCAAATGTCCACTTCCAGATACTACAAAAGGAGTGATTCCAACCTGCTCTATGATAGGGAATGTTCAACTCTGTGTCCTGAATACAAACATCACAAAGATGTTTCCTCAGAACGCTGCAGTCTGCAATTTGTATGAATTCCCGCTTCCAACGAAATCCTCAAACCTAGCCAAATATCCACTTGCAGATTCCACAAAAAGAGCATTTCAAAACTGCTCTATCAAAAGAAAGGTTCAACTTTGTTAGTTGAGTAGATACAGCATAAACAAGTTTCTGAGAATGCTTCTGTCCAGTTTTTATGGGAAGATATTTCCTTTTTCACCTTAGCCCTGAAAGCGCTCCAAATGTCCAGTTCCAGATACTACAAAAGGGGTGTTTCAAGACTGCTCTATGAAAGGGAGTGTTCAACTTTTGACTTGAATGCAAACATCAGAAAGCAGTTTCTCAGAACGCTGCTGTGTGCTTTTTATATGTATTCCCGCTTCCAGCGAAATCCCCAAAGCTAGCCAAATATCCACTTGCAGATTCCAGAAAAAGAGTGTTTCAAAACTGCTCCTTCAAAACGGTGGTTCAATTCTCTTAGTTGAGTACACACATCTCAAATAAGTTTCTGAGAATGCTTCTGTCTAGTTGTTATGGGAAGATATTTCCTTTTCCAACATAGGCCTGAAAGCGCTCCAAATGTCCACTTCCAGATACTACAAAAGGAGTGATTCCAACCTGCTCTATGATAGGGAATGTTCAACTCTGTGTCCTGAATACAAACATCACAAAGATGTTTCTCAGAACGCTGCAGTCTGCAATTTGTATGAATTCCCGCTTCCAACGAAATCCTCAAAACTAGCCAAATATCCACTTGCAGATTCCACAAAAAGAGCGTTTCAAAACTTCTCTATGAAAAGAAAGGTTCTACTCCTTTAGTTGAGGACACACATCACGAGTAAGTTTCTGAGAATGCTTCTGTCTAGTTTTTATGGGAAGATATTTCCTTTTTCACCTTAGGCCGGTAAGTGCTCCAAATGTCCACTTACACACACTACAAAAAGAGTGTTTCAAACCTGCTCTGTGAAAGGGAATGTTCAATTCTGTGACTTGAATGCAATCATCACAAAGAACTTTCTGAGAATGCTGCTGACTGCTTTTTATATGTAATCCCGTTTCCAACGAAATCCTCAAATCTAGCCAAATAGCCACTTGCAGATTCCACAAAAAGAGTGTTTCAAAACTGTTCTGTCTAAAGAAATGTTCAACTGTGTTAGTTGAGGACACACATCAGAAACTAGTTTCTGAGAATGCTTCTGTCTAGTTGTTATGGGAAGATATTTCCTTTTCCAACGTAGGCCTGAAAGCGCTCCAAATGTCCACTTCCAGATACTACAAAAAGAGTGTTTCAAACCTGCTCTACCAAAGGGAATGTTCTACTCTGTGACTTGAATGCAAACATCCCAAAGAAGTTTCTGAGAATGCTTCTGTCTAGATTTTCTCTGAAGACAATCCCGTTTCCAACGAAATCCTCAAGGCTAGGCAAATATACTCTTGCAGATTCCAGAAAAAGAGTGTTTCAAAACTGCTCCTTCAAAACGGTGGTTCAATTCTCTTAGTTGAGTACACACATCTCAAATAAGTTTCTGAGAATGCTTCTGCCTAGTTGTTACGGGAAGATATTTCCCTTTCCAACATGGGCCTGAAAGCGCTCCAAATGTCCACTTCCAGATACTACAAAAAGAGTGTTTCAAACCTGCTCTACCAAAGGGAATGTTCTACTCTGTGACTTGAATGCAAACATCCCAAAGAAGTTTCTGAGAATGCTTCTGTCTAGATTTTACCTGAAGACAATCCCGTTTCCCACGAAATCCTCAAAGCTATGCAAATATCCTCTTGCAGATTCTACAAAAAGAGTGTTTCAAAACTGCTCTATGAAAAGAAAGGTTCAACTCTGTCAGTAGAGGGCACACATCACAAACAAGTTTCTGAGAATGCTTCTGCATAGTTGTTACGGGAAGATATTTCCCTTTCCAAAATAGGCCTGAAAGCGCTCCAAATGTCCACTTCCAGATACTACAAAAGGAGTGATTCCAACCTGCTCTATGATAGGGAATGTTCAACTCTGTGTCCTGAATACAAACATCACAAAGATGTTTCTCAGAACGCTGCAGTCTGCAATTTGTATGAATTCCCGCTTCCAACGAAATCCTCAAAACTAGCCAAATATCCACTTGCAGATTCCACAAAAAGACCATTTCAAAACTGCTCTATCAAAAGAAAGGTTCAACTTTGTTAGTTGAGTAGTTACAGCATAAACAAGTTTCTGAGAATGCTTCTGTCCAGTTTTTATGGGAAGATATTTCCTTTTTCACCTTAGCCCTGAAATCGCTCCAAAAGTCCAGTTCCAGATACTACAAAACGGGTGTTACAAGACTGCTCTATGAAAGGGAGTGTTCAACTTTTGACTTGAATGCAAACATCAGAAAGCAGTTTCTCAGAACGCTGCTGTGTGCTTTTTATATGTATTCCCGCTTCCAGCGAAATCCCCAAAGCTAGCCAAATATCCACTTGCAGATTCCAGAAAAAGAGAGTTTCAAAACTGCTCCTTCAAAACGGTGGTTCAATTCTCTTAGTTGAGTACACACATCTCAAATAAGTTTCTGAGAATGCTTCTGTCTAGTTGTTATGGGAAGATATTTCCTTTTCCAACATAGGCCTGAAAGCGCTCCAAATGTCCACTTCCAGATACTACAAAAGGAGTGATTCCAACCTGCTCTATGATAGGGAATGTTCAACTCTGTGTCCTGAATACAAACATCACAAAGATGTTTCTCAGAACGCTGCAGTCTGCAATTTGTATGAATTCCCGCTTCCAACGAAATCCTCAAAACTAGCCAAATATCCACTTGCAGATTCCACAAAAAGAGCGTTTCAAAACTTCTCTATGAAAAGAAAGGTTCTACTCCTTTAGTTGAGGACACACATCACGAGTAAGTTTCTGAGAATGCTTCTGTCTAGTTTTTATGGGAAGATATTTCCTTTTTCACCTTAGGCCGGTAAGTGCTCCAAATGTCCACTTACACACACTACAAAAAGAGTGTTTCAAACCTGCTCTGTGAAAGGGAATGTTCAATTCTGTGACTTGAATGCAATCATCACAAAGAACTTTCTGAGAATGCTGCTGACTGCTTTTTATATGTAATCCCGTTTCCAACGAAATCCTCAAATCTAGCCAAATAGCCACTTGCAGATTCCACAAAAAGAGTGTTTCAAAACTGTTCTGTCTAAAGAAATGTTCAACTGTGTTAGTTGAGGACACACATCAGAAACTAGTTTCTGAGAATGCTTCTGTCTAGTTGTTATGGGAAGATATTTCCTTTTCCAACGTAGGCCTGAAAGCGCTCCAAATGTCCACTTCCATATACTAAAAAAAGAGTGTTTCAAACCTGCTCTACCAAAGGGAATGTTCTACTCTGTGACTTGAATGCAAACATCCCAAAGAAGTTTCTGAGAATGCTTCTGTCTAGATTTTCTCTGAAGACAATCCCGTTTCCAACGAAATCCTCAAGGCTAGGCAAATATACTCTTGCAGATTCCAGAAAAAGAGTGTTTCAAAACTGCTCCTTCAAAACGGTGGTTCAATTCTCTTAGTTGAGTACACACATCTCAAATAAGTTTCTGAGAATGCTTCTGCCTAGTTGTTACGGGAAGATATTTCCCTTTCCAACATAGGCCTGAAAGCGCTCCAAATGTCCACTTCCAGATACTACAAAAAGAGTGTTTCAAACCTGCTCTACCAAAGGGAATGTTCTACTCTGTGACTTGAATGCAAACATCCCAAAGAAGTTTCTGAGAATGCTTCTGTCTAGATTTTACCTGAAGACAATCCCGTTTCCCACGAAATCCTCAAAGCTATGCAAATATCCTCTTGAAGATTCTACAAAAAGAGTGTTTCAAAACTGCTCTATGAAAAGAAAGGTTCAACTCTGTCAGTAGAGGGCACACATCACAAACAAGTTTCTGAGAATGCTTCTGCATAGTTGTTACGGGAAGATATTTCCCTTTCCAAAATAGGCCTGAAAGCGCTCCAAATGTCCACTTCCAGATACTACAAAAGGAGTGATTCCAACCTGCTCTATGATAGGGAATGTTCAACTCTGTGTCCTGAATACAAACATCACAAAGATGTTTCTCAGAACGCTGCAGTCTGCAATTTGTATGAATTCCCGCTTCCAACGAAATCCTCAAAACTAGCCAAATATCCACTTGCAGATTCCACAAAAAGACCATTTCAAAACTGCTCTATCAAAAGAAAGGTTCAACTTTGTTAGTTGAGTAGATACAGCATAAACAAGTTTCTGAGAATGCTTCTGTCCAGTTTTTATGGGAAGATATTTCCTTTTTCACCTTAGCCCTGAAATCGCTCCAAAAGTCCAGTTCCAGATACTACAAAAGGGGTGTTTCAAGACTGCTCTATGAAAGGGAGTGTTCAACTTTTGACTTGAATGCAAACATCAGAAAGCAGTTTCTCAGAACGCTGCTGTGTGCTTTTTATATGTATTCCCGCTTCCAGCGAAATCCCCAAAGCTAGCCAAATATCCACTTGCAGATTCCAGAAAAAGAGTGTTTCAAAACTGCTCCTTCAAAACGGTGGTTCAATTCTCTTAGTTGAGTACACACATCTCAAATAAGTTTCTGAGAATGCTTCTGTCCAGTTTTTATGGGAAGATATTTCCTTTTTCACCTTAGCCCTGAAAGCGTTCCCAATGTCCACTTCCAGATACTACAAAAGGGGTGTTTCAGGCCTGCTCTATGAAAGGGAGTGTTCAACTTTTGACTTGAATGCAAACATCAGAAAGCAGTTTCTCAGAACGCTGCAGTCTGCAATTTGTATGAATTCCCGCTTCCAACGAAATCCTCCAAACTAGCCAAATATCCACTTGCAGATTCCACAAAAAGAGCGTTTCAAAACTTCTCTATGAAAAGAAAGGTTCTACTCCTTTAGTTGAGGACACACATCACGAGTAAGTTTCTGAGAATGCTTCTGTCTAGTTTTTATGGGAAGATATTTCCTTTTTCACCTTAGGCCGGAAAGTGCTCCAAATGTCCACTTACACACACTACAAAAAGAGTGTTTCAAACCTGCTCTGTGAAAGGGAATGTTCAATTTCTGTGACTTGAATGCAATCATCACAAAGAACTTTCTGAGAATGCTGC
Source organism: Homo sapiens (assembly GCF_000001405.40). Taxonomy (NCBI): domain Eukaryota; kingdom Metazoa; phylum Chordata; class Mammalia; order Primates; family Hominidae; genus Homo; species Homo sapiens. Next base: position 17,324,242 of record NC_000018.10, on the reverse strand, counting down.
TGTCTGCTTTTTATATGTAATCCCGTTTCCAACGAAATCCTCAAATCTAGCCCAATATCCACTTGCAGATTCCACAAAAAGAGTGTTTCAAAACTGTTCTGTCTAAAGAAAAGTTCAACTGTGTTAGTTGAGGACACACATCAGAAACTAGTTTCTGAGAATACTTCTGTCTAGTTGTTATGGGAAGATATTTCCTTTTCCAACGTAGGCCTGAAAGCGCTCCAAATGTCCACTTCCATATACTAAAAAAAGAGTGTTTCAAACCTGCTCTACCAAAGGGAATGTTCTACTCTGTGACTTGAATGCAAACATCCCAAAGAAGTTTCTGAGAATGCTTCTGTCTAGATTTTATCTGAAGACAATCCCGTTTCCAACGAAATCCTCAAGGCTAGGCAAATATACTCTTGCAGATTCCAGAAAAAGAGTGTTTCAAAACTGCTCCTTCAAAACGGTGGTTCAATTCTCTTAGTTGAGTACACACATCTCAAATAAGTTTCTGAGAATGCTTCTGCCTAGTTGTTACGGGAAGATATTTCCCTTTCCAACATGGGCCTGAAAGCGCTCCAAATGTCCACTTCCAGATACTACAAAAAGAGGGTTTCAAACCTGCTCTACCAAAGGGAATGTTCTACTCTGTGACTTGAATGCAAACATCCCAAAGAAGTTTCTGAGAATGCTTCTGTCTAGATTTTACCTGAAGACAATCCCGTTTCCCACGAAATCCTCAAAGCTATGCAAATATCCTCTTGCAGATTCTACAAAAAGAGTGTTTCAAAACTGCTCTATGAAAAGAAAGGTTCAACTCTGTCAGTAGAGGGCACACATCACAAACAAGTTTCTGAGAATGCTTGTGTCTAGTTGTTATGGGAAGATATTTCCTTTTTCAACATAGGCCTGAAAGCGCTCCAAATGTCCACTTCCAGATACTACAAAAGGAGTGATTCCAACCTGCTCTATGATAGGGAATGTTCAACTCTCTGTCCTGAATACAAACATCACAAAGATGTTTCTCAGAACGCTGCAGTCTGCAATTTGTATGAATTCCCGCTTCCAACGAAATCCTCCAAACTAGCCAAATATCCACTTGCAGATTCCACAAAAAGAGCATTTCAAAACTGCTCTATCAAAAGAAAGGTTCAACTTTGTTAGTTGAGTAGATACAGCATAAACAAGTTTCTGAGAATGCTTCTGTCCAGTTTTTATGGGAAGATATTTCCTTTTTCACCTTAGCCCTGAAAGCGCTCCAAAAGTCCAGTTCCAGATACTACAAAAGGAGTGTTTCAGGACTGCTCTATGAAAGGGAGTGTTCAACTTTTGACTTGAATGCAAACATCAGAAAGCAGTTTCTCAGAACGCTGCTGTGTGCTTTTTATATGTATTCCCGCCTCCAGCGAAATCCCCAAAGCTAGCCAAATATCCACTTGCAGATTCCAGAAAAAGAGTGTTTCAAAACTGCTCCTTCAAAACGGTGGTTCAATTCTCTTAGTTGAGTACACACATCTCAAATAAGTTTCTGAGAATGCTTCTGTCTAGTTGTTATGGGAAGATATTTCCTTTTCCAACATAGGCCTGAAGCGCTCCAAATGTCCACTTCCAGATACTACAAAAGGAGTGATTCCAACCTGCTCTATGATAGGGAATGTTCAACTCTGTGTCCTGAATACAAACATCACAAAGATGTTTCTCAGAACGCTGCAGTCTGCAATTTGTATGAATTCCCGCTTCCAACGAAATCCTCAAAACTAGCCAAATATCCACTTGCAGATTCCACAAAAAGAGCGTTTCAAAACTTCTCTATGAAAAGAAAGGTTCTACTCCTTTAGTTGAGGACACACATCACGAGTAAGTTTCTGAGAATGCTTCTGTCTAGTTTTTATGGGAAGATTATTTCCTTTTTCACCTTAGGCCGGTAAGTGCTCCAAATGTCCACTTACACACACTACAAAAAGAGTGTTTCAAACCTGCTCTGTGAAAGGGAATGTTCAATTCTGTGACTTGAATGCAATCATCACAAAGAACTTTCTGAGAATGCCGCTGACTGCTTTTTATATGTAATCCCGTTTCCAACGAAATCCTCAAATCTAGCCCAATATCCACTTGCAGATTCCACAAAAAGAGTGTTTCAAAACTGTTCTGCCTAAAGAAATGTACAACTGTGTTAGTTGAGGACACACATCAGAAACTAGTTTCTGAGAATGCTTCTGTCTAGTTGTTATGGGAAGATATTTCCTTTTCCAACGTAGGCCTGAAAGCGCTCCAAATGTCCACTTCCAGATACTAAAAAAAGAGTGTTTCAAACCTGCTCTACCAAAGAGAATGTTCTACTCTGTGACTTGAATGCAAACATCCCAAAGAAGTTTCTGAGAATGCTTCTGTCTAGATTTTATCTGAAGACAATCCCGTTTCCAACGAAATCCTCAAGGCTAGGCAAATATATTCTTGCAGAATCCAGAAAAAGAGTGTTTCAAAACTGCTCCTTCAAAACGGTGGTTCAATTCTCTTAGTTGAGTACACACATCTCAAATAAGTTTCTGAGAATGCTTCTGCCTAGTTGTTATGGGAAGATATTTCCCTTTCCAACATGGGCCTGAAAGCGCTCCAAATGTCCACTTCCAGATACTACAAAAAGAGTGTTTCAAACCTGCTCTACCAAAGGGAATGTTCTACTCTGTGTCTTGAATGCAAACATCCCAAAGAAGTTTCTGAGAATGCTTCTGTCTAGATTTTACCTGAAGACAATCCCGTTTCCCACGAAATCCTCAAAGCTATGCAAATATCCTCTTGCAGATTCTACAAAAAGAGTGTTTCGAAACTGCTCTATGAAAAGAAAGGTTCAACTCTGTCAGTAGAGGGCACACATCAAAAATAAGTTTCTGAGAATGCTTCTGTCTAGTTGTTATGGGAAGATATTTCCTTTTCCAACATAGGCCTGAAAGCGCTCCAAATGTCCACTTCCAGATACTACAAAAGGAGTGATTCAAACCTGCTCTATGATAGGGAATGTTCAACTCTGTGTCCTGAATACAAACATCACAAAGATGTTTCTCAGAACGCTGCAGTCTGCAATTTGTATGAATTCCCGCTTCCAACGAAATCCTCAAAACTAGGCAAATATCCACTTGCAGATTCCACAAAAAGAGCGTTTCAAAACTTCTCTATGAAAAGAAAGGTTCTACTCCTTTAGTTGAGGACACACATCACGAGTAAGTTTCTGAGAATGCTTCTGTCTAGTTTTTATGGGAAGATATTTCCTTTTTCACCTTAGGCCAGAAAGCGCTCCAAATGTCCACTTACACACACTACAAAAAGAGTGTTTCAAACCTGCTCTGTGAAAGGGAATGTTCAATTCTGTGACTTGAATGCAATCATCACAAAGAACTTTCTGAGAATGCTGCTGACTGCTTTTTATATGTAATCCCGTTTCCAACGAAATCCTCAAATGTAGCCAAAATATCCACCTGAAGGTTCCACAAAACGAGTGTATCAAAACTGTTCTGTCTAAAGAAATGTACAACTGTGTTAGTTGAGGACACACATCAGAAACTAGTTTCTGAGAATGCTTCTGTCTAATTGTTATGGGAAGATATTTCCTTTTCCAACGTAGGCCTGAAAGCGCTCCAAATGTCCACTTCCATATACGAAAAAAAGAGTGTTTCAAACCTGCTCTACCAAAGGGAATGTTCTACTCTGTGACTTGAATGCAAACATCCCAAAGAAGTTTCTGAGAATGCATTTGTCTAGATTTTATCTGAAGACAATCCGGTTTCCAACGAAATCCTCAAGGCTAAGCAAATATACTCTTGCAGATTCCAGAAAAAGAGTGTTTCAAAACTGCTCCTTCAAAACGGTGGTTCAATTCTCTTAGTTGAGTACACACATCTCAAATAAGTTTCTGAGAATGCTTCTGCATAGTTGTTACGGGAAGATATTTCCCTTTCCAACATGGGCCTGAATGCGCTCCAAATGTCCACTTCCAGATACTACAAAAAGAGGGTTTCAAACCTGCTCTACCAAAGGGAATGTTCTACTCTGTGACTTGAATGCAAACATAACAAAGAAGTTTCTGAGAATGCTTCTGTCTAGATTTTACCTGAAGACAATCCCGTTTCCCACGAAATCCTCAAAGCTATGCAAATATCCTCTTGCAGATTCTACAAAAAGAGTGTTTCAAAACTGCTCTATGAAAAGAAAGGTTCAACTCTGTCAGTAGAGGGCACACATCACAAACAAGTTTCTGAGAATGCTTCTGCATAGTTGTTACGGGAAGATATTTCCCTTTCCAAAATAGGCCTGAAAGCGCTCCAAATGTCCACTTCCAGATACTACAAAAGGAGTGATTCCAACCTGCTCTATGATAGGGAATGTTCAACTCTGTGTCCTGAATACAAACATCACAAAGATGTTTCTCAGAACGCTGCAGTCTGCAATTTGTATGAATTCCCGCTTCCAACGAAATCCTCAAAACTAGCCAAATATCCACTTGCAGATTCCACAAAAAGACCATTTCAAAACTGCTCTATCAAAAGAAAGGTTCAACTTTGTTAGTTGAGTAGATACAGCATAACCAAGTTTCTGAGAATGCTTCTGTCCAGTTTTTATGGGAAGATATTTCCTTTTTCACCTTAGCCCTGAAATCGCTCCAAAAGTCCAGTTCCAGATACTACAAAAGGGGTGTTTCAAGACTGCTCTATGAAAGGGAGTGTTCAACTTTTGACTTGAATGCAAACATCAGAAAGCAGTTTCTCAGAACGCTGCTGTGTGCTTTTTATATGTATTCCCGCTTCCAGCGAAATCCCCAAAGCTAGCCAAATATCCACTTGCAGATTCCAGAAAAAGAGAGTTTCAAAACTGCTCCTTCAAAACGGTGGTTCAATTCTCTTAGTTGAGTACACACATCTCAAATAAGTTTCTGAGAATGCTTCTGTCTAGTTGTTATGGGAAGATATTTCCTTTTCCAACATAGGCCTGAAAGCGCTCCAAATGTCCACTTCCAGATACTACAAAAGGAGTGATTCAAACCTGCTCTATGATAGGGAATGTTCAACTCTGTGTCCTGAATACAAACATCACAAAGATGTTTCTCAGAACGCTGCAGTCTGCAATTTGTATGAATTCCCGCTTCCAACGAAATCCTCAAAACTAGCCAAATATCCACTTGCAGATTCCACAAAAAGAGCGTTTCAAAACTTCTCTATGAAAAGAAAGGTTCTACTCCTTTAGTTGAGGACACACATCACGAGTAAGTTTCTGAGAATGCTTCTGTCTGGTTTTTATGGGAAGATATGTCCTTTTTCACCTTAGGCCGGAAAGCGCTCCAAAGGTCCACTTACAGACACTACAAATAGAGTGTTTCAAACCTGCTCTGTGAAAGGGAATGTTCAATTCTGTGACTTGAATGCAAACATCACAAAGAAGTTTCTGAGAATGCTGCTGTCTGCTTTTTATATGTAATCCCGTTTCCAACGGAAATCCTCAAATCTAGCCAAATATCCACTTGCAGATTCCACAAAGAGAGTGTTTCAAAACTGTTCTGTCTAAAGAAATGTTCAACTGTGTTAGTTGAGGACACACATCAGAAACTAGTTTCTGAGAATGCTTCTGTCTAGTTGTTATGGGAAGATATTTCCTTTTCCAACGTAGGCCTGAAAGCGCTCCAAATGTCCACTTCCATATACTAAAAAAAGAGTGTTTCAAACCTGCTCTACCAAAGGAATGTTCTACTCTGTGACTTGAATGCAAACATCCCAAAGAAGTTTCTGAGAATGCTTCTGTCTAGATTTGATCTGAAGACAATCCCTTTTCCAACGAAATCCTCAAAGCTAGGCAAATATCCTCTTGCAGATTCCAGAAAAAGAGTGTTTCCAAACTGCTCCTTCAAAACGGTGGTTCAATTCTCTTAGTTGAGTACACACATCTCAAATAAGTTTCTGAGAATGCTTCTGCCTAGTTGTTACGGGAAGATATTTCCCTTTCCAACATAGGCCTGAAAGCGCAACAAATGTCCACTTCCAGATACGACAAAAAGAGTGTTTCAAACCTGCTCTACCAAAGGGAATGTTCTACTCTGTGACTTGAATGCAAACATCCCGAAGAAGTTTCTGAGAATGCTTCTGTCTAGATTTGATCTGAAGACAATCCCTTTTCCAACGAAATCCTCAAAGCTAGGCAAATATCCTCTTGCAGATTCTACAAAAAGAGTGTTTCGAAACTGCTCTATGAAAAGAAAGGTTCAACTCTGTCAGTAGAGGAAACACATCACCAACAAGTTTCTGAGAATGCTTCTGTCTAGTTGTTATGGGAAGATTTTTCCTTTTTCAACATAGGCCTGAAAGCGCTCCAAATGTCCACTTCCAGATACTACAAAAGGAGTGATCCCAACCTGCTCTATGATAGGGAATGTTCAACTCTGTGTCCTGAATACAAACATCACAAAGATGTTTCTCAGAACGCTGCAGTCTGCAATTTGTATGAATTCCCGCTTCCAACGAAATCCTCAAAACTAGCCAAATATCCACTTGCAGATTCCACAAAAAGAGCATTTCAAAACTGCTCTATCAAAAGAAAGGTTCAACTTTGTTAGTTGAGTAGATACAGCATAAACAAGTTTCTGAGAATGCTTCTGTCCAGTTTTTATGGGAAGATATTTCCTTTTTCACCTTAGCCCTGAAAGCGCTCCAAAAGTCCAGTTCCAGATACTACAAAAGGAGTGTTTCAGGACTGCTCTATGAAAGGGAGTGTTCAACTTTTGACTTGAATGCAAACATCAGAAAGCAGTTTCTCAGAACGCTGCTGTGTGCTTTTTATATGTATTCCCGCTTCCAGCGAAATCCCCAAAGCTAGCCAAATATCCACTTGCAGATTCCAGAAAAAGAGTGTTTCAAAACTGCTCCTTCAAAACGGTGGTTCAATTCTCTTAGTTGAGTACACACATCTCAAATAAGTTTCTGAGAATGCTTCTGTCTAGTTGTTATGGGAAGATATTTCCTTTTCCAACATAGGCCTGAAAGCGCTCCAAATGTCCACTTCCAGATACTACAAAAGGAGTGATTCAAACCTGCTCTATGATAGGGAATGTTCAACTCTGTGTCCTGAATACAAACATCACAAAGATGTTTCTCAGAACGCTGCAGTCTGCAATTTGTATGAATTCCCGCTTCCAACGAAATCCTCAAAACTAGCCAAATATCCACTTGCAGATTCCACAAAAAGAGCGTTTCAAAACTTCTCTATGAAAACAAAGGTTCTACTCCTTTAGTTGAGGACACACATCACGAGTAAGTTTCTGAGAATGCTTCTGTCTAGTTTTTATGGGAAGATATTTCCTTTTTCACCTTAGGCCGGAAAGTGCTCCAAATGTCCACTTACACACACTACAAAAAGAGTGTTTCAAACCTGCTCTCTGAAAGGGAATGTTCAATTCTGTGACTTGAATGCAATCATCACAAAGAACTTTCTGAGAATGCTGCTGTCTGCTTTTTATATGTAATCCCGTTTCCAACGAAATCCTCAAATCCAGCCAAATAGCCACTTGCAGATTCCACAAAAAGAGAGTTTCAAAACTGTTCTGTCTAAAGAAATGTTCAACTGTGTTAGTTGAGGACACACATCAGAAACTAGTTTCTGAGAATGCTTCTGTCTAGTTGTTATGGGAAGATATTTCCTTTTCCAACGTAGGCCTGAAAGCGCTCCAAATGTCCACTTCCATATACTAAAAAAAGAGTGTTTCAAACCTGCTCTACCAAAGGGAATGTTCTACTCTGTGACTTGAATGCAAACATCCCAAAGAAGTTTCTGAGAATGCTTCTGTCTAGATTTGATCTGAAGACAATCCCGTTTCCAACGAAATCCTCAAGGCTAGGCAAATATCCTCTTGCAGATTCCAGAAAAAGAGTGTTTCAAAACTGCTCCTTCAAAACGGTGGTTCAATTCTCTTAGTTGAGTACACACATCTCAAATAAGTTTCTGAGAATGCTCTGCCTAGTTGTTACGGGAAGATATTTCCCTTTCCAACATAGGCCTGAAAGCGCTCCAAATGTCCACTTCCAGATACTACAAAAAGAGTGTTTCAAACCTGCTCTACGAAAGGGAATGTTCTACTCTGTGACTTGAATGCAAACCTCCCAAAGAAGTTTCTGAGAATGCTTTCTGTCTAGATTTTACCTGAAGACAATCCCGTTTCCCACGAAATCCTCAAAGCTATGCAAATATCCTCTTGCAGATTCTACAAAAAGAGTGTTTCAAAACTGCTCTATGAAAAGAAAGGTTCAACTCTGTCAGTAGAGGGCACACATCACAAACAAGTTTCTGAGAATGCTTGTGTCTAGTTGTTATGGGAAGATATTTCCTTTTTCAACATAGGCCTGAAAGCGCTCCAAATGTCCACTTCCAGATACTACAAAAGGAGTGATTCCAACCTGCTCTATGATAGGGAATGTTCAACTCTCTGTCCTGAATACGAACATCACAAAGATGTTTCTCAGAACGCTGCAGTCTGCAATTTGTATGAATTCCCGCTTCCAACGAAATCCTCAAAACTAGCCAAATATCCACTTGCAGATTCCACAAAAAGAGCATTTCAAAACTGCTCTATCAAAAGAAAGGTTCAACTTTGTTAGTTGAGTAGATACAGCATAAACAAGTTTGCTGAGAATGCTTCTGTCCAGTTTTTATGGGAAGATATTTCCTTTTTCACCTTAGCCCTGAAAGCGCTCCAAAAGTCCAGTTCCAGATACTACAAAAGGAGTGTTTCAGGACTGCTCTATGAAAGGGAGTGTTCAACTTTTGACTTGAATGCAAACATCAGAAAGCAGTTTCTCAGAACGCTGCTGTGTGCTTTTTATATGTATTCCCGCTTCCAGCGAAATCCCCAAAGCTAGCCAAATATCCACTTGCAGATTCCAGAAAAAGAGTGTTTCAAAACTGCTCCTTCAAAACGGTGGTTCAATTCTCTTAGTTGAGTACACACATCTCAAATAAGTTTCTGAGAATGCTTCTGTCTAGTTGTTATGGGAAGATATTTCCTTTTCCAACATAGGCCTGAAAGCGCTCCAAATGTCCACTTCCAGATACTACAAAAGGAGTGATTCAAACCTGCTCTATGATAGGGAATGTTCAACTCTGTGTCCTGAATACAAACATCACAAAGATGTTTCTCAGAACGCTGCAGTCTGCAATTTGTATGAATTCCCGCTTCCAACGAAATCCTCAAAACTAGCCAAATATCCACTTGCAGATTCCACAAAAAGAGCGTTTCAAAACTTCTCTATGAAAAGAAAGGTTCTACTCCTTTAGTTGAGGACACACATCACGAGTAAGTTTCTGAGAATGCTTCTGTCTAGTTTTTATGGGAAGATATTTCCTTTTTCACCTTAGGCCGGAAAGCACTCCAAATGTCCACTTACACACACTACAAAAAGAGTGTTTCAAACCTGCTCTGTGAAAGGCAATGTTCAATTCTGTGACTTGAATGCAATCATCACAAAGAACTTTCTGAGAATGCTGCTGTCTGCTTTTTATATGTAATCCCGTTTCCAACGAAATCCTCAAATCTAGCCAAATATCCACTTGCAGATTCCACAAAAAGAGTGTTTCAAAACTGTTCTGTCTAAAGAAAAGTTCAACTGTGTTAGTTGAGGACACACATCAGAAACTAGTTTCTGAGAATGCTTCTGTCTAGTTGTTATGGGAAGATATTTCCTTTTCCAACGTAGGCCTGAAAGCGCTCCAAATGTCCACTTCCATATACTAAAAAAAGAGTGTTTGAAACCTGCTCTACCAAAGGGAACGTTCTACTCTGTGACTTGAATGCAAACATCCCAAAGAAGTTTCTGAGAATGCTTCTGTCTAGATTTGATCTGAAGACAATCCCGTTTCCAACGAAATCCTCAAGGCTAGGCAAATATCCTCTTGCAGATTCCAGAAAAAGAGTGTTTCAAAACTGCTCCTTCAAAACGGTGGTTCAATTCTCTTAGTTGAGTACACACATCTCAAATAAGTTTCTGAGAATGCTTCTGCCTAGTTGTTACGGGAAGATATTTCCCTTTCCAACATGGGCCTGAAAGCGCTCCAAATGTCCACTTCCAGATACTACAAAAAGAGTGTTTCAAACCTGCTCTACCAAAGGGAATGTTCTACTCTGTGACTTGAATGCAAACATCCCAAAGAAGTTTCTGAGAATGCTTCTGTCTAGATTTGATCTGAAGACAATCCCTTTTCCAACGAAATCCTCAAAGCTAGGCAAATATCCTCTTGCAGATTCTACAAAAAGAGTGTTTCGAAACTGCTCTATGAAAAGAAAGGTTCAACTCTGTCAGTAGAGGAAACACATCACCAACAAGTTTCTGAGAATGCTTCTGTCTAGTTGTTATGGGAAGATTTTTCCTTTTTCAACATAGGCCTGAAAGCGCTCCAAATGTCCACTTCCAGATACTACAAAAGGAGTGATCCCAACCTGCTCTATGATAGGGAATGTTCAACTCTGTGTCCTGAATACAAACATCACAAAGATGTTTCTCAGAACGCTGCAGTCTGCAATTTGTATGAATTCCCGCTTCCAACGAAATCCTCAAAACTAGCCAAATATCCACTTGCAGATTCCACAAAAAGAGCATTTCAAAACTGCTCTATCAAAAGAAAGGTTCAACTTTGTTAGTTGAGTAGATACAGCATAAACAAGTTTCTGAGAATGCTTCTGTCCAGTTTTTATGGGAAGATATTTCCTTTTTCACCTTAGCCCTGAAATCGCTCCAAAAGTCCAGGTCCAGATACTACAAAAGGGGTGTTTCAAGACTGCTCTATGAAAGGGAGTGTTCAACTTTTGACTTGAATGCAAACATCAGAAAGCAGTTTCTCAGAACCGCTGCTGTGTGCTTTTTATATGTATTCCCGCTTCCAGCGAAATCCCCAAAGCTAGCCAAATATCCACTTGCAGATTCCAGAAAAAGAGAGTTTCAAAACTGCTCCTTCAAAACGGTGGTTCAATTCTCTTAGTTGAATACACACATCTCAAATAAGTTTCTGAGAATGCTTCTGTCTAGTTGTTATGGGAAGATATTTCCTTTTCCAACATAGGCCTGAAAGCGCTCCAAATGTCCACTTCCAGATACTACAAAAGGAGTGATTCCAACCTGCTCTATGATAGGGAATGTTCAACTCTGTGTCCTGAATACAAACATCACAAAGATGTTTCTCAGAACGCTGCAGTCTGCAATTTGTATGAATTCCCGCTTCCAACGAAATCCTCAAAACTAGCCAAATATCCACTTGCAGATTCCACAAAAAGACCATTTCAAAACTGCTCTATCAAAAGAAAGGTTCAACTTTGTTAGTTGAGTAGATACAGCATAACCAAGTTTCTGAGAATGCTTCTGTCCAGTTTTTATGGGAAGATATTTCCTTTTTCACCTTAGCCCTGAAATCGCTCCAAAAGTCCAGTTCCAGATACTACAAAAGGGGTGTTTCAAGACTGCTCTATGAAAGGGAGTGTTCAACTTTTGACTTGAATGCAAACATCAGAAAGCAGTTTCTCAGAACGCTGCTGTGTGCTTTTTATATGTATTCCCGCTTCCAGCGAAATCCCCAAAGCTAGCCAAATATCCACTTGCAGATTCCAGAAAAAGAGAGTTTCAAAACTGCTCCTTCAAAACGGTGGTTCAATTCTCTTAGTTGAGTACACACATCTCAAATAAGTTTCTGAGAATGCTTCTGTCTAGTTGTTATGGGAAGATATTTCCTTTTCCAACATAGGCCTGAAAGCGCTCCAAATGTCCACTTCCAGATACTACAAAAGGAGTGATTCAAACCTGCTCTATGATAGGGAATGTTCAACTCTGTGTCCTGAATACAAACATCACAAAGATGTTTCTCAGAACGCTGCAGTCTGCAATTTGTATGAATTCCCGCTTCCAACGAAATCCTCAAAACTAGCCAAATATCCACTTGCAGATTCCACAAAAAGAGCGTTTCAAAACTTCTCTATGAAAAGAAAGGTTCTACTCCTTTAGTTGAGGACACACATCACGAGTAAGTTTCTGAGAATGCTTCTGTCTAGTTTTTATGGGAAGATTATTTCCTTTTTCACCTTAGGCCGGTAAGTGCTCCAAATGTCCACTTACACACACTACAAAAAGAGTGTTTCAAACCTGCTCTGTGAAAGGGAATGTTCAATTCTGTGACTTGAATGCAATCATCACAAAGAACTTTCTGAGAATGCTGCTGACTGCTTTTTATATGTAATCCCGTTTCCAACGAAATCCTCAAATCTAGCCAAATAGCCACTTGCAGATTCCACAAAAAGAGTGTTTCAAAACTGTTCTGTCTAAAGAAATGTTCAACTGTGTTAGTTGAGGACACACATCAGAAACTAGTTTCTGAGAATGCTTCTGTCTAGTTGTTATGGGAAGATATTTCCTTTTCCAACGTAGGCCTGAAAGCGCTCCAAATGTCCACTTCCAGATACTAAAAAAAGAGTGTTTCAAACCTGCTCTACCAAAGGGAATGTTCTACTCTGTGACTTGAATGCAAGCATCCCAAAGAAGTTTCTGAGAATGCTTCTGTCTAGATTTTCTCTGAAGACAATCCCGTTTCCAACGAAATCCTCAAGGCTAGGCAAATATACTCTTGCAGATTCCAGAAAAAGAGTGTTTCAAAACTGCTCCTTCAAAACGGTGGTTCAATTCTCTTAGTTGAGTACACACATCTCAAATAAGTTTCTGAGAATGCTTCTGCCTAGTTGTTAAGGGAAGATATTTCCCTTTCCAACATAGGCCTGAAAGCGCTCCAAATGTCCACTTCCAGATACTACAAAAAGAGTGTTTCAAACCTGCTCTACCAAATGGAATGTTCTACTCTGTGACTTGAATGCAAACATCCCAAAGAAGTTTCTGAGAATGCTTCTGTCTAGATTTTACCTGAAGACAATCCCGTTTCCCACGAAATCCTCAAAGCTATGCAAATATCCTCTTGCAGATTCTACAAAAAGAGTGTTTCAAAACTGCTCTATGAAAAGAAAGGTTCAACTCTGTCAGTAGAGGGCACACATCACAAACAAGTTTCTGAGAATGCTTCTGCATAGTTGTTACGGGAAGATATTTCCCTTTCCAAAATAGGCCTGAAAGCGCTCCAAATGTCCACTTCCAGATACTACAAAAGGAGTGATTCCAACCTGCTCTATGATAGGGAATGTTCAACTCTGTGTCCTGAATACAAACATCACAAAGATGTTTCTCAGAACGCTGCAGTCTGCAATTTGTATGAATTCCCGCTTCCAACGAAATCCTCAAAACTAGCCAAATATCCACTTGCAGATTCCACAAAAAGACCATTTCAAAACTGCTCTATCAAAAGAAAGGTTCAACTTTGTTAGTTGAGTAGATACAGCATAAACAAGTTTCTGAGAATGCTTCTGTCCAGTTTTTATGGGAAGATATTTCCTTTTTCACCTTAGCCCTGAAATCGCTCCAAAAGTCCAGTTCCAGATACTACAAAACGGGTGTTTCAAGACTGCTCTATGAAAGGGAGTGTTCAACTTTTGACTTGAATGCAAACATCAGAAAGCAGTTTCTCAGAACGCTGCTGTGTGCTTTTTATATGTATTCCCGCTTCCAGCGAAATCCCCAAAGCTAGCCAAATATCCACTTGCAGATTCCAGAAAAAGAGAGTTTCAAAACTGCTCCTTCAAAACGGTGGTTCAATTCTCTTAGTTGAGTACACACATCTCAAATAAGTTTCTGAGAATGCTTGTGTCTAGTTGTTATGGGAAGATATTTCCTTTTTCAACATAGGCCTGAAAGCGCTCCAAATGTCCACTTCCAGATACTACAAAAGGAGTGATTCCAACCTGCTCTATGATAGGGAATGTTCATCTCTGTGTCCTGAATACAAACATCACAAAGATGTTTCTCAGAAGGCTGCGGTCTGCAATTTGTATGAATTCCCGCTTCCAACGAAATCCTCAAAACTAGCCAAATATCCACTTGGAGATTCCACAAAAAGAGCGTTTCAAAACTTCTCTATGAATAGAAAGGTTCTACTCCTTTAGTTGAGGACACACATCACGAGTAAGTTTCTGAGAATGCTTCTGTCTAGTTTTTATGGGAAGATATGTCCTTTTTCACCTTAGGCCGGAAAGCGCTCCAAATGTCCACTTACACACACTACAAAAAGAGTGTTTCAAACCTGCTCTGTGAAAGGGAATGTTCAATTCTGTGACTTGAATGCAATCATCACAAAGAACTTTCTGAGAATGCTGCTGTCTGCTTTTTATATGTAATCCCGTTTCCAACGAAATCCTCAAATCTAGCCCAATATCCACTTGCAGATTCCACAAAAAGAGTGTTTCAAAACTGTTCTGTATAAAGAAATGTACAACTGTGTTAGTTGAGGACACACATCAGAAACTAGTTTCTGAGAATGCTTCTGTCTAGTTGTTATGGGAAGATATTTCCTTTTCCAACGTAGGCCTGAAAGCGCTCCAAATGTCCACTTCCATATACTAAAAAAAGAGTGTTTCAAACCTGCTCTACCAAAGGGAATGTTCTACTCTGTGACTTGAATGCAAACATCCCAAAGAAGTTTCTGAGAATGCTTCTGTCTAGATTTTCTCTGAAGACAATCCCGTTTCCAACGAAATCCTCAAGGCTAGGCAAATATACTCTTGCAGATTCCAGAAAAAGAGTGTTTCAAAACTGCTCCTTCAAAACGGTGGTTCAATTCTCTTAGTTGAGTACACACATCTCAAATAAGTTTCTGAGAATGCTTCTGCCTAGTTGTTACGGGAAGATATTTCCCTTTCCAACATGGGCCTGAAAGCGCTCCAAATGTCCACTTCCAGATACTACAAAAAGAGTGTTTCAAACCTGCTCTACCAAAGGGAATGTTCTACTCTGTGACTTGAATGCAAACATCCCAAAGAAGTTTCTGAGAATGCTTCTGTCTAGATTTTACCTGAAGACAATCCCGTTTCCCACGAAATCCTCAAAGCTATGCAAATATCCTCTTGCAGATTCTACAAAAAGAGTGTTTCAAAACTGCTCTATGAAAAGAAAGGTTCAACTCTGTCAGTAGAGGGCACACATCACAAACAAGTTTCTGAGAATGCTTCTGCATAGTTGTTACGGGAAGATATTTCCCTTTCCAAAATAGGCCTGAAAGCGCTCCAAATGTCCACTTCCAGATACTACAAAAGGAGTGATTCCAACCTGCTCTATGATAGGGAATGTTCAACTCTGTGTCCTGAATACAAACATCACAAAGATGTTTCTCAGAACGCTGCAGTCTGCAATTTGTATGAATTCCCGCTTCCAACGAAATCCTCAAAACTAGCCAAATATCCACTTGCAGATTCCACAAAAAGACCATTTCAAAACTGCTCTATCAAAAGAAAGGTTAAACTTTGTTAGTTGAGTAGATACAGCATAACCAAGTTTCTGAGAATGCTTCTGTCCAGTTTTTATGGGAAGATATTTCCTTTTTCACCTTAGCCCTGAAATCGCTCCAAAAGTCCAGTTCCAGATACTACAAAAGGGGTGTTTCAAGACTGCTCTATGAAAGGGAGTGTTCAACTTTTGACTTGAATGCAAACATCAGAAAGCAGTTTCTCAGAACGCTGCTGTGTGCTTTTTATATGTATTCCCGCTTCCAGCGAAATCCCCAAAGCTAGCCAAATATCCACTTGCAGATTCCAGAAAAAGAGAGTTTCAAAACTGCTCCTTCAAAACGGTGGTTCAATTCTCTTAGTTGAGTACACACATCTCAAATAAGTTTCTGAGAATGCTTCTGTCTAGTTGTTATGGGAAGATATTTCCTTTTCCAACATAGGCCTGAAAGCGCTCCAAATGTCCACTTCCAGATACTACAAAAGGAGTGATTCCAACCTGCTCTATGATAGGGAATGTTCAACTCTGTGTCCTGAATACAAACATCACAAAGATGTTTCTCAGAACGCTGCAGTCTGCAATTTGTATGAATTCCCGCTTCCAACGAAATCCTCAAAACTAGCCAAATATCCACTTGCAGATTCCACAAAAAGAGCGTTTCAAAACTTCTCTATGAAAAGAAAGGTTCTACTCCTTTAGTTGAGGACACACATCACGAGTAAGTTTCTGAGAATGCTTCTGTCTAGTTTTTATGGGAAGATATTTCCTTTTTCAACACAAGCCTGAATGCGCTCCAAATGGACACTTCCAGATATGACAAAAGGAGTGCTTCAAACCTGTTCTATCAAAGGGAATGTTCAATTCTGTGACTTGATTGCAAACATCACCAAGAAGTTTCTCAGAACGCTGCTGTCTGCTTTTTATATGTATTCCCGTTTCCAACGAAATCCTCAAAGCCAGCCAAATATCCACTTGCAGATTCCACAAAAAGAGTGTTTCAAAACTGCTCTCTCAAAAGAAATGTTCAACTCTGTCAGTTGAGGACACACATCACAAATAAGTTTCTGAGAATGCTTCTCTCTAGATTTTATATGAAGATATTCCCGTTTCCAACGAAATCCACAAAGCTATCGAAATATCCACTTGCAGATTCTACAAAAAGAGTGTTTCAAAACTGCTCTATGAAAAGAAAGGTTCTACCCCTTTAGTTGAGGACACACATCACGAGTAAGTTTCTGAGAATGCTTCTGTCTAGTTTTTATGGGAAGATATTTCCTTTTTCACCTGAGGCCGGAAAGCGCTCCAAATGTCCACTTCCAGATACTACAAAAGGAGTGATTCAAACCTGCTCTATGATAGGGAACGTTCAACTCTGTGTCCTGAATACAAACATCACAAAGATGTTTCTCAGAACGCTGCAGTCTGCCAATTTGTATGAATTCCCGCTTCCAACGAAATCCTCAAAACTAGCCAAATATCCACTTGCAGATTCCACAAAAAGAGCGTTTCAAAACTTCTCTATGAAAAGAAAGGTTCTACTCCTTTAGTTGAGGACACACATCACGAGTAAGTTTCTGAGAATGCTTCTGTCTAGTTTTTATGGGAAGATATTTCCTTTTTCACCTTAGGCCGGTAAGTGCTCCAAATGTCCACTTACACACACTACAAAAAGAGTGTTTCAAACCTGCTCTGTGAAAGGGAATGTTCAATTCTGTGACTTGAATGCAATCATCACAAAGAACTTTCTGAGAATGCTGCTGACTGCTTTTTATATGTAATCCCGTTTCCAACGAAATCCTCAAATCTAGCCAAATAGCCACTTGCAGATTCCACAAAAAGAGTGTTTCAAAACTGTTCTGTCTAAAGAAATGTTCAACTGTGTTAGTTGAGGACACACATCAGAAACTAGTTTCTGAGAATGCTTCTGTCTAGTTGTTATGGGAAGATATTTCCTTTTCCAACGTAGACCTGAAAGCGATCAAAATGTCCACTTCCATATACTAAAAAAAGAGTGTTTCAAACCTGCTCTACCAAAGGGAATGTTCTACTCTGTGACTTGAATGCAAACATCCCAAAGAAGTTTCTGAGAATGCTTCTGTCTAGATTTGATCTAAAGACAATCCCGTTTCCAACGAAATCCTCAAGGCTAGGCAAATATCCTCTTGCAGATTCCAGAAAAAGAGTGTTTCAAAACAGCTCCTTCAAAACGGTGATTCAATTCTCTTAGTTGAGTACACACATCTCAAATAAGTTTCTGAGAATGCTTCTGCCTAGTTGTTACGGGAAGATATTTCCCTTTCCAACATAGGCCTGAAAGCGCTCCAAATGTCCACTTCCAGATAATACAAAAAGAGTGTTTCAAACCTGCTCTACCAAAGGGAATGTTCTACTCTGTGACTTGAATGCAAACATCCCAAAGAAGTTTCTCAGAATGCTTCTGTCTAGATTTTACCTGAAGACAATCCCGTTTCCCACGAAATCCTCAAAGCTATGCAAATATCCTCTTGCAGATTCTACAAAAAGAGCGTTTCAAAACTTCTCTATGAAAAGAAAGGTTCTACTCATTTAGTGGAGGACACACATCACGAGTAAGTTTCTGAGAATGCTTCTGTCTAGTTTTTATGGGAAGATATTTCCTTTTTCACCTTAGGCCGGAAAGTGCTCCAAATGTCCACTTCCAGATACTACAAAAGGAGTGATTCCAACCTGCTCTATGATAGGGAATGTTCAACTCTCTGTCCTGAATACAAACATCACAAAGATGTTTCTCTGAACGCTGCAGTCTGCAATTTGTATGAATTCCCGCTTCCAGCGAAATCCTCAAAACTAGCCAAATATCCACTTGCAGATTCCACAAAAAGAGCATTTCAAAACTGCTCTATCAAAAGAAAGGTTCAACTTTGTTAGTTGAGTAGATACAGCATAAACAAGTTTCTGAGAATGCTTCTGTCCAGTTTTTATGGGAAGATATTTCCTTTTTCACCTTAGCCCTGAAAGCGCTCCAAATGTCCAGTTCCAGATACTACAAAAGGGGTGTTTCAAGACTGCTCTATGAAAGGGAGTGTTCAACTTTTGACTTGAATGCAAACATCAGAAAGCAGTTTCTCAGAACGCTGCTGTGTGTTTTTTATATGTATTCCCGCTTCCAGCGAAATCCCCAAAGCTAGCCAAATATCCACTTGCAGATTCCAGAAAAAGAGCGTTTCAAAACTGCTCCTTGAAAACGGTGGTTCAATTCTCTTAGTTGAGTACACCCATCTCAAATAAGTTTCTGAGAATGCTTCTGTCTAGTTGTTATGGGAAGATATTTCCTTTTCCAACATAGGCCTGAAAGCGCTCCAAATGTCCACTTCCAGATACTACAAAAGGAGTGATTCAAACCTGCTCTATGATAGGGAATGTTCAACTCTGTGTCCTGAATACAAACATCACAAAGATGTTTCTCAGAACGCTGCAGTCTGCAATTTGTATGAATTCCCGCTTCCAACGAAATCCTCAAAACTAGCCAAATATCCACTTGCAGATTCCACAAAAAGAGCGTTTCAAAACTTCTCTATGAAAAGAAAGGTTCTACTCCTTTAGTTGAGGACACACATCACGAGTAAGTTTCTGAGAATGCTTCTGTCTAGTTTTTATGGGAAGATATTTCCTTTTTCACCTTAGGCCGGTAAGTGCTCCAAATGTCCACTTACACACACTACAAAAAGAGTGTTTCAAACCTGCTCTGTGAAAGGGAATGTTCAATTCTGTGACTTGAATGCAATCATCACAAAGAACTTTCTGAGAATGCTGCTGACTGCTTTTTATATGTAATCCCGTTTCCAACGAAATCCTCAAATCTAGCCAAATAGCCACTTGCAGATTCCACAAAAAGAGTGTTTCAAAACTGTTCTGTCTAAAGAAATGTTCAACTGTGTTAGTTGAGAACACACATCAGAAACTAGTTTCTGAGAATGCTTCTGTCTAGTTGTTATGGGAAGATATTTCCTTTTCCAACGTAGGCCTGAAAGCGCTCCAAATGTCCACTTCCAGATACTACAAAAAGAGTGTTTCAAACCTGCTCTACCAAAGGGAATGTTCTACTCTGTGACTTGAATGCAAACATCCCAAAGAAGTTTCTGAGAATGCTTCTGTCTAGATTTTCTCTGAAGACAATCCCGTTTCCAACGAAATCCTCAAGGCTAGGCAAATATACTCTTGCAGATTCCAGAAAAAGAGTGTTTCAAAACTGCTCCTTCAAAACGGTGGTTCAATTCTCTTAGTTGAGTACACACATCTCAAATAAGTTTCTGAGAATGCTTCTGCCTAGTTGTTACGGGAAGATATTTCCCTTTCCAACATGGGCCTGAAAGCGCTCCAAATGTCCACTTCCAGATACTACAAAAAGAGTGTTTCAAACCTGCTCTACCAAAGGGAATGTTCTACTCTGTGACTTGAATGCAAACATCCCAAAGAAGTTTCTGAGAATGCTTCTGTCTAGATTTTACCTGAAGACAATCCCGTTTCCCACGAAATCCTCAAAGCTATGCAAATATCCTCTTGCAGATTCTACAAAAAGAGTGTTTCAAAACTGCTCTATGAAAAGAAAGGTTCAACTCTGTCAGTAGAGGGCACACATCACAAACAAGTTTCTGAGAATGCTTCTGCATAGTTGTTACGGGAAGATATTTCCCTTTCCAAAATAGGCCTGAAAGCGCTCCAAATGTCCACTTCCAGATACTACAAAAGGAGTGATTCCAACCTGCTCTATGATAGGGAATGTTCAACTCTCTGTCCTGAATACAAACATCACAAAGATGTTTCTCAGAACGCTGCAGTCTGCAATTTGTATGAATTCCCGCTTCCAACGAAATCCTCAAAACTAGCCAAATATCCACTTGCAGATTCCACAAAAAGACCATTTCAAAACTGCTCTATCAAAAGAAAGGTTCAACTTTGTTAGTTGAGTAGATACAGCATAAACAAGTTTCTGAGAATGCTTCTGTCCAGTTTTTATGGGAAGATATTTCCTTTTTCACCTTAGCCCTGAAGGCGCTCCAAATGTCCAGTTCCAGATACTACAAAAGGGGTGTTTCAAGACTGCTCTATGAAAGGGAGTGTTCAACTTTTGACTTGAATGCAAACATCAGAAAGCAGTTTCTCAGAACGCTGCTGTGTGCTTTTTATATGTATTCCCGCTTACAGCGAAATCCCCAAAGCTAGCCAAATATCCACTTGCAGATTCCAGAAAAAGAGTGTTTCCAAACTGCTCCTTCAAAACGGTGGTTCAATTCTCATAGTTGAGTACACACATCTCCAATAAGTTTCTGGGAATGCTTCTGTCTAGTTGTTATGGGAAGATATTTCCTTTTCCAACATAGGCCTGAAAGCGCTCCAAATGTCCACTTCCAGATACTACAAAAGGAGTGATTCCAACCTGCTCTATGATAGGGAATGTTCAACTCTGTGTCCTGAATACAAACATCACAAAGATGTTTCTCAGAACGCTGCAGTCTGCAATTTGTATGAATTCCCGCTTCCAACGAAATCCTCCAAACTAGCCAAATATCCACTTGCAGATTCCACAAAAAGAGCGTTTCAAAACTTCTCTATGAAAAGAAAGGTTCTACTCCTTTAGTTGAGGACACACATCACGAGTAAGTTTCTGAGAATGCTTCTGTCTAGTTTTTATGGGAAGATATTTCCTTTTTCACCTTAGGCCGGTAAGTGCTCCAAATGTCCACTTACACACACTACAAAAAGAGTGTTTCAAACCTGCTCTGTGAAAGGGAATGTTCAATTCTGTGACTTGAATGCAATCATCACAAAGAACTTTCTGAGAATGCCGCTGACTGCTTTTTATATGTAATCCCGTTTCCAACGAAATCCTCAAATCTAGCCAAATAGCCACTTGCAGATTCCACAAAAAGAGTGTTTCAAAACTGTTCTGTCTAAAGAAATGTTCAACTGTGTTAGTTGAGGACACACATCAGAAACTAGTTTCTGAGAATGCTTCTGTCTAGTTGTTATGTGAAGATATTTCCTTTTCCAACGTAGGCCTGAAAGCGCTCCAAATGTCCACTTACACACACTACAAAAAGAGTGTTTCAAACCTGCTCTACCAAAGGGAATGTTCTACTCTGTGACTTGAATGCAAACACCCCAAAGAAGTTTCTGAGAATGCTTCTGTCTAGATTTTACATGAAGACAATCCCGTTTCCCACGAAATCCTCAAAGCTATGCAAATATCCTCTTGCAGATTCTACAAAAAGAGTGTTTCGAAAGTGCTCTATGAAAAGAAAGGTTCAACTGTGTCAGTAGAGGGCACACATCACAAACAAGTTTCTGAGAATGCTTCTGTCTAGTTGTTATGGGAAGATATTTCCTTTTTCAACATAGGCCTGAAAGCGCTCCAAATGTCCACTTCCAGATACTACAAAAGGAGTGATTCCAACCTGCTCTATGATAGGGAATGTTCAACTCTGTGTCCTGAATACAAACATCACAAAGATGTTTCTCAGAACGCTGCAGTCTGCAATTTGTATGAATTCCCGCTTCCAACGAAATCCTCAAACCTAGCCAAATATCCACTTGCAGATTCCACAAAAAGAGCATTTCAAAACTGCTCTATCAAAAGAAAGGTTCAACCTTGTTAGTTGAGTAAATACAGCATAAACAAGTTTCTGAGAATGCTTCTGTCCAGTTTTTATGGGAAGATATTTCCTTTTTCACCTTAGCCCTGAAAGCGCTCCAAATGTCCAGTTCCAGATACTACACAAGGGGTGTTTCAAGACTGCTCTATGAAAGGGAGTGTTCAACTTTTGACTTGAAAGCAAACATCAGAAAGCAATTTCTCAGAACGCTTCTGTCTAGTTTTTATGGGAAGATATTTCCTTTTTCACCTGAGGCCGGAAAGCGCTCCAAATGTCCACTTCCAGATACTACAAAAGGAGTGATTCAAACCTGCTCTATGATAGGGAACGTTCAACTCTGTGTCCTGAATACAAACATCACAAAGATGTTTCTCAGAACGCTGCAGTCTGCAATTTGTATGAATTCCCGCTTCCAACGAAATCCTCAAAACTAGCCAAATATCCACTTGCAGATTCCACAAAAAGAGCGTTTCAAAACTTCTCTATGAAAAGAAAGGTTCTACTCCTTTAGTTGAGGACACACATCACGAGTAAGTTTCTGAGAATACTTCTGTCTAGTTTTTATGGGAAGATATTTCCTTGTTCACCTTAGGCCGGAAACCGCTCCAAATGTCCACTTACACACACTACAAAAAGAGTGTTTCAAACCTGCTCTGTGAAAGGGAATGTTCAATTCTGTGACTTGAATGCAATCATCACAAAGAAGTTTCTGAGAATGCTGCTGTCTGCTTTTTATATGTAATCCCGTTTCCAACGAAATCCTCAAATCTAGCCAAATATCCACTTGCAGATTCCACAAAGAGAGTGTTTCAAAACTGTTCTGTCTAAAGAAATGTTCAACTGTGTTAGTTGAGGACACACATCAGAAACTAGTTTCTGAGAATGCTTCTGTCTAGTTGTTATGGGAAGATATTTCCTTTTCCAACGTAGGCCTGAAAGCGCTCCAAATGTCCACTTCCATATACTAAAAAAAGAGTGTTTCAAACCTGCTCTACCAAAGGGAATGTTCTACTCTGTGACTTGAATGCAAACATCCCAAAGAAGTTTCTGAGAATGCTTCTGTCTAGATTGGATCTGAAGACAATCCCGTTTCCAACGAAATCCTCAAATCTATGCAAATATCCTCTTGCAGATTCCA
Organism: Homo sapiens; assembly: GCF_000001405.40. Lineage (NCBI taxonomy): Eukaryota > Metazoa > Chordata > Mammalia > Primates > Hominidae > Homo > Homo sapiens. The sequence continues at coordinate 17,301,098 of NC_000018.10, read as the reverse complement.
GAAAAAGAGTGTTTCAAAACTGCTCCTTCAAAACGGTGGTTCAATTCTCTTAGTTGAGTACACACATCTCAAATAAGTTTCTGAGAATGCTTCTGCCTAGTTGTTACGGGAAGATATTTCCCTTTCCAACATAGGCCTGAAAGCGCTCCAAATGTCCACTTCCAGATACTACAAAAAGAGTGTTTCAAACCTGCTCCTTCAAAACGGTGGTTCAATTCTCTTAGTTCAGTACACACATCTCAAATAAGTTTCTGAGAATGCTTCTGCCTAGTTGTTACGGGAAGATATTTCCCTTTCCAACATAGGCCTGAAAGCGCTCCAAATGTCCACTTCCAGATACTACAAAAAGAGTGTTTCAAACCTGCTCTACCAAAGGGAATGTTCTACTCTGTGACTTGAATGCAAACATCCCGAAGAATTTTCTGAGAATGCTTCTGTCTAGATTTTACCTGAAGACAATCCCGTTTCCCACGAAATCCTCAAAGCTATGCAAATATCCTCTTGCAGATTCTACAAAAAGAGTGTTTCAAAACTGCTCTATGAAAAGAAAGGTTCAACTCTGTCAGTAGAGGGCACACATCACAACAAGTTTCTGAGAATGCTTGTGTCTACTTGTTATGGGAAGATATTTCCTTTTTCAACATAGGCCTGAAAGCGCTCCAAATGTCCACTTCCAGATACTACAAAAGGAGTGATTCCAACCTCCTCTATGATAGGGAATGTTCAACTCTGTGTCCTGAATACAAACATCACAAAGATGTTTCTCAGAACGCTGCAGTCTGCAATTTGTATGAATTCCCGCTTCCAACGCAATCCTCAAAACTAACCAAATATCCACTTGCAGACTCCACAAAAAGAGCATTTCAAAACTGCTCTATCAAAAGAAAGGTTCAACTTTGTTAGCTGAGTAGATACAGCATAAACAAGTTTCTGAGAATGCTTCTGTCCAGTTTTTATGGGAAGATATTTCCTTTTTCACCTTAGCCCTGAAAGCACTCCAAATGTCCACTTCCAGATACCACAAAAGGGGAGTTTCAAGACTGCTCTCTGAAAGGGAGTGTTCAACTTTTGGCTTGAATGCGAACATCAGAAAGAAGTTTCTCAGAACGCTGCTGTGTGCTTTTTATATGTATTCCCGCTTCCAGCGAAATCCCCAAAGCTAGCCAAATATCCAATTGCAGATTCCAGAAAAAGAGTGTTTCAAAACTGCTCCTTCAAAACGGTGGTTCAATTCTCTTAGTTGAGTACACACATCTCAAATAAGTTTCTGAGAATGCTTGTGTCTAGTTGTTATGGGAAGATATTTCCTTTTTCAACATAGGCCTGAAAGCGCTCCAAATGTCCACTTCCAGATACTACAAAAGGAGTGATTCCAACCTGCTCTATGATAGGGAATGTTCAACTCTCTGTCCTGAATACAAACACCACAAAGATGTTTCTCAGAACGCTGCAGTCTGCAATTTGTATGAATTCCCGCTTCCAACGAAATCCTCAAAACTAGCCAAATATCCACTTGCAGATTCCACAAAAAGAGCATTTCAAAACTGCTCTATCAAAAGAAAGGTTCAAATTTGTTAGTTGAGTAGATACAGCATAAACAAGTTTCTGAGAATGCTTCTGTCCAGTTTTTATGGGAAGATATTTCCTTTTTCACCTTAGCCCTGAAAGCGCTCCAAAAGTCCAGTTCCAGATACTACAAAAGGAGTGTTTCAGGACTGCTCTATGAAAGGGAGTGTTCAACTTTTGACTTGAATGCAAACATCAGAAAGCAGTTTCTCAGAACGCTGCTGTGTGCTTTTTATATGTATTCCCGCCTCCAGCGAAATCCCCAAAGCTAGCCAAATATCCACTTGCAGATTCCAGAAAAAGAGTGTTTCAAAACTGCTCCTTCAAAACGGTGGTTCAATTCTCTTAGTTGAGTACACACATCTCAAATAAGTTTCTGAGAATGCTTCTGTCTAGTTGTTATGGGAAGATATTTCCTTTTCCAACATAGGCCTGAAAGCGCTCCAAATGTCCACTTCCAGATACTACAAAAGGAGTGATTCAAACCTGCTCTATGATAGGGAATGTTCAACTCTGTGTCCTGAATACAAACATCACAAAGATGTTTCTCAGAACGCTGCAGTCTGCAATTTGTATGAATTCCCGCTTCCAACGAAATCCTCCAAACTAGCCAAATATCCACTTGCAGATTCCACAAAAAGAGCGTTTCAAAACTTCTCTACGAAAGAAAGGTTCTACTCCTATTAGTTGAGGACACACATCACGAGTAAGTTTCTGAGAATGCTTTCTGTCTAGTTTTTATGGGAAGATTATTTCCTTTTTCACCTTAGGCCGGTAAGTGCTCCAAATGTCCACTTACACACACTACAAAAAGAGTGTTTCAAACCTGCTCTGTGAAAGGGAATGTTCAATTCTGTGACTTGAATGCAATCATCACAAAGAACTTTCTGAGAATGCTGCTGACTGCTTTTTATATGTAATCCCGTTTCCAACGAAATCCTCAAATCTAGCCAAATAGCCACTTGCAGATTCCACAAAAAGAGTGTTTCAAAACTGTTCTGTCTAAAGAAATGTTCAACTGTGTTAGTTGAGGACACACATCAGAAACTAGTTTCTGAGAATGCTTCTGTCTAGTTGTTATGGGAAGATATTTCCTTTTCCAACGTAGGCCTGAAAGCGCTCCAAATGTCCACTTCCAGATACTAAAAAAAGAGTGTTTCAAACCTGCTCTACCAAAGGGAATGTTCTACTCTGTGACTTGAATGCAAGCATCCCAAAGAAGTTTCTGAGAATGCTTCTGTCTAGATTTTCTCTGAAGACAATCCCGTTTCCAACGAAATCCTCAAGGCTAGGCAAATATACTCTTGCAGATTCCAGAAAAAGAGTGTTTCAAAACTGCTCCTTCAAAACGGTGGTTCAATTCTCTTAGTTGAGTACACACATCTCAAATAAGTTTCTGAGAATGCTTCTGCCTAGTTGTTACGGGAAGATATTTCCCTTTCCAACATGGGCCTGAAAGCGCTCCAAATGTCCACTTCCAGATACTACAAAAAGAGTGTTTCAAACCTGCTCTACCAAAGGGAATGTTCTACTCTGTGACTTGAATGCAAACATCCCAAAGAAGTTTCTGAGAATGCTTCTGTCTAGATTTTACCTGAAGACAATCCCGTTTCCCACGAAATCCTCAAAGCTATGCAAATATCCTCTTGCAGATTCTACAAAAAGAGTGTTTCAAAACTGCTCTATGAAAAGAAAGGTTCAACTCTGTCAGTAGAGGGCACACATCACAAACAAGTTTCTGAGAATGCTTCTGCATAGTTGTTACGGGAAGATATTTCCCTTTCCAAAATAGGCCTGAAAGCGCTCCAAATGTCCACTTCCAGATACTACAAAAGGAGTGATTCCAACCTGCTCTATGATAGGGAATGTTCAACTCTGTGTCCTGAATACAAACATCACAAAGATGTTTCTCAGAACGCTGCAGTCTGCAATTTGTATGAATTCCCGCTTCCAACGAAATCCTCAAAACTAGCCAAATATCCACTTGCAGATTCCACAAAAAGACCATTTCAAAACTGCTCTATCAAAAGAAAGGTTCAACTTTGTTAGTTGAGTAGATACAGCATAAACAAGTTTCTGAGAATGCTTCTGTCCAGTTTTTATGGGAAGATATTTCCTTTTTCACCTTAGCCCTGAAATCGCTCCAAAAGTCCAGTTCCAGATACTACAAAAGGGGTGTTTCAGGACTGCTCTATGAAAGGGAGTGTTCAACTTTTGACTTGAATGCAAACATCAGAAAGCAGTTTCTCAGAACGCTGCTGTGTGCTTTTTATATGTATTCCCGCTTCCAGCGAAATCCCCAAAGCTAGCCAAATATCCACTTGCAGATTCCAGAAAAAGAGAGTTTCAAAACTGCTCCTTCAAAACGGTGGTTCAATTCTCTTAGTTGAGTACACACATCTCAAATAAGTTTCTGAGAATGCTTCTGTCTAGCTGTTATGGGAGGATATTTCCTTTTCCAACATAGGCCTGAAAGCGCTCCAAACGTCCACTTCCAGATACGACAAAAGGAGTGATTCCAACCTGCTCTATGATAGGGAATGTTCAACTCTGTGTCCTGAATACAAACATCACAAAGATGTTTCTCAGAACGCTGCAGTCTGCAATTTGTATGAATTCCCGCTTCCAACGAAATCCTCAAAACTAGCCAAATATCCACTTGCAGATTCCACAAAAAGAGCGTTTCAAAACTTCTCTATGAAAAGAAAGGTTCTACTCCTTTAGTTGAGGACACACATCACGAGTAAGTTTCTGAGAATGCTTCTGTCTAGTTTTTATGGGAAGATTATTTCCTTTTTCACCTTAGGCCGGTAAGTGCTCCAAATGTCCACTTACACACACTACAAAAAGAGTGTTTCAAACCTGCTCTGTGAAAGGGAATGTTCAATTCTGTGACTTGAATGCAATCATCACAAAGAACTTTCTGAGAATGCCGCTGACTGCTTTTTATATGTAATCCCGTTTCCAACGAAATCCTCAAATCTAGCCAAATAGCCACTTGCAGATTCCACAAAAAGAGTGTTTCAAAACTGTTCTGTCTAAAGAAATGTTCAACTGTGTTAGTTGAGGACACACATCAGAAACTAGTTTCTGAGAATGCTTCTGTCTAGTTGTTATGGGAAGATATTTCCTTTTCCAACGTAGGCCTGAAAGCGCTCCAAATGTCCACTTCCAGATACTACAAAAAGAGTGTTTCAAACCTGCTCTACCAAAGGGAATGTTCTACTCTGTGACTTGAATGCAAGCATCCCAAAGAAGTTTCTGAGAATGCTTCTGTCTAGATTTTCTCTGAAGACAATCCCGTTTCCAACGAAATCCTCAAGGCTAGGCAAATATACTCTTGCAGATTCCAGAAAAAGAGTGTTTCAAAACTGCTCCTTCAAAACGGTGGTTCAATTCTCTTAGTTGAGTACACACATCTCAAATAAGTTTCTGAGAATGCTTCTGCCTAGTTGTTACGGGAAGATATTTCCCTTTCCAACATGGGCCTGAAAGCGCTCCAAATGTCCACTTCCAGATACTACAAAAAGAGTGTTTCAAACCTGCTCTACCAAAGGGAATGTTCTACTCTGTGACTTGAATGCAAACATCCCAAAGAAGTTTCTGAGAATGCTTCTGTCTAGATTTTACCTGAAGACAATCCCGTTTCCCACGAAATCCTCAAAGCTATGCAAATATCCTCTTGCAGATTCTACAAAAAGAGTGTTTCAAAACTGCTCTATGAAAAGAAAGGTTCAACTCTGTCAGTAGAGGGCACACATCACAAACAAGTTTCTGAGAATGCTTCTGCATAGTTGTTACGGGAAGATATTTCCCTTTCCAAAATAGGCCTGAAAGCGCTCCAAATGTCCACTTCCAGATACTACAAAAGGAGTGATTCCAACCTGCTCTATGATAGGGAATGTTCAACTCTGTGTCCTGAATACAAACATCACAAAGATGTTTCTCAGAACGCTGCAGTCTGCAATTTGTATGAATTCCCGCTTCCAACGAAATCCTCAAAACTAGCCAAATATCCACTTGCAGATTCCACAAAAAGACCATTTCAAAACTGCTCTATCAAAAGAAAGGTTCAACTTTGTTAGTTGAGTAGATACAGCATAACCAAGTTTCTGAGAATGCTTCTGTCCAGTTTTTATGGGAAGATATTTCCTTTTTCACCTTAGCCCTGAAATCGCTCCAAAAGTCCAGTTCCAGATACTACAAAAGGGGTGTTTCAAGACTGCTCTATGAAAGGGAGTGTTCAACTTTTGACTTGAATGCAAACATCAGAAAGCAGTTTCTCAGAACGCTGCTGTGTGCTTTTTATATGTATTCCCGCTTCCAGCGAAATCCCCAAAGCTAGCCAAATATCCACTTGCAGATTCCAGAAAAAGAGAGTTTCAAAACTGCTCCTTCAAAACGGTGGTTCAATTCTCTTAGTTGAGTACACACATCTCAAATAAGTTTCTGAGAATGCTTCTGTCTAGTTGTTATGGGAAGATATTTCCTTTTCCAACATAGGCCTGAAAGCGCTCCAAATGTCCACTTCCAGATACTACAAAAGGAGTGATTCAAACCTGCTCTATGATAGGGAATGTTCAACTCTGTGTCCTGAATACAAACATCACAAAGATGTTTCTCAGAACGCTGCAGTCTGCAATTTGTATGAATTCCCGCTTCCAACGAAATCCTCAAAACTAGCCAAATATCCACTTGCAGATTCCACAAAAAGAGCGTTTCAAAACTTCTCTATGAAAAGAAAGGTTCTACTCCTTTAGTTGAGGACACACATCACGAGTAAGTTTCTGAGAATGCTTCTGTCTAGTTTTTATGGGAAGATATTTCCTTTTTCACCTTAGGCCGGTAAGTGCTCCAAATGTCCACTTACACACACTACAAAAAGAGTGTTTCAAACCTGCTCTGTGAAAGGGAATGTTCAATTCTGTGACTTGAATGCAATCATCACAAAGAACTTTCTGAGAATGCTGCTGACTGCTTTTTATATGTAATCCCGTTTCCAACGAAATCCTCAAATCTAGCCAAATAGCCACTTGCAGATTCCACAAAAAGAGTGTTTCAAAACTGTTCTGTCTAAAGAAATGTTCAACTGTGTTAGTTGAGGACACACATCAGAAACTAGTTTCTGAGAATGCTCTCTGTCTAGTTGTTATGGGAAGATATTTCCTTTTCCAACGTAGGCCTGAAAGTGCTCCAAATGTCCACTTCCATATACTAAAAAAAGAGTGTTTCAAACCTGCTCTACCAAAGGGAATGTTCTACTCTGTGACTTGAATGCAAACATCCCAAAGAAGTTTCTGAGAATGCTTCTGTCTAGATTTGATCTGAAGACAATCCCGTTTCCAACGAAATCCTCAAGGCTAGGCAAATATCCTCTTGCAGATTCCAGAAAAAGAGTGTTTCAAAACTGCTCCTTCAAAACGGTGGTTCAATTCTCTTAGTTGAGTACACACATCTCAAATAAGTTTCTGAGAATGCTTCTGCCTAGTTGTTACGGGAAGATATTTCCCTTTCCAACATAGGCCTGAAAGCGCTCCAAATGTCCACTTCCAGATACTACAAAAAGAGTGTTTCAAACCTGCTCTACCAAAGGGAATGTTCTACTCTGTGACTTGAATGCAAACATCCCAAAGAAGTTTCTGAGAATGCTTCTGTCTAGATTTTACCTGAAGACAATCCCGTTTCCCACGAAATCCTCAAAGCTATGCAAATATCCTCTTGCAGATTCTACAAAAAGAGTGTTTCAAAACTGCTCTATGAAAACAAAGGTTCAACTCTGTCAGTAGAGGGCACACATCACAAACAAGTTTCTGAGAATGCTTCTGCATAGTTGTTACGGGAAGATATTTCCCTTTCCAAAATAGGCCTGAAAGCGCTCCAAATGTCCACTTCCAGATACTACAAAAGGAGTGATTCCAACCTGCTCTATGATAGGGAATGTTCAACTCTGTGTCCTGAATACAAACATCACAAAGATGTTTCTCAGAACGCTGCAGTCTGCAATTTGTATGAATTCCCGCTTCCAACGAAATCCTCAAAACTAGCCAAATATCCACTTGCAGATTCCACAAAAAGAGCGTTTCAAAACTTCTCTATGAAAAGAAAGGTTCTACTCCTTTAGTTGAGGACACACATCACGAGTAAGTTTCTGAGAATGCTTCTGTCTAGTTTTTATGGGAAGATATTTCCTTTTTCACCTTAGGCCGGTAAGTGCTCCAAATGTCCACTTACACACACTACAAAAAGAGTGTTTCAAACCTGCTCTGTGAAAGGGAATGTTCAATTCTGTGACTTGAATGCAATCATCACAAAGAACTTTCTGAGAATGCTGCTGACTGCTTTTTATATGTAATCCCGTTTCCAACGAAATCCTCAAATCTAGCCAAATAGCCACTTGCAGATTCCACAAAAAGAGTGTTTCAAAACTGTTCTGTCTAAAGAAATGTTCAACTGTGTTAGTTGAGGACACACATCAGAAACTAGTTTCTGAGAATGCTTCTGTCTAGTTGTTATGGGAAGATATTTCCTTTTCCAACGTAGGCCTGAAAGCGATCCAAATGTCCACTTCCATATACTAAAAAAAGAGTGTTTCAAACCTGCTCTACCAAAGGGAATGTTCTACTCTGTGACTTGAATGCAAACATCCCAAAGAAGTTTCTGAGAATGCTTCTGTCTAGATTTTCTCTGAAGACAATCCCGTTTCCAACGAAATCCTCAAGGCTAGGCAAATATACTCTTGCAGATTCCAGAAAAAGTGTTTCAAAACTGCTCCTTCAAAACGGTGGTTCAATTCTCTTAGTTGAGTACACACATCTCAAATAAGTTTCTGAGAATGCTTCTGCCTAGTTGTTACGGGAAGATATTTCCCTTTCCAACATGGGCCTGAAAGCGCTCCAAATGTCCACTTCCAGATACTACAAAAAGAGTGTTTCAAACCTGCTCTACCAAAGGGAATGTTCTACTCTGTGACTTGAATGCAAACATCCCAAAGAAGTTTCTGAGAATGCTTCTGTCTAGATTTTACCTGAAGACAATCCCGTTTCCCACGAAATCCTCAAAGCTATGCAAATATCCTCTTGCAGATTCTACAAAAAGAGTGTTTCAAAACTGCTCTATGAAAAGAAAGGTTCAACTCTGTCAGTAGAGGGCACACATCACAAACAAGTTTCTGAGAATGCTTCTGCATAGTTGTTACGGGAAGATATTTCCCTTTCCAAAATAGGCCTGAAAGCGCTCCAAATGTCCACTTCCAGATACTACAAAAGGAGTGATTCCAACCTGCTCTATGATAGGGAATGTTCAACTCTGTGTCCTGAATACAAACATCACAAAGATGTTTCTCAGAACGCTGCAGTCTGCAATTTGTATGAATTCCCGCTTCCAACGAAATCCTCAAAACTAGCCAAATATCCACTTGCAGATTCCACAAAAAGACCATTTCAAAACTGCTCTATCAAAAGAAAGGTTCAACTTTGTTAGTTGAGTAGATACAGCATAAACAAGTTTCTGAGAATGCTTCTGTCCAGTTTTTATGGGAAGATATTTCCTTTTTCACCTTAGCCCTGAAATCGCTCCAAAAGTCCAGTTCCAGATACTACAAAAGGGGTGTTTCAAGACTGCTCTATGAAAGGGAGTGTTCAACTTTTGACTTGAATGCAAACATCAGAAAGCAGTTTCTCAGAACGCTGCTGTGTGCTTTTTATATGTATTCCCGCTTCCAGCGAAATCCCCAAAGCTAGCCAAATATCCACTTGCAGATTCCAGAAAAAGAGAGTTTCAAAACTGCTCCTTCAAAACGGTGGTTCAATTCTCTTAGTTGAGTACACACATCTCAAATAAGTTTCTGAGAATGCTTTCTGTCTAGTTGTTATGGGAAGATATTTCCTTTTTCAACATAGGCCTGAAAGCGCTCCAAATGTCCACTTCCAGATACTACAAAAGGAGTGATTCAAACCTGCTCTATGATAGGGAATGTTCAACTCTGTGTCCTGAATACAATCATCACAAAGATGTTTCTCAGAACGCTGCAAACTGCAACTTGTATGAATTCCCGCTTCCAACGAAATCCTCAAAACTAGCCAAATATCCACTTGCAGATTCCACAAAAAGAGCATTTCAAAACTGCTCTATCAAAAGAAAGGTTCAACTTTGTTAGTTGTGTAGATACAGCATAAACAAGTTTGTGAGAATGCTTCTGTCCAGTTTTTATGGGAAGATATTTCCTTTTTCACCTTAGCCCTGAAAGCGCTCCAAATGTCCAGTTCCAGATACTACAAAATGGGTGTTTCAAGACTGCTCTATGAAAGGGAGTGTTCAACTTTTGACTTGAATGCAAACATCAGAAAGCAGTTTCTCAGAACGCTGCTGTGTGCTTTTTATATGTATTCCCGCTTCCAGCGAAATCCCCAAAGCTAGCCAAATATCCACTTGCAGATCCCAGAAAAAGAGTGTTTCAAAACTGCTCCTTGAAAACGGTGGTTCAATTCTCTTAGTTGAGTACACACATCTCAAATAAGTTTCTGGGAATGCTTCTGTCTAGTTGTTATGGGAAGATATTTCCTTTTCCAACATAGGCCTGAAAGCGCTCCAAATGTCCACTTCCAGATACTACAAAAGGAGTGATTCCAACCTGCTCTATGATAGGGAATGTTCAACTCTGTGTCCTGAATACAAACATCACAAAGATGTTTCTCAGAACGCTGCAGTCTGCAATTTGTATGAATTCCCGCTTCCAACGAAATCCTCAAAACTAGCCAAATATCCACTTGCAGATTCCACAAAAAGAGCGTTTCAAAACTTCTCTATGAAAAGAAAGGTTCTACTCCTTTAGTTGAGGACACACATCACGAGTAAGTTTCTGAGAATGCTTCTGTCTAGTTTTTATGGGAAGATATTTCCTTTTTCACCTTAGGCCGGTAAGTGCTCCAAATGTCCACTTACACACACTACAAAAAGAGTGTTTCAAACCTGCTCTGTGAAAGGGAATGTTCAATTCTGTGACTTGAATGCAATCATCACAAAGAACTTTCTGAGAATGCTGCTGACTGCTTTTTATATGTAATCCCGTTTCCAACGAAATCCTCAAATCTAGCCAAATAGCCACTTGCAGATTCCACAAAAAGAGTGTTTCAAAACTGTTCTGTCTAAAGAAATGTTCAACTGTGTTAGTTGAGGACACACATCAGAAACTAGTTTCTGAGAATGCTTCTGTCTAGTTGTTATGGGAAGATATTTCCTTTTCCAACGTAGGCCTGAAAGCGCTCCAAATGTCCACTTCCAGATACTACAAAAAGAGTGTTTCAAACCTGCTCTACCAAAGGGAATGTTCTACTCTGTGACTTGAATGCAAGCATCCCAAAGAAGTTTCTGAGAATGCTTCTGTCTAGATTTTCTCTGAAGACAATCCCGTTTCCAACGAAATCCTCAAGGCTAGGCAAATATACTCTTGCAGATTCCAGAAAAAGAGTGTTTCAAAACTGCTCCTTCAAAACGGTGGTTCAATTCTCTTAGTTGAGTACACACATCTCAAATAAGTTTCTGAGAATGCTTCTGCCTAGTTGTTACGGGAAGATATTTCCCTTTCCAACATGGGCCTGAAAGCGCTCCAAATGTCCACTTCCAGATACTACAAAAAGAGTGTTTCAAACCTGCTCTACCAAAGGGAATGTTCTACTCTGTGACTTGAATGCAAACATCCCAAAGAAGTTTCTGAGAATGCTTCTGTCTAGATTTTACCTGAAGACAATCCCGTTTCCCACGAAATCCTCAAAGCTATGCAAATATCCTCTTGCAGATTCTACAAAAAGAGTGTTTCAAAACTGCTCTATGAAAAGAAAGGTTCAACTCTGTCAGTAGAGGGCACACATCACAAACAAGTTTCTGAGAATGCTTGTGTCTAGTTGTTATGGGAAGATATTTCCTTTTTCAACATAGGCCTGAAAGCGCTCCAAATGTCCACTTCCAGATACTACAAAAGGAGTGATTCCAACCTGCTCTATGATAGGGAATGTTCAACTCTCTGTCCTGAATACAAACATCACAAAGATGTTTCTCAGAACGCTGCAGTCTGCAATTTGTATGAATTCCCGCTTCCAACGAAATCCTCAAAACTAGCCAAATATCCACTTGCAGATTCCACAAAAAGAGCATTTCAAAACTGCTCTATCAAAAGAAAGGTTCAACTTTGTTAGTTGAGTAGATACAGCATAAACAAGTTTCTGAGAATGCTTCTGTCCAGTTTTTATGGGAAGATATTTCCTTTTTCACCTTAGCCCTGAAAGCGCTCCAAAAGTCCAGTTCCAGATCCTACAAAAGGAGTGTTTCAGGACTGCTCTATGAAAGGGAGTGTTCAACTTTTGACTTGAATGCAAACATCAGAAAGCAGTTTCTCAGAACGCTGCTGTGTGCTTTTTATATGTATTCCCGCTTCCAGCGAAATCCCCAAAGCTAGCCAAATATCCACTTGCAGATTCCAGAAAAAGAGTGTTTCAAAACTGCTCCTTCAAAACGGTGGTTCAATTCTCTTAGTTGAGTACACACATCTCAAATAAGTTTCTGAGAATGCTTCTGTCTAGTTGTTATGGGAAGATATTTCCTTTTCCAACATAGGCCTGAAAGCGCTCCAAATGTCCACTTCCAGATACTACAAAAGGAGTGATTCAAACCTGCTCTATGATAGGGAATGTTCAACTCTGTGTCCTGAATACAAACATCACAAAGATGTTTCTCAGAACGCTGCAGTCTGCAATTTGTATGAATTCCCGCTTCCAACGAAATCCTCAAAACTAGCCAAATATCCACTTGCAGATTCCACAAAAAGAGCGTTTCAAAACTTCTCTATGAAAAGAAAGGTTCTACTCCTTTAGTTGAGGACACACATCACGAGTAAGTTTCTGAGAGTGCTTCTGTCTAGTTTTTATGGGAAGATATTTCCTTTTTCACCTTAGGCCGGAAAGTGCTCCAAATGTCCACTTACACACACTACAAAAAGAGTGTTTCAAACCTGCTCTGTGAAAGGGAATGTTCAATTCTGTGACTTGAATGCAATCATCACAAAGAACTTTCTGAGAATGCTGCTGTCTGCTTTTTATATGTAATCCCGTTTCCAACGAAATCCTCAAATCTAGCCAAATAGCCACTTGCAGATTCCACAAAAAGAGTGTTTCAAAACTGTTCTGTCTAAAGAAATGTTCAACTGTGTTAGTTGAGGACACACATCAGAAACTAGTTTCTGAGAATGCTTCTGTCTAGTTGTTATGGGAAGATATTTCCTTTTCCAACGTAGGCCTGAAAGCGCTCCAAATGTCCACTTCCATATACTAAAAAAAGAGTGTTTCAAACCTGCTCTACCAAAGGGAATGTTCTACTCTGTGACTTGAATGCAAACATCCCAAAGAAGTTTCTGAGAATGCTTCTGTCTAGATTTGATCTGAAGACAATCCCGTTTCCAACGAAATCCTCAAGGCTAGGCAAATATCCTCTTGCAGATTCCAGAAAAAGAGTGTTTCAAAACTGCTCCTTCAAAACGGTGGTTCAATTCTCTTAGTTGAGTACACACATCTCAAATAAGTTTCTGAGAATGCTTCTGCCTAGTTGTTACGGGAAGATATTTCCCTTTCCAACATAGGCCTGAAAGCGCTCCAAATGTCCACTTCCAGATACTATAAAAAGAGTGTTTCAAACCTGCTCTACCAAAGGGAATGTTCTACTCTGTGACTTGAATGCAAACATCCCAAAGAAGTTTCTGAGAATGCTTCTGTCTAGATTTTACCTGAAGACAATCCCGTTTCCCACGAAATCCTCAAAGCTATGCAAATATCCTCTTGCAGATTCTACAAAAAGAGCGTTTCAAAACTTCTCTATGAAAAGAAAGGTTCTACTCATTTAGTGGAGGACACACATCACGAGTAAGTTTCTGAGAATGCTTCTGTCTAGTTTTTATGGGAAGATATTTCCTTTTTCACCTTAGGCCGGAAAGTGCTCCAAATGTCCACTTCCAGATACTACAAAAGGAGTGATTCCAACCTGCTCTATGATAGGGAATGTTCAACTCTCTGTCCTGAATACAAACATCACAAAGATGTTTCTCTGAACGCTGCAGTCTGCAATTTGTATGAATTCCCGCTTCCAACGAAATCCTCAAAACTAGCCAAATATCCACTTGCAGATTCCACAAAAAGAGCATTTCAAAACTGCTCTATCAAAAGAAAGGTTCAACTTTGTTAGTTGAGTAGATACAGCATAAACAAGTTTCTGAGAATGCTTCTGTCCAGTTTTTATGGGAAGATATTTCCTTTTTCACCTTAGCCCTGAAATCGCTCCAAAAGTCCAGTTCCAGATACTACAAAAGGGGTGTTTCAGGACTGCTCTATGAAAGGGAGTGTTCAAATTTTGACTTGAATGCAAACATCAGAAAGCAGTTTCTCAGAACGCTGCTGTGTGCTTTTTATATGTATTCCCGCTTCCAGCGAAATCCCCAAAGCTAGCCAAATATCCACTTGCAGATTCCAGAAAAAGAGTGTTTCCAAACTGCTCCTTCAAAACGGTGGTTCAATTCTCTTAGTAGAGTACACACATCTCAAATAAGTTTCTGGGAATGCTTCTGTCTAGTTGTTATGGGAAGATATTTCCTTTTCCAACATAGGCCTGAAAGCGCTCCAAATGTCCACTTCCAGATACTACAAAAGGAGTGATTCAAACCTGCTCTATGATAGGGAATGTTCAACTCTGTGTCCTGAATACAAACATCACAAAGATGTTTCTCAGAACGCTGCAGTCTGCATCTTGTATGAATTCCCGCTTCCAACGAAATCCTCCAAACTAGCCAAATATCCACTTGCAGATTCCACAAAAAGAGCGTTTCAAAACTTCTCTATGAAAAGAAAGGTTCTACTCCTTTAGTTGAGGACACACATCACGAGTAAGTTTCTGAGAATGCTTCTGTCTAGTTTTTATGGGAAGATATTTCCTTGTTCACCTTAGGCCGGAAAGCGCTCCAAATGTCCACTTACACACACTACAAAAAGAGTGTTTCAAACCTGCTCTGTGAAAGGGAATGTTCAATTCTGTGACTTGAATGCAATCATCACAAAGAAGTTTCTGAGAATGCTGCTGTCTGCTTTTTATATGTAATCCCGTTTCCAACGAAATCCTCATATCTAGCCAAATATCCACTTGCAGATTCCACAAAAAGAGTGTTTCAAAACTGTTCTGTCTAAAGAAATGTTCAACTGTGTTAGTTGAGGACACACATCAGAAACTAGTTTCTGAGAATGCTTCTGTCTAGTTGTTATGGGAAGATATTTCCTTTTCCAACGTAGGCCTGAAAGCGCTCCAAATGTCCACTTCCATATACTAAAAAAAGAGTGTTTCAAACCTGCTCTACCAAAGGAATGTTCTACTCTGTGACTTGAATGCAAACATCCCAAAGAAGTTTCTGAGAATGCTTCTGTCTAGATTTGATCTGAAGACAATCCCTTTTCCAACGAAATCCTCAAAGCTAGGCAAATATCCTCTTGCAGATTCCAGAAAAAGAGTGTTTCCAAACTGCTCCTTCAAAACGGTGGTTCAATTCTCTTAGTTGAGTACACACATCTCAAATAAGTTTCTGAGAATGCTTCTGCCTAGTTGTTACGGGAAGATATTTCCCTTTCCAACATAGGCCTGAAAGCGCTCCAAATGTCCACTTCCAGATACGACAAAAAGAGTGTTTCAAACCTGCTCTACCAAAGGGAATGTTCTACTCTGTGACTTGAATGCAAACATCCCGAAGAAGTTTCTGAGAATGCTTCTGTCTAGATTTTACCTGAAGACAATCCCGTTTCCCACGAAATCCTCAGAGCTATGCAAATATCCTCTTGCAGATTCTACAAAAAGAGTGTTTCGGAACTGCTCTATGAAAAGAAAGGTTCAACTCTGTCAGTAGAGGAAACACATCACCAACAAGTTTCTGAGAATGCTTCTGTCTAGTTGTTATGGGAAGATTTTTCCTTTTTCAACATAGGCCTGAAAGCGCTCCAAATGTCCACTTCCAGATACTACAAAAGGAGTGATCCCAACCTGCTCTATGATAGGGAATGTTCAACTCTGTGTCCTGAATACAAACATCACAAAGATGTTTCTCAGAACGCTGCAGTCTGCAATTTGTACGAATTCCCGCTTCCAACGAAATCCTCAAAACTAGCCAAATATCCACTTGCAGATTCCACAAAAAGAGCATTTCAAAACTGCTCTATCAAAAGAAAGGTTCAACTTTGTTAGTTGAGCAGATACAGCATAAACAAGTTTCTGAGAATGCTTCTGTCCAGTTTTTATGGGAAGATATTTCCTTTTTCACCTTAGCCCTGAAAGCGCTCCAAATTTCCAGTTCCAGATACTACAAAAGGGGTGTTTCAAGACTGCTCTATGAAAGGGAGTGTTCAACTTTTGACTTGAATGCAAACATCAGAAAGCAGTTTCTCAGAACGCTGCTGTGTGCTTTTTATATGTATTCCCGCTTCCAGCGAAATCCCCAAAGCTAGCCAAATATCCACTTGCAGATTCCAGAAAAAGAGTGTTTCCAAACTGCTCCTTCAAAACGGTGGTTCAATTCTCTTAGTTGAGTACACACATCTCAAATAAGTTTCTGGGAATGCTTCTGTCTAGTTGTTATGGGAAGATATTTCCTTTTCCAACATTGGCCTGAAAGTGCTCCAAATGTCCACTTCCAGATACTACAAAAGGAGTGATTCAAACCTGATCTATGATAGGGAATGTTCAACTCTGTGTCCTGAATACAAACATCACAAAGATGTTTCTCAGAACGCTGCAGTCTGCAATTTGTATGAATTCCCGCTTCCAACGAAATCCTCAAAACTAGCCAAATATCCACTTGCAGATTCCACAAAAAGAGCGTTTCAAAACTTCTCTATGAAAAGAAAGGTTCTACTCCTTTAGTTGAGGACACACATCACGAGTAAGTTTCTGAGAATGCTTCTGTCTAGTTTTTATGGGAAGATATTTCCTTGTTCACCTTAGGCCGGAAAGCGCTCCAAATGTCCACTTACACACACTACAAAAAGGGTGTTTCAAACCTGCTCTGTGAAAGGGAATGTTCAATTCTGTGACTTGAATGCAATCATCACAAAGAAGTTTCTGAGAATGCTGCTGACTGCTTTTTATATGTAATCCCGTTTCCACCGAAATCCTCAAATCTAGCCAAATATCCACTTGCAGATTCCACAAAAAGAGTGTTTCAGAACTGTTCTGTCTAAAGAAAAGTTCAACTGTGTTAGTTGAGGACACACATCAGAAACTAGTTTCTGAGAATGCTTCTGTCTAGTTGTTATGGGAAGATATTTCCTTTTCCAACGTAGGCCTGAAAGCGCTCCAAATGTCCACTTCCATATACTAAAAAAAGAGTGTTTCAAACCTGCTCTACCAAAGGGAATGTTCTACTCTGTGACTTGAATGCAAACATCCCAAAGAAGTTTCTGAGAATGCTTCTGTCTAGATTTTCTCTGAAGACAATCCCGTTTCCAACGAAATCCTCAAGGCTAGGCAAATATACTCTTGCAGATTCCAGAAAAAGAGTGTTTCAAAACTGCTCCTTCAAAACGGTGGTTCAATTCTCTTAGTTGAGTACACACATCTCAAATAAGTTTCTGAGAATGCTTCTGCCTAGTTGTTACGGGAAGATATTTCCCTTTCCAACATGGGCCTGAAAGCGCTCCAAATGTCCACTTCCAGATACTACAAAAAGAGTGTTTCAAACCTGCTCTACCAAAGGGAATGTTCTACTCTGTGACTTGAATGCAAACATCCCAAAGAAGTTTCTGAGAATGCTTCTGTCTAGATTTTACCTGAAGACAATCCCGTTTCCCACGAAATCCTCAAAGCTATGCAAATATCCTCTTGCAGATTCTACAAAAAGAGTGTTTCAAAACTGCTCTATGAAAAGAAAGGTTCAACTCTGTCAGTAGAGGGCACACATCACAAACAAGTTTCTGAGAATGCTTCTGCATAGTTGTTACGGGAAGATATTTCCCTTTCCAAAATAGGCCTGAAAGCGCTCCAAATGTCCACTTCCAGATACTACAAAAGGAGTGATTCCAACCTGCTCTATGATAGGGAATGTTCAACTCTGTGTCCTGAATACAAACATCACAAAGATGTTTCTCAGAACGCTGCAGTCTGCAATTTGTATGAATTCCCGCTTCCAACGAAATCCTCAAAACTAGCCAAATATCCACTTGCAGATTCCACAAAAAGACCATTTCAAAACTGCTCTATCAAAAGAAAGGTTCAACTTTGTTAGTTGAGTAGATACAGCATAAACAAGTTTCTGAGAATGCTTCTGTCCAGTTTTTATGGGAAGATATTTCCTTTTTCACCTTAGCCCTGAAATCGCTCCAAAAGTCCAGTTCCAGATACTACAAAAGGGGTGTTTCAGGACTGCTCTATGAAAGGGAGTGTTCAACTTTTGACTTGAATGCAAACATCAGAAAGCAGTTTCTCAGAACGCTGCTGTGTGCTTTTTATATGTATTCCCGCTTCCAGCGAAATCCCCAAAGCTAGCCAAATATCCACTTGCAGATTCCAGAAAAAGAGTGTTTCAAAACTGCTCCTTCAAAACGGTGGTTCAATTCTCTTAGTTGAGTACACACATCTCAAATAAGTTTCTGAGAATGCTTGTGTCTAGTTGTTATGGGAAGATATTTCCTTTTTCAACATAGGCTGAAAGCGCTCCAAATGTCCACTTCCAGATACTACAAAAGGAGTGATTCCAACCTGCTCTATGATAGGGAATGTTCAACTCTCTGTCCTGAATACAAACATCACAAAGATGTTTCTCAGAACGCTGCAGTCTGCAATTTGTATGAATTCCCGCTTCCAGCGAAATCCTCAAAACTAGCCAAATATCCACTTGCAGATTCCACAAAAAGAGCATTTCAAAACTGCTCTATCAAAAGAAAGGTTCAACTTTGTTAGTTGAGTAGATACAGCATAAACAAGTTTCTGAGAATGCTTCTGTCCAGTTTTTATGGGAAGATATTTCCTTTTTCACCTTAGCCCTGAAAGCGCTCCAAATTTCCAGTTCCAGATACTACAAAAGGGGTGTTTCAAGACTGCTCTATGAAAGGGAGTGTTCAACTTTTGACTTGAATGCAAACATCAGAAAGCAGTTTCTCAGAACGCTGCTGTGTGCTTTTTATATGTATTCCCGCTTCCAGCGAAATCCCCAAAGCTAGCCAAATATCCACTTGCAGATTCCAGAAAAAGAGTGTTTCCAAACTGCTCCTTCAAAACGGTGGTTCAATTCTCTTAGTTGAGTACACACATCTCAAATAAGTTTCTGGGAATGCTTCTGTCTAGTTGTTATGGGAAGATATTTCCTTTTCCAACATAGGCCTGAAAGCGCTCCAAATGTCCACTTCCAGATACTACAAAAGGAGTGATTCAAACCTGCTCTATGATAGGGAATGTTCAACTCTGTGTCCTGAATACAAACATCACAAAGATGTTTCTCAGAACGCTGCAGTCTGCATCTTGTATGAATTCCCGCTTCCAACGAAATCCTCCAAACTAGCCAAATATCCACTTGCAGATTCCACAAAAAGAGCGTTTCAAAACTTCTCTATGAAAAGAAAGGTTCTACTCCTTTAGTTGAGGACACACATCATGAGTAAGTTTCTGAGAATGCTTCTGTCTAGTTTTTATGGGAAGATATTTCCTTGTTCACCTTAGGCCGGAAAGCGCTCCAAATGTCCACTTACACACACTACAAAAAGAGTGTTTCAAACCTGCTCTGTGAAAGGGAATGTTCAATTCTGTGACTTGAATGCAATCATCACAAAGAAGTTTCTGAGAATGCTGCTGTCTGCTTTTTATATGTAATCCCGTTTCCAACGAAATCCTCAAATCTAGCCAAATAGCCACTTGCAGATTCCACAAAAAGAGTGTTTCAAAACTGTTCTGTCTAAAGAAATGTTCAACTGTGTTAGTTGAGGACACACATCAGAAACTAGTTTCTGAGAATGCTTCTGTCTAGTTGTTATGGGAAGATATTTCCTTTTCCAACGTAGGCCTGAAAGCGCTCCAAATGTGCACTTCCATATACTAAAAAAAGAGTGTTTCAAACCTACTCTACCAAAGGAATGTTCTACTCTGTGACTTGAATGCAAACATCCCAAAGAAGTTTCTGAGAATGCTTCTGTCTAGATTTGATCTGAAGACAATCCCTTTTCCAACGAAATCCTCAAAGCTAGGCAAATATCCTCTTGCAGATTCCAGAAAAAGAGTGTTTCCAAACTGCTCCTTCAAAACGGTGGTTCAATTCTCTTAGTTGAGTACACATATCTCAAATAAGTTTCTGAGAATGCTTCTGCCTAGTTGTTACGGGAAGATATTTCCGTTTCCAACATAGGCCTGAAAGCGCAACAAATGTCCACTTCCAGATACTACAAAAAGAGTGTTTCAAACCTGCTCTACCAAAGGGAATGTTCTACTCTGTGACTTGAATGCAAACATCCCGAAGAAGTTTCTGAGAATGCTTCTGTCTAGATTTTACCTGAAGACAATCCCGTTTCCCACGAAATCCTCAGAGCTATGCAAATATCCTCTTGCAGATTCTACAAAAAGAGTGTTTCGAAACTGCTCTATGAAAAGAAAGGTTCAACTCTGTCAGTAGAGGAAACACATCACCAACAAGTTTCTGAGAATGCTTCTGTCTAGTTGTTATGGGAAGATATTTCCTTTTTCAACATAGGCCTGAAAGCGCTCCAAATGTCCACTTCCAGATACTACAAAAGGAGTGATTCCAACCTGCTCTATTATAGGGAACGTTCAACTCTGTGTCCTGAATACAAACATCACAAAGATGTTTCTCAGAACGCTGCAGTCTGCAAATTGTATGAATTCCCGCTTCCAACGAAATCCTCAAAACTAGCCAAATATCCACTTGCAGATTCCACAAAAAGACCATTTCAAAACTGCTCTATCAAAAGAAAGGTTCAACTTTGTTAGTTGAGTAGATACAGCATAACCAAGTTTCTGAGAATGCTTCTGTCCAGTTTTTATGGGAAGATATTTCCTTTTTCACCTTAGCCCTGAAATCGCTCCAAAAGTCCAGTTCCAGATACTACAAAAGGGGTGTTTCAAGACTGCTCTATGAAAGGGAGTGTTCAACTTTTGACTTGAATGCAAACATCAGAAAGCAGTTTCTCAGAACGCTGCTGTGTGCTTTTTATATGTATTCCCGCTTCCAGCGAAATCCCCAAAGCTAGCCAAATATCCACTTGCAGATTCCAGAAAAAGAGAGTTTCAAAACTGCTCCTTCAAAACGGTGGTTCAATTCTCTTAGTTGAGTACACACATCTCAAATAAGTTTCTGAGAATGCTTGTGTCTACTTGTTATGGGAAGATATTTCCTTTTCAACATAGGCCTGAAAGCGCTCCAAATGTCCACTTCCAGATACTACAAAAGGAGTGATTCCAACCTGCTCTATGATAGGGAATGTTCAACTCTGTGTCCTGAATACAAACATCACAAAGATGTTTCTCAGAACGCTGCAGTCTGCAATTTGTATGAATTCCCGCTTCCAAAGAAATCCTCAAAACTAACCAAATATCCACTTGCAGACTCCACAAAAAGAGCATTTCAAAACTGCTCTATCAAAAGAAAGGTTCAACTTTGTTAGCTGAGTAGATACAGCATAAACAAGTTTCTGAGAATGCTTCTGTCCAGTTTTTATGGGAAGATATTTCCTTTTTCACCCTAGCCCTGAAAGCACTCCAAATGTCCACTTCCAGATACCACAAAAGGGGAGTTTCAAGACTGCTCTACGAAAGGGAGTGTTCAAATTTTGACTTGAATGCGAACATCAGAAAGAAGTTTCTCATAACGCTGCTGTGTGCTTTTTATATGTATTCCCGCTTCCAGCGAAATCCCCAAAGCTAGCCAAATATCCACTTGCAGATTCCAGAAAAAGAGTGTTTCAAAACTGCTCCTTCAAAACGGTGGTTCAATTCTTAGTTGAGTACACACATCTCAAATAAGTTTCTGAGAATGTTTGTGTCTAGTTGTTATGGGAAGATATTTCCTTTTTCAACATAGGCCTGAAAGCGCTCCAAATGTCCACTTCCAGATACTATAAAAGGAGTGATTCCAACCTGCTCTATGATAGGGAATGTTCAACTCTCTGTCCTGAATACAAACATCACAAAGATGTTTCTCAGAACGCTGCAGTCTGCAATTTGTATGAATTCCCGCTTCCAGCGAAATCCTCAAAACTAGCCAAATATCCACTTGCAGATTCCACAAAAAGAGCATTTCAAAACTGCTCTATCAAAAGAAAGGTTCAACTTTGTTAGTTGAGTAGATACAGCATAAACAAGTTTCTGAGAATGCTTCTGTCCAGTTTTTATGGGAAGATATTTCCTTTTTCACCTTAGCCCTGAAAGCGCTCCAAAAGTCCAGTTCCAGATACTACAAAAGGGGTGTTTCAAGACTGCTCTATGAAAGGGAGTGTTCAACTTTTGACTTGAATGCAAACATCAGAAAGCAGTTTCTCAGAACGCTGCTGTGTGCTTTTTATATGTATTCCCGCTTCCAGCGAAATCCCCAAAGCTAGCCAAATATCCACTTGCAGATTCCAGAAAAAGAGTGTTTCAAAACTGCTCCTTCAAAACGGTGGTTCAATTCTCTTAGTTGAGTACACACATCTCAAATAAGTTTCTGAGAATGCTTCTGTCTAGTTGTTATGGGAAGATATTTCCTTTTCCAACATAGGCCTGAAAGCGCTCCAAATGTCCACTTACAGATACTACAAAAGGAGTGATTCAAACCTGCTCTATGATAGGGAATGTTCAACTCTGTGTCCTGAATACAAACATCACAAAGATGTTTCTCAGAACGCTGCAGTCTGCAATTTGTATGAATTCCCGCTTCCAACGAAATCCTCAAAACTAGCCAAATATCCACTTGCAGATTCCACAAAAAGAGTGTTTCAAAACTTCTCTATGAAAAGGAAGGTTCTACTCCTTTAGTTGAGGACACACATCACGAGTAAGTTTCTGAGAATGCTTCTGTCTAGTTTTTATGGGAAGATATTTCCTTTTTCACCTTAGGCCGGAAAGTGCTCCAAATGTCCACTTACACACACTACAAAAAGAGTGTTTCAAACCTGCTCTGTGAAAGGGAATGTTCAATTCTGTGACTTGAATGCAATCATCACAAAGAACTTTCTGAGAATGCTGCTGTCTGCTTTTTATATGTAATCCCGTTTCCAACGAAATCCTCAAATCTAGCCAAATAGCCACTTGCAGATTCCACAAAAAGAGTGTTTCAAAACTGTTCTGTCTAAAGAAATGTTCAACTGTGTTAGTTGAGGACACACATCAGAAACTAGTTTCTGAGAATGCTTCTGTCTAGTTGTTATGGGAAGATATTTCCTTTTCCAACGTAGGCCTGAAAGCGCTCCAAATGTCCACTTCCATATACTAAAAAAAGAGTGTTTCAAACCTGCTCTACCAAAGGGAATGTTCTACTCTGTGACTTGAATGCAAACATCCCAAAGAAGTTTCTGAGAATGCTTCTGTCTAGATTTGATCTGAAGACAATCCCGTTTCCAACGAAATCCTCAAGGCTAGGCAAATATCCTCTTGCAGATTCCAGAAAAAGAGTGTTTCAAAACTGCTCCTTCAAAACGGTGATTCAATTCTCTTAGTTGAGTACACACATCTCAAATAAGTTTCTGAGAATGCTTCTGCCTAGTTGTTACGGGAAGATATTTCCCTTTCCAACATAGGCCTGAAAGCGCTCCAAATGTCCACTTCCAGATACTACAAAAAGAGTGTTTCAAACCTGCTCTACCAAAGGGAATGTTCTACTCTGTGACTTGAATGCAAACATCCCAAAGAAGTTTCTGAGAATGCTTCTGTCTAGATTTTACCTGAAGACAATCCCGTTTCCCACGAAATCCTCAAAGCTATGCAAATATCCTCTTGCGGATTCTATAAAAGAGTGTTTCAAAACTGCTCTATGAAAAGAAAGGTTCAACTCTGTCAGTAGAGGGCACACATCACAAACAAGTTTCTGAGAATGCTTGTGTCTAGTTGTTATGGGAAGATATTTCCTTTTTCAACATAGGCCTGAAAGCGCTCCAAATGTCCACTTCCAGATACTACAAAAGGAGTGATTCCAACCTGCTCTATGATAGGGAATGTTCATCTCTGTGTCCTGAATACAAACATCACAAAGATGTTTCTCAGAACGCTGCAGTCTGCAATTTGTATGAATTCCCGCTTCCAACGAAATCCTCAAAACTAGCCAAATATCCACTTGGAGATTCCACAAAAAGAGCATTTCAAAACTCCTCTATGAATAGAAAGGTTCTACTCCTTTAGTTGAGGACACACATCACGAGTAAGTTTCTGAGAATTCTTCTGTCTAGTTTTTATGGGAAGATATTTCCTTTTTCACCTTAGGCCGGAAAGCGCTCCAAATGTCCACTTACACACACTACAAAAAGAGTGTTTCAAACCTGCTCTGTGAAAGGGAATGTTCAATTCTGTGACTTGAATGCAATCATCACAAAGAACTTTCTGAGAATGCTGCTGTCTGCTTTTTATATGTAATCCCGTTTCCAACGAAATCCTCAAATCTAGCCCAATATCCACTTGCAGATTCCACAAAAAGAGTGTTTCAAAACTGTTCTGTCTAAAGAAAAGTTCAACTGTGTTAGTTGAGGACACACATCAGAAACTAGTTTCTGAGAATGCTTCTGTCTAGTTGTTATGGGAAGATATTTCCTTTTCCAACGTAGGCCTGAAAGCGCTCCAAATGTCCACTTCCATATACTAAAAAAAGAGTGTTTCAAACCTGCTCTACCAAAGGGAATGTTCTACTCTGTGACTTGAATGCAAACATCCCAAAGAAGTTTCTGAGAATGCTTCTGTCTAGATTTGATCTGAAGACAATCCCGTTTCCAACGAAATCCTCAAGGCTAGGCAAATATACTCTTGCAGATTCCAGAAAAAGAGTGTTTCAAAACTGCTCCTTCAAAACGGTGGTTCAATTCTCTTAGTTGAGTACACACATCTCAAATAAGTTTCTGAGAATGCTTCTGCCTAGTTGTTATGGGAAGATATTTCCCTTTCCAACATGGGCCTGATAGCGCTCCGAATGTCCACTTCCAGATACTACAAAAAGAGGGTTTCAAACCTGCTCTACCAAAGGGAATGTTCTACTCTGTGACTTGAATGCAAACATCCCAAAGAAGTTTCTGAGAATGCTTCTGTCTAGATTTTACCTGAAGACAATCCCGTTTCCCACTAAATCCTCAAAGCTATGCAAATATCCTCTTGCAGATTCTACAAAAAGAGTGTTTCAAAACTGCTCTATGAAAAGAAAGGTTCAACTCTGTCAGTAGAGGGCACACATCACAAACAAGTTTCTGAGAATGCTTGTGTCTAGTTGTTACGGGAAGATATTTCCTTTTTCAACATAGGCCTGAAAGCGCTCCAAATGTCCACTTCCAGATACTACAAAAGGAGTGATTCCAACCTGCTCTATGATAGGGAATGTTCATCTCTGTGTCCTGAATACAAACATCACAAAGATGTTTCTCAGAACGCTGCAGTCTGCAATTTGTATGAATTCCCGCTTCCAACGAAATCCTCAAAACTAGCCAAATATCCACTTGGAGATTCCACAAAAAGAGCATTTCAAAACTTCTCTATGAATAGAAAGGTTCTACTCCTTTAGTTGAGGAAACACATCACGAGTAAGTTTCTGAGAATGCTTCTGTCTAGTTTTTATGGGAAGATATGTCCTTTTTCACCTTAGGCCAGAAAGCGCTCCAAATGTCCACTTACACACACTACAAAAAGAGTGTTTCAAACCTGCTCTGTGAAGGGGAATGTTCAATTATCTGACTTGAATGCAATCATCACAAAGAACTTTCTGAGAATGCTGCTGACTGCTTTTTATATGTAATCCCGTTTCCAACGAAATCCTCAAATCTAGCCCAATATCCACTTGCAGATTCCACAAAAAGAGTGTTTCAAAACTGTTCTGTCTAAAGAAATGTACAACTGTGTTAGTTGAGGACACACATCAGAAACTAGTTTCTGAGAATGCTTCTGTCTAGTTGTTATGGGAAGATATTTCCTTTTCCAACGTAGGCCTGAAAGCGCTCCAAATGTCCACTTCCATATACTAAAAAAAGAGTGTTTCAAACCTGCTCTACCAAAGGGAATGTTCTACTCTGTGACTTGAATGCAAACATCCCAAAGAAGTTTCTGAGAATGCTTCTGTCTAGATTTTATCTGAAGACAATCCCGTTTCCAACGAAATCCTCAAGGCTAGGCAAATATACTCTTGCAGATTCCAGAAAAAGAGTGTTTCAAAACTGCTCCTTCAAAACGGTGGTTCAATTCTCTTAGTTGAGTACACACATCTCAAATAAGTTTCTGAGAATGCTTCTGCCTAGTTGTTACGGGAAGATATTTCCCTTTCCAACATGGGCCTGAAAGCGCTCCAAATGTCCACTTCCAGATACTACAAAAAGAGGGTTTCAAACCTGCTCTACCAAAGGGAATGTTCTACTCTGTGACTTGAATGCAAACATCCCAAAGAAGTTTCTGAGAATGCTTCTGTCTAGATTTTACCTGAAGACAATCCCGTTTCCCACGAAATCCTCAAAGCTATGCAAATATCCTCTTGCAGATTCTACAAAAAGAGTGTTTCAAAACTGCTCTATGAAAAGAAAGGTTCAACTCTGTCAGTAGAGGGCACACATCACAAACAAGTTTCTGAGAATGCTTGTGTCTAGTTGTTATGGGAAGATATTTCCTTTATCAACATAGGCCTGAAAGCGCTCCAAATGTCCACTTCCAGATACTACAAAAGGAGTGATTCCAACCTGCTCTATGATAGGGAATGTTCATCTCTGTGTCCTGAATACAAACATCACAAAGATGTTTACTCAGAACGCTGCAGTCTGCAATTTGTATGAATTCCCGCTTCCAACGAAATCCTCAAAACTAGCCAAATATCCACTTGCAGATTCCACAAAAAGAGCATTTCAAAACTGCTCTATCAAAAGAAAGGTTCAACTTTGTTAGTTGAGTAGATACAGCATAAACAAGTTTCTGAGAATGCTTCTGTCCAGTTTTTATGGGAAGATATTTCCTTTTTCACCTTAGCCCTGAAAGCGCTCCAAAAGTCCAGTTCCAGATACTACAAAAGGAGTGTTTCAGGACTGCTCTATGAAAGGGAGTGTTCAACTTTTGACTTGAATGCAAACATCAGAAAGCAGTTTCTCAGAACGCTGCTGTGTGCTTTTTATATGTATTCCCGCTTCCAGCGAAATCCCCAAAGCTAGCCAAATATCCACTTGCAGATTCCAGAAAAAGAGTGTTTCAAAACTGCTCCTTCAAAACGGTGGTTCAATTCTCTAAGTTGAGTACACACATCTCAAATAAGTTTCTGAGAATGCTTCTGTCTAGTTGTTATGGGAAGATATTTCCTTTTCCAACATAGGCCTGAAAGCGCTCCAAATGTCCACTTCCAGATACTACAAAAGGAGTGATTCAAACCTGCTCTATGATAGGGAATGTTCAACTCTGTGTCCTGAATACAAACATCACAAAGATGTTTCTCAGAACGCTGCAGTCTGCAATTTGTATGAATTCCCGCTTCCAACGAAATCCTCAAAACTAGCCAAATATCCACTTGCAGATTCCACAAAAAGAGCGTTTCAAAACTTCTCTATGAAAAGAAAGGTTCTACTCCTTTAGTTGAGGACACACATCACGAGTAAGTTTCTGAGAATGCTTCTGTCTAGTTTTTATGGGAAGATATTTCCTTTTTCACCTTAGGCCGGTAAGTGCTCCAAATGTCCACTTACACACACTACAAAAAGAGTGTTTCAAACCTGCTCTGTGAAAGGGAATGTTCAATTCTGTGACTTGAATGCAATCATCACAAAGAACTTTCTGAGAATGCTGCTGACTGCTTTTTATATGTAATCCCGTTTCCAACGAAATCCTCAAATCTAGCCAAATAGCCACTTGCAGATTCCACAAAAAGAGTGTTTCAAAACTGTTCTGTCTAAAGAAATGTTCAACTGTGTTAGTTGAGGACACACATCAGAAACTAGTTTCTGAGAATGCTTCTGTCTAGTTGTTATGGGAAGATATTTCCTTTTCCAACGTAGGCCTGAAAGCGCTCCAAATGTCCACTTCCAGATACTACAAAAAGAGTGTTTCAAACCTGCTCTACCAAAGGGAATGTTCTACTCTGTGACTTGAATGCAAACATCCCAAAGAAGTTTCTGAGAATGCTTCTGTCTAGATTTTCTCTGAAGACAATCCCGTTTCCAACGAAATCCTCAAGGCTAGGCAAATATACTCTTGCAGATTCCAGAAAAAGAGTGTTTCAAAACTGCTCCTTCAAAACGGTGGTTCAATTCTCTTAGTTGAGTACACACATCTCAAATAAGTTTCTGAGAATGCTTCTGCCTAGTTGTTACGGGAAGATATTTCCCTTTCCAACATAGGCCTGAAAGCGCTCCAAATGTCCACTTCCAGATACTACAAAAAGAGTGTTTGAAACCTGCTCTACCAAAGGGAATGTTCTACTCTGTGACTTGAATGCAAACATCCCGAAGAAGTTTCTGAGAATGCTTCTGTCTAGATTTTACCTGAAGACAATCCCGTTTCCCACGAAATCCTCAAAGCTATGCAAATATCCTCTTGCAGATTCTACAAAAAGAGTGTTTCAAAACTGCTCTATGAAAAGAAAGGTTCAACTCTGTCAGTAGAGGGCACACATCACAAACAAGTTTCTGAGAATGCTTGTGTCTAGTTGTTATGGGAAGATATTTCCTTTTTCAACATAGGCCTGAAAGCGCTCCAAATGTCCACTTCCAGATACTACAAAAGGAGTGATTCCAACCTGCTCTGATAGGGAATGTTCATCTCTGTGTCCTGAATACAAACATCACAAAGATGTTTCTCATAACGCTGCAGTCTGCAATTTGTATGAATTCCCGCTTCCAACGAAATCCTCAAAACTAGCCAAATATCCACTTGCAGATTCCACAAAAAGAGCATTTCAAAACTGCTCTATCAAAAGAAAGGTTCAACTTTGTTAGTTGAGTAGATACATCATAAACAAGTTTCTGAGAATGCTTCTGTCCAGTTTTTATGGGAAGATATTTCCTTTTTCACCTTAGCCCTGAAAGCGCTCCAAAAGTCCAGTTCCAGATACTACAAAAGGAGTGTTTCAGGACTGCACTATGAAAGGGAGTGTTCAACTTTTGACTTGAATGCAAACATCAGAAAGCAGTTTCTCAGAACGCTGCTGTGTGCTTTTTATATGTATTCCCGCTTCCAGCGAAATCCCCAAAGCTAGCCAAATATCCACTTGCAGATTCCAGAAAAAGAGTGTTTCAAAACTGCTCCTTCAAAACGGTGGTTCAATTCTCTTAGTTGAGTACACACATCTCAAATAAGTTTCTGAGAATGCTTCTGTCTAGTTGTTATGGGAAGATATTTCCTTTTCCAACATAGGCCTGAAAGCGCTCCAAATGTCCACTTCCAGATACTACAAAAGGAGTGATTCAAACCTGCTCTATGATAGGGAATGTTCAACTCTGTGTCCTGAATACAAACATCACAAAGATGTTTCTCAGAACGCTGCAGTCTGCAATTTGTATGAATTCCCGCTTCCAACGAAATCCTCAAAACTAGCCAAATATCCACTTGCAGATTCCACAAAAAGAGCGTTTCAAAACTTCTCTATGAAAAGAAAGGTTCTACTCCTTTAGTTGAGGACACACATCACGAGTAAGTTTCTGAGAATGCTTCTGTCTAGTTTTTATGGGAAGATATTTCCTTTTTCACCTTAGGCCGGTAAGTGCTCCAAATGTCCACTTACACACACTACAAAAAGAGTGTTTCAAACCTGCTCTGTGAAAGGGAATGTTCAATTCTGTGACTTGAATGCAATCATCACAAAGAACTTTCTGAGAATGCTGCTGACTGCTTTTTATATGTAATCCCGTTTCCAACGAAATCCTCAAATCTAGCCAAATAGCCACTTGCAGATTCCACAAAAAGAGTGTTTCAAAACTGTTCTGTCTAAAGAAATGTTCAACTGTGTTAGTTGAGGACACACATCAGAAACTAGTTTCTGAGAATGCTTCTGTCTAGTTGTTATGGGAAGATATTTCCTTTTCCAACGTAGGCCTGAAAGCGCTCCAAATGTCCACTTCCAGATACTACAAAAAGAGTGTTTCAAACCTGCTCTACCAAAGGGAATGTTCTACTCTGTGACTTGAATGCAAACATCCCAAAGAAGTTTCTGAGAATACTTCTGTCTAGATTTTCTCTGAAGACAATCCCGTTTCCAACGAAATCCTCAAGGCTAGGCAAATATACTCTTGCAGATTCCAGAAAAAGAGTGTTTCAAAACTGCTCCTTCAAAACGGTGGTTCAATTCTCTTAGTTGAGTACACACATCTCAAATAAGTTTCTGAGAATGCTTCTGCCTAGTTGTTACGGGAAGATATTTCCCTTTCCAACATGGGCCTGAAAGCGCTCCAAATGTCCACTTCCAGATACTACAAAAAGAGTGTTTCAAACCTACTCTACCAAAGGGAATGTTCTACTCTGTGACTTGAATGCAAACATCCCAAAGAAGTTTTCTGAGAATGCTTCTGTCTAGATTTTACCTGAAGACAATCCCGTTTCCCACGAAATCCTCAAAGCTATGCAAATATCCTCTTGCAGATTCTACAAAAAGAGTGTTTCAAAACTGCTCTATGAAAAGAAAGGTTCAACTCTGTCAGTAGAGGGCACACATCACAAACAAGTTTCTGAGAATGCTTCTGCATAGTTGTTACGGGAAGATATTTCCCTTTCCAAAATAGGCCTGAAAGCGCTCCAAATGTCCACTTCCAGATACTACAAAAGGAGTGATTCCAACCTGCTCTATGATAGGGAATGTTCAACTCTGTGTCCTGAATACAAACATCACAAAGATGTTTCTCAGAACGCTGCAGTCTGCAATTTGTATGAATTCCCGCTTCCAACGAAATCCTCAAAACTAGCCAAATATCCACTTGCAGATTCCACAAAAAGACCATTTCAAAACTGCTCTATCAAAAGAAAGGTTCAACTTTGTTAGTTGAGTAGATACAGCATAAACAAGTTTCTGAGAATGCTTCTGTCCAGTTTTTATGGGAAGATATTTCCTTTTTCACCTTAGCCCTGAAATCGCTCCAAAAGTCCAGTTCCAGATACTACAAAAGGGGTGTTTCAGGACTGCTCTATGAAAGGGAGTGTTCAACTTTTGACTTGAATGCAAACATCAGAAAGCAGTTTCTCAGAACGCTGCTGTGTGCTTTTTATATGTATTCCCGCTTCCAGCGAAATCCCCAAAGCTAGCCAAATATCCACTTGCAGATTCCAGAAAAAGAGAGTTTCAAAACTGCTCCTTCAAAACGGTGGTTCAATTCTCTTAGTTGAGTACACACATCTCAAATAAGTTTCTGAGAATGCTTCTGTCTAGTTGTTATGGGAAGATATTTCCTTTTCCAACATAGGCCTGAAAGCGCTCCAAATGTCCACTTCCAGATACTACAAAAGGAGTGATTCAAACCTGCTCTATGATAGGGAATGTTCAACTCTGTGTCCTGAATACAAACATCACAAAGTTGTTTCTCAGAACGCTGCAGTCTGCAATTTGTATGAATTCCCGCTTCCAACGAAATCCTCAAAACTAGCCAAATATCCACTTGCAGATTCCACAAAAAGAGCGTTTCAAAACTTCTCTATGAAAAGAAAGGTTCTACTCCTTTAGTTGAGGACACACATCACGAGTAAGTTTCTGAGAATGCTTCTGTCTAGTTTTTATGGGAAGATTATTTCCTTTTTCACCTTAGGCCGGTAAGTGCTCCAAATGTCCACTTACACACACTACAAAAAGAGTGTTTCAAACCTGCTCTGTGAAAGGGAATGTTCAATTCTGTGACTTGAATGCAATCATCACAAAGAACTTTCTGAGAATGCCGCTGGCTGCTTTTTATATGTAATCCCGTTTCCAACGAAATCCTCAAATCTAGCCAAATAGCCACTTGCAGATTCCACAAAAAGAGTGTTTCAAAACTGTTCTGTCTAAAGAAATGTTCAACTGTGTTAGTTGAGGACACACATCAGAAACTAGTTTCTGAGAATGCTTCTGTCTAGTTGTTATGGGAAGATATTTCCTTTTCCAACGTAGGCCTGAAAGCGCTCCAAATGTCCACTTCCAGATACTACAAAAAGAGTGTTTCAAACCTGCTCTACCAAAGGGAATGTTCTACTCTGTGACTTGAATGCAAGCATCCCAAAGAAGTTTCTGAGAATGCTTCTGTCTAGATTTTCTCTGAAGACAATCCCGTTTCCAACGAAATCCTCAAGGCTAGGCAAATATACTCTTGCAGATTCCAGAAAAAGAGTGTTTCAAAACTGCGCCTTCAAAACGGTGGTTCAATTCTCTTAGTTGAGTACACACATCTCAAATAAGTTTCTGAGAATGCTTCTGCCTAGTTGTTACGGGAAGATATTTCCCTTTCCAACATGGGCCTGAAAGCGCTCCAAATGTCCACTTCCAGATACTACAAAAAGAGTGTTTCAAACCTGCTCTACCAAAGGGAATGTTCTACTCTGTGACTTGAATGCAAACATCCCAAAGAAGTTTCTGAGAACGCTTCTGTCTAGATTTTACCTGAAGACAATCCCGTTTCCCACGAAATCCTCAAAGCTATGCAAATATCCTCTTGCAGATTCTACAAAAAGAGTGTTTCAAAACTGCTCTATGAAAAGAAAGGTTCAACTCTGTCAGTAGAGGGCACACATCACAAACAAGTTTCTGAGAATGCTTCTGCATAGTTGTTACGGGAAGATATTTCCCTTTCCAAAATAGGCCTGAAAGCGCTCCAAATGTCCACTTCCAGATACTACAAAAGGAGTGATTCCAACCTGCTCTATGATAGGGAATGTTCAACTCTGTGTCCTGAATACAAACATCACAAAGATGTTTCTCAGAACGCTGCAGTCTGCAATTTGTATGAATTCCCGCTTCCAACGAAATCCTCAAAACTAGCCAAATATCCACTTGCAGATTCCACAAAAAGACCATTTCAAAACTGCTCTATCAAAAGAAAGGTTCAACTTTGTTAGTTGAGTAGATACAGCATAAACAAGTTTCTGAGAATGCTTCTGTCCAGTTTTTATGGGAAGATATTTCCTTTTTCACCTTAGCCCTGAAATCGCTCCAAAAGTCCAGTTCCAGATACTACCAAAGGGGTGTTTCAGGACTGCTCTATGAAAGGGAGTGTTCAACTTTTGACTTGAATGCAAACATCAGAAAGCAGTTTCTCAGAACGCTGCTGTGTGCTTTTTATATGTATTCCCGCTTCCAGCGAAATCCCCAAAGCTAGCCAAATATCCACTTGCAGATTCCAGAAAAAGAGAGTTTCAAAACTGCTCCTTCAAAACGGTGGTTCAATTCTCTTAGTTGAGTACACACATCTCAAATAAGTTTCTGAGAATGCTTCTGTCTAGTTGTTATGGGAAGATATTTCCTTTTCCAACATAGGCCTGAAAGCGCTCCAAATGTCCACTTCCAGATACTACAAAAGGAGTGATTCAAACCTGCTCTATGATAGGGAATGTTCAACTCTGTGTCCTGAATACAAACATCACAAAGATGTTTCTCAGAACGCTGCAGTCTGCAATTTGTATGAATTCCCGCTTCCAACGAAATCCTCAAAACTAGCCAAATATCCACTTGCAGATTCCACAAAAAGAGCGTTTCAAAACTTCTCTATGAAAAGAAAGGTTCTACTCCTTTAGTTGAGGACACACATCACGAGTAAGTTTCTGAGAATGCTTCTGTCTAGTTTTTATGGGAAGATATTTCCTTTTTCACCTTAGGCCGGTAAGTGCTCCAAATGTCCACTTACACACACTACAAAAAGAGTGTTTCAAACCTGCTCTGTGAAAGGGAATGTTCAATTCTGTGACTTGAATGCAATCATCACAAAGAACTTTCTGAGAATGCTGCTGACTGCTTTTTATATGTAATCCCGTTTCCAACGAAA
Organism: Homo sapiens; assembly: GCF_000001405.40. Taxonomy (NCBI): domain Eukaryota; kingdom Metazoa; phylum Chordata; class Mammalia; order Primates; family Hominidae; genus Homo; species Homo sapiens. The sequence continues at coordinate 17,267,400 of NC_000018.10, read as the reverse complement.
TCCTCAAATCTAGCCAAATAGCCACTTGCAGATTCCACAAAAAGAGTGTTTCAAAACTGTTCTGTCTAAAGAAATGTTCAACTGTGTTAGTTGAGGACACACATCAGAAACTAGTTTCTGAGAATGCTTCTGTCTAGTTGTTATGGGAAGATATTTCCTTTTCCAACGTAGGCCTGAAAGCGCTCCAAATGTCCACTTCCAGATACTACAAAAAGAGTGTTTCAAACCTGCTCTACCAAAGGGAATGTTCTACTCTGTGACTTGAATGCAAACATCCCAAAGAAGTTTCTGAGAATGCTTCTGTCTAGATTTTCTCTGAAGACAATCCCGTTTCCAACGAAATCCTCAAGGCTAGGCAAATATACTCTTGCAGATTCCAGAAAAAGAGTGTTTCAAAACTGCTCCTTCAAAACGGTGGTTCAATTCTCTTAGTTGAGTACACACATCTCAAATAAGTTTCTGAGAATGCTTCTGCCTAGTTGTTACGGGAAGATATTTCCCTTTCCAACATGGGCCTGAAAGCGCTCCAAATGTCCACTTCCAGATACTACAAAAAGAGTGTTTCAAACCTGCTCTACCAAAGGGAATGTTCTACTCTGTGACTTGAATGCAAACATCCCAAAGAAGTTTCTGAGAATGCTTCTGTCTAGATTTTACCTGAAGACAATCCCGTTTCCCACGAAATCCTCAAAGCTATGCAAATATCCTCTTGCAGATTCTACAAAAAGAGTGTTTCAAAACTGCTCTATGAAAAGAAAGGTTCAACTCTGTCAGTAGAGGGCACACATCACAAACAAGTTTCTGAGAATGCTTCTGCATAGTTGTTACGGGAAGATATTTCCCTTTCCAAAATAGGCCTGAAAGCGCTCCAAATGTCCACTTCCAGATACTACAAAAGGAGTGATTCCAACCTGCTCTATGATAGGGAATGTTCAACTCTGTGTCCTGAATACAAACATCACAAAGATGTTTCTCAGAACGCTGCAGTCTGCAATTTGTATGAATTCCCGCTTCCAACGAAATCCTCAAAACTAGCCAAATATCCACTTGCAGATTCCACAAAAAGACCATTTCAAAACTGCTCTATCAAAAGAAAGGTTCAACTTTGTTAGTTGAGTAGATACAGCATAAACAAGTTTCTGAGAATGCTTCTGTCCAGTTTTTATGGGAAGATATTTCCTTTTTCACCTTAGCCCTGAAATCGCTCCAAAAGTCCAGTTCCAGATACTACAAAAGGGGTGTTTCAGGACTGCTCTATGAAAGGGAGTGTTCAACTTTTGACTTGAATGCAAACATCAGAAAGCAGTTTCTCAGAACGCTGCTGTGTGCTTTTTATATGTATTCCCGCTTCCAGCGAAATCCCCAAAGCTAGCCAAATATCCACTTGCAGATTCCAGAAAAAGAGAGTTTCAAAACTGCTCCTTCAAAACGGTGGTTCAATTCTCTTAGTTGAGTACACACATCTCAAATAAGTTTCTGAGAATGCTTCTGTCTAGTTGTTATGGGAAGATATTTCCTTTTCCAACATAGGCCTGAAAGCGCTCCAAATGTCCACTTCCAGATACTACAAAAGGAGTGATTCAAACCTGCTCTATGATAGGGAATGTTCAACTCTGTGTCCTGAATACAAACATCACAAAGATGTTTCTCAGAACGCTGCAGTCTGCAATTTGTATGAATTCCCGCTTCCAACGAAATCCTCAAAACTAGCCAAATATCCACTTGCAGATTCCACAAAAAGAGCGTTTCAAAACTTCTCTATGAAAAGAAAGGTTCTACTCCTTTAGTTGAGGACACACATCACGAGTAAGTTTCTGAGAATGCTTCTGTCTAGTTTTTATGGGAAGATATTTCCTTTTTCACCTTAGGCCGGAAAGCGCTCCAAATGTCCACTTACACACACTACAAAAAGAGTGTTTCAAACCTGCTCTGTGAAAGGGAATGTTCAATTCTGTGACTTGAATGCAATCATCACAAAGAAGTTTCTGAGAATGCTGCTGTCTGCTTTTTATATGTAATCCCGTTTCCAACGAAATCCTCAAATCTAGCCAAATATCCACTTGCAGATTCCACAAAAAGAGTGTTTCAAAACTGTTCTGTCTAAAGAAATGTTCAACTGTGTTAGTTGAGGACACACATCAGAAACTAGTTTCTGAGAATGCTTCTGTCTAGTTGTTATGGGAAGATATTTCCTTTTCCAACGTAGGCCTGAAAGCGCTCCAAATGTCCACTTACACACACTACAAAAAGAGTGTTTCAAACCTGCTCTACCAAAGTGAATGTTCTACTCTGTGACTTGAATGCAAACATCCCAAAGAAGTTTCTGAGAATGCTTCTGTCTAGATTTTCTCTGAGACAATCCCGTTTCCAACGAAATCCTCAAGGCTAGGCAAATATACTCTTGCAGATTCCAGAAAAAGAGTGTTTCAAAACTGCTCCTTCAAAACGGTGGTTCAATTCTCTTAGTTGAGTACACACATCTCAAATAAGTTTCTGAGAATGCTTCTGCCTAGTTGTTACGGGAAGATATTTCCCTTTCCAACATGGGCCTGAAAGCGCTCCAAATGTCCACTTCCAGATACTACAAAAAGAGTGTTTCAAACCTGCTCTACCAAAGGGAATGTTCTACTCTGTGACTTGAATGCAAACATCCCAAAGAAGTTTCTGAGAATGCTTCTGTCTAGATTTTACCTGAAGACAATCCCGTTTCCCACGAAATCCTCAAAGCTATGCAAATATCCTCTTGCAGATTCTACAAAAAGAGTGTTTCAAAACTGCTCTATGAAAAGAAAGGTTCAACTCTGTCAGTAGAGGGCACACATCACAAACAAGTTTCTGAGAATGCTTCTGCATAGTTGTTACGGGAAGATATTTCCCTTTCCAAAATAGGCCTGAAAGCGCTCCAAATGTCCACTTCCAGATACTACAAAAGGAGTGATTCCAACCTGCTCTATGATAGGGAATGTTCAACTCTGTGTCCTGAATACAAACATCACAAAGATGTTTCTCAGAACGCTGCAGTCTGCAATTTGTATGAATTCCCGCTTCCAACGAAATCCTCAAAACTAGCCAAATATCCACTTGCAGATTCCACAAAAAGACCATTTCAAAACTGCTCTATCAAAAGAAAGGTTCAACTTTGTTAGTTGAGTAGATACAGCATAAACAAGTTTCTGAGAATGCTTCTGTCCAGTTTTTATGGGAAGATATTTCCTTTTTCACCTTAGCCCTAAAATCGCTCCAAAAGTCCAGTTCCAGATACTACAAAAGGGGTGTTTCAAGACTGCTCTATGAAAGGGAGTGTTCAACTTTTGACTTGAATGCAAACATCAGAAAGCAGTTTCTCAGAACGCTGCTGTGTGCTTTTTATATGTATTCCCGCTTCCAGCGAAATCCCCAAAGCTAGCCAAATATCCACTTGCAGATTCCAGAAAAAGAGTGTTTCAAAACTGCTCCTTCAAAACGGTGGTTCAATTCTCTTAGTTGAGTAGACACATCTCAAATAAGTTTCTGAGAATGCTTCTGTCTAGTTGTTATGGGAAGATATTTCCTTTTCCAACATAGGCCTGAAAGCGCTCCAAATGTCCACTTCCAGATACTACAAAAGGAGTGATTCAAACCTGCTCTATGATAGGGAATGTTCAACTCTGTGTCCTGAAAACAAACATCACAAAGATGTTTCTCAGAACGCTGCAGTCTGCAATTTGTATGAATTCCCGCTTCCAACGAAATCCTCAAAACTAGCCAAATATCCACTTGCAGATTCCACAAAAAGAGCGTTTCAAAACTTCTCTATGAAAAGAAAGGTTCTACTCCTTTAGTTGAGGACACACATCACGAGTAAGTTTCTGAGAATGCTTCTGTCTAGTTTTTATGGGAAGATATTTCCTTTTTCACCTTAGGCCGGTAAGTGCTCCAAATGTCCACTTACACACACTACAAAAAGAGTGTTTCAAACCTGCTCTGTGAAAGGGAATGTTCAATTCTGTGACTTGAATGCAATCATCACAAAGAACTTTCTGAGAATGCTGCTGACTGCTTTTTATATGTAATCCCGTTTCCAACGAAATCCTCAAATCTAGCCAAATAGCCACTTGCAGATTCCACAAAAAGAGTGTTTCAAAACTGTTCTGTCTAAAGAAATGTTCAACTGTGTTAGTTGAGGACACACATCAGAAACTAGTTTCTGAGAATGCTTCTGTCTAGTTGTTATGGGAAGATATTTCCTTTTCCAACGTAGGCCTGAAAGCGCTCCAAATGTCCACTTCCAGATACTACAAAAAGAGTGTTTCAAACCTGCTCTACCAAAGGGAATGTTCTACTCTGTGACTTGAATGCAAACATCCCAAAGAAGTTTCTGAGAATGCTTCTGTCTAGATTTTCTCTGAAGACAATCCCGTTTCCAACGAAATCCTCAAGGCTAGGCAAATATACTCTTGCAGATTCCAGAAAAAGAGTGTTTCAAAACTGCTCCTTCAAAACGGTGGTTCAATTCTCTTAGTTGAGTACACACATCTCAAATAAGTTTCTGAGAATGCTCTGCCTAGTTGTTACGGGAAGATATTTCCCTTTCCAACATGGGCCTGAAAGCGCTCCAAATGTCCACTTCCAGATACTACAAAAAGAGTGTTTCAAACCTGCTCTACCAAAGGGAATGTTCTACTCTGTGACTTGAATGCAAACATCCCAAAGAAGTTTCTGAGAATGCTTTCTGTCTAGATTTTACCTGAAGACAATCCCGTTTCCCACGAAATCCTCCAAGCTATGCAAATATCCTCTTGCGGATTCTACAAAAAGAGTGTTTCAAAACTGCTCTATGAAAAGAAAGGTTCAACTCTGTCAGTAGAGGGCACACATCACAAACAAGTTTCTGAGAATGCTTGTGTCTAGTTGTTATGGGAAGATATTTCCTTTTTCAACATAGGCCTGAAAGCGCTCCAAATGTCCACTTCCAGATACTACAAAAGGAGTGATTCCAACCTGCTCTATGATAGGGAATGTTCATCTCTGTGTCTTGAATACAAACATCACAAAGATGTTTCTCAGAACGCTGCAGTCTGAAATTTGTATGAATTCCCGCTTCCAACGAAATCCTCAAAACTAGCCAAATATCCACTTGCAGATTCCACAAAAAGAGCATTTCAAAACTGCTCTATCAAAAGAAAGTTTCAACTTTGTTAGTTGAGTAGATACAGCTTAAACAAGTTTCTGAGAATGCTTCTGTCCAGTTTTTATGGGAAGATATTTCCTTTTTCACCTTAGCCCTGAAAGCGCTCCAAAAGTCCAGTTCCAGATACTACAAAAGAAGTGTTTCAGGACTGCACTATGAAAGGGAGTGTTCAACTTTTGACTTGAATGCAAACATCAGAAAGCAGTTTCTCAGAACGCTGCTGTGTGCTTTTTATATGTATTCCCGCTTCCAGCGAAATCCCCAAAGCTAGCCAAATATCCACTTGCAGATTCCAGAAAAAGAGTGTTTCAAAACTGCTCCTTCAAAACGGTGGTTCAATTCTCTTAGTTGAGTACACACATCTCAAATAAGTTTCTGAGAATGCTTCTGTCTAGTTGTTATGGGAAGATATTTCCTTTTCCAACATAGGGCCTGAAAGCGCTCCAAATGTCCACTTCCAGATACTACAAAAGGAGTGATTCCAACCTGCTCTATGATAGGGAATGTTCAACTCTGTGTCCTGAATACAAACATCACAAAGATGTTTCTCAGAACGCTGCAGTCTGCAATTTGTATGAATTCCCGCTTCCAACGAAATCCTCCAAACTAGCCAAATATCCACTTGCAGATTCCACAAAAAGAGCGTTTCAAAACTTCTCTATGAAAGAAAGGTTCTACTCCTTTAGTTGAGGACACACATCACGAGTAAGTTTCTGAGAATGCTTCTGTCTAGTTTTTATGGGAAGATATTTCCTTTCTCACCTTAGGCCGGAAAGTGCTCCAAATGTCCACTTACACACACTACAAAAAGAGTGTTTCAAACCTGCTCTGTGAAAGGGAATGTTCAATTCTGTGACTTGAATGCAATCATCACAAAGAACTTTCTGAGAATGCTGCTGTCTGCTTTTTATATGTAATCCCGTTTCCAACGAAATCCTCAAATCTAGCCAAATAGCCACTTGCAGATTCCACAAAAAGAGAGTTTCAAAACTGTTCTGTCTAAAGAAATGTTCAACTGTGTTAGTTGAGGACACACATCAGAAACTAGTTTCTGAGAATGCTTCTGTCTAGTTGTTATGGGAAGATATTTCGTTTTCCAACGTAGGCCTGAAAGCGCTCCAAATGTCCACTTCCATATACTAAAAAAAGAGTGTTTCACACCTGCTCTACCAAAGGGAATGTTCTACTCTGTGACTTGAATGCAAACATCCCAAAGAAGTTTCTGAGAATGCTTCTGTCTAGATTTGATCTGAACACAATCCCGTTTCCAACGAAATCCTCAAAGCTAGGCAAATATCCTCTTGCAGATTCCAGAAAAAGAGTGTTTCAAAACTGCTCCTTCAAAACGGTGGTTCAATTCTCTTAGTTGAGTACACACATCTCAAATAAGTTTCTGAGAATGCTTCTGCCTAGTTGTTACCGGAAGATATTTCCCTTTCCAACATAGGCCTGAAAGCGCTCCAAATGTCCACTTCCAGATACTACAAAAAGAGTGTTTCAAACCTGCTCTACCAAAGGGAATGTTCTACTCTGTGACTTGAATGCAAACATCCCAAAGAAGTTTCTGAGAATGCTTCTGTCTAGATTTTACCTGAAGACAATCCCGTTTCCCACGAAATCCTCAAAGCTATGCAAATATCCTCTTGCAGATTCTACAAAAAGAGTGTTTCAAAACTGCTCTATGAAAAGAAAGGTTCAACTCTGTCAGTAGAGGGCACACATCACAAACAAGTTTCTGAGAATGCTTGTGTCTAGTTGTTATGGGAAGATATTTCCTTTTTCAACATAGGCCAGAAAGCGCTCCAAATGTCCACTTCCAGATACTACAAAAGGAGTGATTCCAACCTGCTCTATGATAGGGAATGTTCAACTCTCTGTCCTGAATACAAACATCACAAAGATGTTTCTCAGAACGCTGCAGTCTGCAATTTGTATGAATTCCCGCTTCCAACGAAATCCTCCAAACTAGCCAAATATCCACTTGCAGATTCCACAAAAAGAGCATTTCAAAACTGCTCTATCAAAAGAAAGGTTCAACTTTGTTAGTTGAGTAGATACAGCATAAACAAGTTTCTGAGAATGCTTCTGTCCAGTTTTTATGGGAAGATATTTCCTTTTTCACCTTAGCCCTGAAAGCGCTCCAAAAGTCCAGTTCCAGATACTACAAAAGGAGTGTTTCAGGACTGCTCTATGAAAGGGAGTGTTCAACTTTTGACTTGAATGCAAACATCAGAAAGCAGTTTCTCAGAACGCTGCTGTGTGCTTTTTATATGTATTCCCGCTTCCAGCGAAATCCCCAAAGCCAGCCAAATATCCACTTGCAGATTCCAGAAAAAGAGTGTTTCAAAACTGCTCCTTCAAAACGGTGGTTCAATTCTCTTAGTTGAGTACACACATCTCAAAGAAGTTTCTGAGAATGCTTCTGTCTAGTTGTTATGGGAAGATATTTCCTTTTCCAACATAGGCCTGAAAGCGCTCCAAATGTCCACTTCCAGATACTACAAAAGGAGTGATTCCAACCTGCTCTATGATAGGGAATGTTCAACTCTGTGTCCTGAATACAAACATCACAAAGATGTTTCTCAGAACGCTGCAGTCTGCAATTTGTATGAATTCCCGCTTCCAACGAAATCCTCAAAACTAGCCAAATATCCACTTGCAGATTCCACAAAAAGAGCGTTTCAAAACTTCTCTATGAAAAGAAAGGTTCTACTCCTTTAGTTGAGGACACACATCACGAGTAAGTTTCTGAGAATGCTTCTGTCTAGTTTTTATGGGAAGATATTTCCTTGTTCACCTTAGGCCGGAAAGTGCTCCAAATGTCCACTTACACACACTACAAAAAGAGTGTTTCAAACCTGCTCTGTGAAAGGGAATGTTCAATTCTGTGACTTGAATGCAATCATCACAAAGAACTTTCTGAGAATGCTGCTGTCTGCTTTTTATATGTAATCCCGTTTCCAACGAAATCCTCAAATCTAGCAAAATAGCCACTTGCAGATTCCACAAAAAGAGTGTTTCAAAACTGTTCTGTCTAAAGAAATGTTCAACTGTGTTAGTTGAGGACACACATCAGAAACTAGTTTCTGAGAATGCTTCTGTCTAGTTGTTATGGGAAGATATTTCCTTTTCCAACGTAGGCCTGAAAGCGCTCCAAATGTCCACTTCCATATACTAAAAAAAGAGTGTTTCAAACCTGCTCTACCAAAGGGAATGTTCTACTCTGTGACTTGAATGCAAACATCCCAAAGAAGTTTCTGAGAATGCTTCTGTCTAGATTTGATCTGAAGACAATCCCGTTTCCAACGAAATCCTCAAGGCTAGGCAAATATCCTCTTGCAGATTCCAGAAAAAGAGTGTTTCAAAACTGCTCCTTCAAAACGGTGGTTCAATTCTGTTAGTTGAGTACACACATCTCAAATAAGTTTCTGAGAATGCTTCTGCCTAGTTGTTACGGGAAGATATTTCCCTTTCCAACATAGGCCTGAAAGCGCTCCAAATGTCCACTTCCAGATACTACAAAAAGAGTGTTTCAAACCTGCTCTACCAAAGGGAATGTTCTACTCTGTGACTTGAATGCAAACATCCCAAAGAAGTTTCTGAGAATGCTTCTGTCTAGATTTTACCTGAAGACAATCCCGTTTCCCACGAAATCCTCAAAGCTATGCAAATATCCTCTTGCAGATTCTACAAAAAGAGAGTTTCAAAACTGCTCTATGAAAAGAAAGGTTCAACTCTGTCAGTAGAGGGCACACATCACAAACAAGTTTCTGAGAATGCTTCTGCATAGTTGTTATGGGAAGATATTTCCCTTTCCAAAATAGGCCTGAAAGCGCTCCAAATGTCCACTTCCAGATACTACAAAAGAAGTGATTCCAACCTGCTCTAGGACAGGGAATGTTCAACTCTGTGTCCTGAATAAAAACATCACAAAGATGTTTCTCAGAACGCTGCAGTCTGCAATTTGTATGAATTCCCGCTTCCAACGAAATCCTCAAAACTAGCCAAATATCCACTTGCAGATTCCACAAAAAGACCATTTCAAAACTGCTCTATCAAAAGAAAGGTTCAACTTTGTTAGTTGAGTAGATACAGCATAAACAAGTTTCTGAGAATGCTCTGTCCAGTTTTTATGGGAAGATATTTCCTTTTTCACCTTAGCCCTGAAATCGCTCCAAAAGTCCAGTTCCAGATACTACAAAAGGGGTGTTTCAAGACTGCTCTATGAAAGGGAGTGTTCAACTTTTGACTTGAATGCAAACATCAGAAAGCAGTTTCTCAGAACGCTGGCTGTGTGCTTTTTATATGTATTCCCGCTTCCAGCGAAATCCCCAAAGCTAGCCAAATATCCACTTGCAGATTCCAGAAAAAGAGAGTTTCAAAACTGCTCCTTCAAAACGGTGGTTCAATTCTCTTAGTTGAGTACACACATCTCAAATAAGTTTCTGAGAATGCTTCTGTCTAGTTGTTATGGGAAGATATTTCCTTTTCCAACATAGGCCTGAAAGCGCTCCAAATGTCCACTTCCAGATACTACAAAAGGAGTGATTCCAACCTGCTCTATGATAGGGAATGTTCAACTCTGTGTCCTGAATACAAACATCACAAAGATGTTTCTCAGAACGCTGCAGTCTGCAATTTGTATGAATTCCCGCTTCCAACGAAATCCTCAAAACTAGCCAAATATCCACTTGGAGATTCCACAAAAAGAGCGTTTCAAAACTTCTCTATGAATAGAAAGGTTCTACTCCTTTAGTTGAGGAAACACATCACGAGTAAGTTTCTGAGGATGCTTCTGTCTAGTTTTTATGGGAAGATATTTCCTTTTTCACCTTAGGCCGGTAAGTGCTCCAAATGTCCACTTACACACACTACAAAAAGAGTGTTTCAAACCTGCTCTGTGAAAGGGAATGTTCAATTCTGTGACTTGAATGCAATCATCACAAAGAACTTTCTGAGAATGCTGCTGACTGCTTTTTATATGTAATCCCGTTTCCAACGAAATCCTCAAATCTAGCCAAATAGCCACTTGCAGATTCCACAAAAAGAGTGTTTCAAAACTGTTCTGTCTAAAGAAATGTTCAACTGTGTTAGTTGAGGACACACATCAGAAACTAGTTTCTGAGAATGCTTCTGTCTAGTTGTTATGGGAAGATATTTCCTTTTCCAACGTAGGCCTGAAAGCGCTCCAAATGTCCACTTCCATATACTAAAAAAAGAGTGTTTCAAACCTGCTCTACCAAAGGGAATGTTCTACTCTGTGACTTGAATGCAAACATCCCAAAGAAGTTTCTGAGAATGCTTCTGTCTAGATTTTCTCTGAAGACAATCCCGTTTCCAACGAAATCCTCAAGGCTAGGCAAATATACTCTTGCAGATTCCAGAAAAAGAGTGTTTCAAAACTGCTCCTTCAAAACGGTGGTTCAATTCTCTTAGTTGAGTACACACATCTCAAATAAGTTTCTGAGAATGCTTCTGCCTAGTTGTTACGGGAAGATATTTCCCTTTCCAACATGGGCCTGAAAGCGCTCCAAATGTCCACTTCCAGATACTACAAAAAGAGTGTTTCAAACCTGCTCTACCAAAGGGAATGTTCTACTCTGTGACTTGAATGCAAACATCCCAAAGAAGTTTCTGAGAATGCTTCTGTCTAGATTTTACCTGAAGACAATCCCGTTTCCCACGAAATCCTCAAAGCTATGCAAATATCCTCTTGCAGATTCTACAAAAAGAGTGTTTCAAAACTGCTCTATGAAAAGAAAGGTTCAACTCTGTCAGTAGAGGGCACACATCACAAACAAGTTTCTGAGAATGCTTGTGTCTAGTTGTTATGGGAAGATATTTCCTTTTTCAACATAGGCCTGAAAGCGCTCCAAATGTCCACTTCCAGATACTACAAAAGGAGTGATTCCAACCTGCTCTATGATAGGGAATGTTCAACTCTCTGTCCTGAATACAAACATCACAAAGATGTTTCTCAGAACGCTGCAGTCTGCAATTTGTATGAATTCCCGCTTCCAGCGAAATCCTCAAAACTAGCCAAATATCCACTTGCAGATTCCACAAAAAGAGCATTTCAAAACTGCTCTATCAAAAGAAAGGTTCAACTTTGTTAGTTGAGTAGATACAGCATAAACAAGTTTCTGAGAATGCTTCTGTCCAGTTTTTATGGGAAGATATTTCCTTTTTCACCTTAGCCCTGAAAGCGCTTCAAAAGTCCAGTTCCAGATACTACAAAAGGGGTGTTTCAAGACTGCTCTATGAAAGGGAGTGTTCAACTTTTGACTTGAATGCAAACATCAGAAAGCAGTTTCTCAGAACGCTGCTGTGTGCTTTTTATATGTATTCCCGCTTCCAGCGAAATCCCCAAAGCTAGCCAAATATCCACTTGCAGATTCCAGAAAAAGAGTGTTTCAAAACTGCTCCTTCAAAACGGTGGTTCAATTCTCTTAGTTGAGTACACACATCTCAAATAAGTTTCTGAGAATGCTTCTGTCTAGTTGTTATGGGAAGATATTTCCTTTTCCAACATAGGCCTGAAAGCGCTCCAAATGTCCACTTCCAGATACTACAAAAGGAGTGATTCCAACCTGCTCTATGATAGGGAATGTTCAACTCTGTGTCCTGAATACAAACATCACAAAGATGTTTCTCAGAACGCTGCAGTCTGCAATTTGTATGAATTCCCGCTTCCAACGAAATCCTCCAAACTAGCCAAATATCCACTTGCAGATTCCACAAAAAGAACGTTTCCAAACTTCTCTATGAAAACAAAGGTTCTACTCCTTTAGTTGAGGACACACATCACGAGTAAGTTTCTGAGAATGCTTCTGTCTAGTTTTTATGGGAAGATATTTCCTTTTTCACCTTAGGCCGGAAAGTGCTCCAAATGTCCACTTACACACACTACAAAAAGAGTGTTTCAAACCTGCTCTGTGAAAGGGAATGTTCAATTCTGTGACTTGAATGCAATCATCACAAAGAACTTTCTGAGAATGCTGCTGTCTGCTTTTTATATGTAATCCCGTTTCCAACGAAATCCTCAAATCTAGCCAAATAGCCACTTGCAGATTCCACAAAAAGAGTGTTTCAAAACTGTTCTGTCTAAAGAAATGTTCAACTGTGTTAGTTGAGGACACACATCAGAAACTAGTTTCTGAGAATGCTTCTGTCTAGTTGTTATGGGAAGATATTTCCTTTTCCAACGTAGGCCTGAAAGCGCTCCAAATGTCCACTTCCATATACTAAAAAAAGAGTGTTTCAAACCTGCTCTACCAAAGGGAATGTTCTACTCTGTGACTTGAATGCAAACATCCCAAAGAAGTTTCTGAGAATGCTTCTGTCTAGATTTGATCTGAAGACAATCCCGTTTCCAACGAAATCCTCAAGGCTAGGCAAATATCCTCTTGCAGATTCCAGAAAAAGAGTGTTTCAAAACTGCTCCTTCAAAACGGTGGTTCAATTCTCTTAGTTGAGTACACACATCTCAAATAAGTTTCTGAGAATGCTTCTGCCTAGTTGTTATGGGAAGATATTTCCCTTTCCAACATAGGCCTGAAAGCGCTCCAAATGTCCACTTCCAGATACTACAAAAAGAGTGTTTCAAACCTGCTCTACCAAAGGGAATGTTCTGCTCTGTGACTTGAATGCAAACATCCCAAAGAAGTTTCTGAGAATGCTTCTGTCTAGATTTTACCTGAAGACAATCCCGTTTCCCACGAAATCCTCAAAGCTATGCAAATATCCTCTTGCAGATTCTACAAAAAGAGTGTTTCAAAACTGCTCTATGAAAAGAAAGGTTCAACTCTGTCAGTAGAGGGCACACATCACAAACAAGTTTCTGAGAATGCTTGTGTCTACTTGTTATGGGAAGATATTTCCTTTTTCAACATAGGCCTGAAAGCGCTCCAAATGTCCACTTCCAGATACTACAAAAGGAGTGATTCCAACCTCCTCTATGATAGGGAATGTTCAACTCTGTGTCCTGAATACAAACATCACAAAGATGTTTCTCAGAACGCTGCAGTCTGCAATTTGTATGAATTCCCGCTTCCAAAGAAATCCTCAAAACTAACCAAATATCCACTTGCAGACTCCACAAAAAGAGCATTTCAAAACTGCTCTATCAAAAGAAAGGTTCAACTTTGTTAGTTGAGTAGATACAGCATAAACAAGTTTCTGAGAATGCTTCTGTCCAGTTTTTATGGGAAGATATTTCCTTTTTCACCTTAGCCCTGAAAGCACTCCAAATGTCCACTTCCAGATACCACAAAAGGGGAGTTTCAAGACTGCTCTATGAAAGGGAGTGTTCAACTTTTGACTTGAATGCGAACATCAGAAAGAAGTTTCTCAGAACGCTGCTGTGTGCTTTTTATATGTATTCCCGCTTCCAGCGAAATCCCCAAAGCTAGCCAGATATCCACTTGCAGATTCCAGAAAAAGAGTGTTTCAAAATTGCTCCTTCAAAACGGTGGTTCAATTCTCTTAGTTGAGTACACACATCTCAAATAAGTTTCTGAGAATGCTTCTGTCTATTTGTTATGGGAAGATATTTCCTTTTCCAACATAGGCCTGAAAGCGCTCCAAATGTCCACTTCCAGATACTACAAAAGGAGTGATTCCAACCTGCTCTATGATAGGGAATGTTCAACTCTGTGTCCTGAATACAAACATCACAAAGATGTTTCTCAGAACGCTGCAGTCTGCAATTTGTATGAATTCCCGCTTCCAACGAAATCCTCAAAACTAGCCAAATATCCACTTGCAGATTCCACAAAAAGAGCGTTTCAAAACTTCTCTATGAAAAGAAAGTTTCTACTCCTTTACTTGAGTACACACATCACGAGTAAGTTTCTGAGAATGCTTCTGTCTAGTTTTTATGGGAAGATATTTCCTTTTTCACCTTAGGCCGGAAAGCGCTCCAAATGTCCGCTTACACACACTACAAAAAGAGTGTTTCAAACCTGCTCTGTGAAAGGGAATGTTCAATTCTGTGACTTGAATGCAATCATCACAAAGAACTTTCTGAGAATGCCGCTGTCTGCTTTTTGTATGTAATCCCGTTTCCAACGAAATGCTCAAATCTAGCCAAATATCCACTTGCAGATTCCACAAAAAGAGTGTTTCAAAACTGTTCTGTCTAAAGAAATGTACAACTGTGTTAGTTGAGGACACACATCAGAAACTAGTTTCTGAGAATGCTTCTGTCTAGTTGTTATGGGAAGATATTTCCTTTTCCAACGTAGGCCTGAAAGCGCTCCAAATGTCCACTTCCATATACTAAAAAAAGAGTGTTTCAAACCTGCTCTACCAAAGGAATGTTCTACTCTGTGACTTGAATGCAAACATCCCAAAGAAGTTTCTGAGAATGCTTCTGTCTAGATTTGATCTGAAGACAATCCCTTTTCCAACGAAATCCTCAAAGCTAGGCAAATATCCTCTTGCAGATTCCAGAAAAAGAGTGTTTCCAAACTCCTCCTTCAAAACGGTGGTTCAATTCTCTTAGTTGAGTACACACATCTCAAATAAGTTTCTGAGAATGCTTCTGCCTAGTTGTTACGGGAAGATATTTCCCTTTCCAACATGGGCCTGAAAGCTCTCCAAATGTCCACTTCCAGATACTACAAAAAGAGGGTTTCAAACCTGCTCTACCAAAGGGAATGTTCTACTCTGTGCCTTGAATGCAAACATCCCAAAGAAGTTTCTGAGAATGCTTCTGTCTAGATTTTACCTGAAGACAATCCCGTTTCCCACGAAATCCTCAAAGCTATGCAAATATCCTCTTGCAAATTCTACAAAAAGAGTGTTTCGAAAGTGCTCTATGAAAAGAAAGGTTCAACTGTGTCAGTAGAGGGCACACATCACAAACAAGTTTCTGAGAATGCCTCTGTCTAGTTGTTATGGGAAGATATTTCCTTTTTCAACATATGCCTGAAAGCGCTAGAAATGTCCACTTCCAGATACTACAAAAGGAGTGATTCCAACCTGCTCTATGATAGGGAATGTTCAACTCTGTGTCCTGAATACAAACATCACAAAGATGTTTCTCAGAACGCTGCAGTCTGCAATTTGTATGAATTCCCGCTTCCAACGAAATCCTCAAAACTAGCCAAATATCCACTTGCAGATTCCACAAAAAGAGCGTTTCAAAACTTCTCTATGAAAAGAAAGGTTCTACTCCTTTAGTTGAGGACACACATCACGAGTAAGTTTCTGAGAATGCTTCTGTCTAGTTTTTATGGGAAGATATTTCCTTTTTCACCTTAGGCCGGAAAGCGCTCCAAATGTCCACTTACACACACTACAAAAAGAGTGTTTCAAACCTGCTCTGTGAAAGGGAATGTTCAATTCTGTGACTTGAATGCAATCATCACAAAGAACTTTCTGAGAATGCTGCTGACTGCTTTTTATATGTAATCCCGTTTCCAACGAAATCCTCAAATCTAGCCAAATAGCCACTTGCAGATTCCACAAAAAGAGTGTTTCAAAACTGTTCTGTCTAAAGAAATGTTCAACTTGTGTTAGTTGAGGACACACATCAGAAACTAGTTTCTGAGAATGCTTCTGTCTAGTTGTTATGGGAAGATATTTCCTTTTCCAACGTAGGCCTGAAAGCGCTCCAAATGTCCACTTCCAGATACTACAAAAAGAGTGTTTCAAACCTGCTCTACCAAAGGGAATGTTCTACTCTGTGACTTGAATGCAAGCATCCCAAAGAAGTTTCTGAGAATGCTTCTGTCTAGATTTTCTCTGAAGACAATCCCGTTTCCAACGAAATCCTCAAGGCTAGGCAAATATACTCTTGCAGATTCCAGAAAAAGAGTGTTTCAAAACTGCTCCTTCAAAACGGTGGTTCAATTCTCTTAGTTGAGTACACACATCTCAAATAAGTTTCTGAGAATGCTTCTGCCTAGTTGTTACGGGAAGATATTTCCCTTTCCAACATGGGCCTGAAAGCGCTCCAAATGTCCACTTCCAGATACTACAAAAAGAGTGTTTCAAACCTGCTCTACCAAAGGGAATGTTCTACTCTGTGACTTGAATGCAAACATCCCAAAGAAGTTTCTGAGAATGCTTCTGTCTAGATTTTACCTGAAGACAATCCCGTTTCCCACGAAATCCTCAAAGCTATGCAAATATCCTCTTGCAGATTCTACAAAAAGAGTGTTTCAAAACTGCTCTATGAAAAGAAAGGTTCAACTCTGTCAGTAGAGGGCACACATCACAAACAAGTTTCTGAGAATGCTTCTGCATAGTTGTTACGGGAAGATATTTCCCTTTCCAAAATAGGCCTGAAAGCGCTCCAAATGTCCACTTCCAGATACTACAAAAGGAGTGATTCCAACCTGCTCTATGATAGGGAATGTTCAACTCTGTGTCCTGAATACAAACATCACAAAGATGTTTCTCAGAACGCTGCAGTCTGCAATTTGTATGAATTCCCGCTTCCAACGAAATCCTCAAAACTAGCCAAATATCCACTTGCAGATTCCACAAAAAGACCATTTCAAAACTGCTCTATCAAAAGAAAGGTTCAACTTTGTTAGTTGAGTAGATACAGCATAAACAAGTTTCTGAGAATGCTTCTGTCCAGTTTTTATGGGAAGATATTTCCTTTTTCACCTTAGCCCTGAAATCGCTCCAAAAGTCCAGTTCCAGATACTACAAAAGGGGTGTTTCAAGACTGCTCTATGAAAGGGAGTGTTCAACTTTTGACTTGAATGCAAACATCAGAAAGCAGTTTGCTCAGAACGCTGCTGTGTGCTTTTTATATGTATTCCCGCTTCCAGCGAAATCCCCAAGCTAGCCAAATATCCACTTGCAGATTCCAGAAAAAGAGTGTTTCAAAACTGCTCCTTCAAAACGGTGGTTCAATTCTCTTAGTTGAGTACACACATCTCAAATAAGTTTCTGAGAATGCTTCTGTCTATTTGTTATGGGAAGATATTTCCTTTTCCAACATAGGCCTGAAAGCGCTCCAAATGTCCACTTCCAGATACTAGAAAAGGAGTGATTCAAACCTGCTCTATGATAGGGAATGTTCAACTCTGTGTCCTGAATACAAACATCACAAAGATGTTTCTCAGAACGCTGCAGTCTGCAATTTGTATGAATTCCCGCTTCCAACGAAATCCTCCAAACTAGCCAAATATCCACTTGCAGATTCCACAAAAAGAGCGTTTCAAAACTTCTCTATGAAAAGAAAGGTTCTACTCCTTTAGTTGAGGACACACATCACGAGTAAGTTTCTGAGAATGCTTCTGTCTAGTTTTTATGGGAAGATTATTTCCTTTTTCACCTTAGGCCGGTAAGTGCTCCAAATGTCCACTTACACACACTACAAAAAGAGTGTTTCAAACCTGCTCTGTGAAAGGGAATGTTCAATTCTGTGACTTGAATGCAATCATCACAAAGAACTTTCTGAGAATGCTGCTGGCTGCTTTTTATATGTAATCCCGTTTCCAACGAAATCCTCAAATCTAGCCAAATAGCCACTTGCAGATTCCACAAAAAGAGTGTTTCAAAACTGTTCTGTCTAAAGAAATGTTCAACTCTGTTAGTTGAGGACACACATCAGAAACTAGTTTCTGAGAATGCTTCTGTCTAGTTGTTATGGGAAGATATTTCCTTTTCCAACGTAGGCCTGAAAGCGCTCCAAATGTCCACTTCCAGATACTACAAAAAGAGTGTTTCAAACCTGCTCTACTAAAGGGAATGTTCTACTCTGTGACTTGAATGCAAGCATCCCAAAGAAGTTTCTGAGAATGCTTCTGTCTAGATTTTCTCTGAAGACAATCCCGTTTCCAACGAAATCCTCAAGGCTAGGCAAATATACTCTTGCAGATTCCAGAAAAAGAGTGTTTCAAAACTGCTCCTTCAAAACGGTGGTTCAATTCTCTTAGTTGAGTACACACATCTCAAATAAGTTTCTGAGAATGCTTCTGCCTAGTTGTTACGGGAAGATATTTCCCTTTCCAACATGGGCCTGAAAGCGCTCCAAATGTCCACTTCCAGATACTACAAAAAGAGTGTTTCAAACCTGCTCTACCAAAGGGAATGTTCTACTCTGTGACTTGAATGCAAACATCCCAAAGAAGTTTCTGAGAATGCTTCTGTCTAGATTTTACCTGAAGACAATCCCGTTTCCCACGAAATCCTCAAAGCTATGCAAATATCCTCTTGCAGATTCTACAAAAAGAGTGTTTCAAAACTGCTCTATGAAAAGAAAGGTTCAACTCTGTCAGTAGAGGGCACACATCACAAACAAGTTTCTGAGAATGCTTCTGCATAGTTGTTACGGGAAGATATTTCCCTTTCCAAAATAGGCCTGAAAGCGCTCCAAATGTCCACTTCCAGATACTACAAAAGGAGTGATTCCAACCTGCTCTATGATAGGGAATGTTCAACTCTGTGTCCTGAATACAAACATCACAAAGATGTTTCTCAGAACGCTGCAGTCTGCAATTTGTATGAATTCCCGCTTCCAACGAAATCCTCAAAACTAGCCAAATATCCACTTGCAGATTCCACAAAAAGACCATTTCAAAACTGCTCTATCAAAAGAAAGGTTCAACTTTGTTAGTTGAGTAGATACAGCATAAACAAGTTTCTGAGAATGCTTCTGTCCAGTTTTTATGGGAAGATATTTCCTTTTTCACCTTAGCCCTGAAATCGCTCCAAAAGTCCAGTTCCAGATACTACAAAAGGGGTGTTTCAAGACTGCTCTATGAAAGGGAGTGTTCAACTTTTGACTTGAATGCAAACATCAGAAAGCAGTTTCTCAGAACGCTGCTGTGTGCTTTTTATATGTATTCCCGCTTCCAGCGAAATCCCCAAAGCTAGCCAAATATCCACTTGCAGATTCCAGAAAAAGAGAGTTTCAAAACTGCTCCTTCAAAACGGTGGTTCAATTCTCTTAGTTGAGTACACACATCTCAAATAAGTTTCTGAGAATGCTTCTGTCTAGTTGTTATGGGAAGATATTTCCTTTTCCAACATAGGCCTGAAAGCGCTCCAAATGTCCACTTCCAGATACTACAAAAGGAGTGATTCAAACCTGCTCTATGATAGGGAATGTTCAACTCTGTGTCCTGAATACAAACATCACAAAGATGTTTCTCAGAACGCTGCAGTCTGCAATTTGTATGAATTCCCGCTTCCAACGAAATCCTCAAAACTAGCCAAATATCCACTTGCAGATTCCACAAAAAGAGCGTTTCAAAACTTCTCTATGAAAAGAAAGGTTCTACTCCTTTAGTTGAGGACACACATCACGAGTAAGTTTCTGAGAATGCTTCTGTCTAGTTTTTATGGGAAGATATTTCCTTTTTCACCTTAGGCCGGAAAGTGCTCCAAATGTCCACTTACACACACTATACAAAGAGTGTTTCAAACCTGCTCTGTGAAAGGGAATGTTCAATACTGTGACTTGAATTCAATCATCACAAAGAAGTTTCTGAGAATGCTGCTGTCTGCTTTTTATATGTAATCCCGTTTCCAACGAAATCCTCAAATCTAGCCAAATAGCCACTTGCAGATACCACAAAAAGAGTGTTTCAAAACTGTTCTGTCTAAAGAAATGTTCAACTGTGTTAGTTGAGGACACACATCAGAAACTAGTTTCTGAGAATGCTTCTGTCTAGTTGTTATGGGAAGATATTTCCTTTTCCAACGTAGGCCTGAAAGCGCTCCAAATGTCCACTTCCATATACTAAAAAAAGAGTGTTTCAAACCTGCTCTACCAAAGGGAATGTTCTACTCTGTGACTTGAATGCAAACATCCCAAAGAAGTTTCTGAGAATGCTTCTGTCCAGATTTGATCTGAAGACAATCCCGTTTCCAACGAAATCCTCAAGGCTAGGCAAATATCCTCTTGCAGATTCCAGAAAAAGAGTGTTTCAAAACTGCTCCTTCAAAACCGTGGTTCAATTCTCTTAGTTGAGTACACACATCTCAAATAAGTTTCTGAGAATGCTTCTGCCTAGTTGTTACGGGAAGATATTTCCCTTTCCAACATAGGCCTGAAAGCGCTCCAAATGTCCACTTCCAGATACTACAAAAAGAGTGTTTCAAACCTGCTCTACCAAAGGGAATGTTCTACTCTGTGACTTGAATGCAAACATCCCAAAGAAGTTTCTGAGAATGCTTCTGTCTAGATTTTACCTGAAGACAATCCCGTTTCCCACGAAATCCTCAAAGCTATGCAAATATCCTCTTGCAGATTCTACAAAAAGAGTGTTTCAAAACTGCTCTATGAAAAGAAAGGTTCAACTCTGTCAGTAGAGGGCACACATCACAAACAAGTTTGCTGAGAATGCTTGTGTCTAGTTGTTATGGGAAGATATTTCCTTTTTCAACATAGGCCTGAAAGCGTTCCAAATGTCCACTTCCAGATACTACAAAGGAGTGATTCCAACCTGCTCTATGATAGGGAATGTTCAACTCTGTGTCCTGAATACAAACATCACAAAGATGTTTCTCAGAACGCTGCAGTCTGCAATTTGTATGAATTCCCGCTTCCAACGAAATCCTCAAAACTAGCCAAATATCCACTTGCAGATTCCACAAAAAGAGCATTTCAAAACTGCTCTATCAAAAGAAAGGTTCAACTTTGTTAGTTGAGTAGATACAGCATAAACAAGTTTCTGAGAATGCTTCTGTCCAGTTTTTATGGGAAGATATTTCCTTTTTCACCTTAGCCCTGAAAGCGCTCCAAAAGTCCAGTTCCAGATACTACAAAAGGAGTGTTTCAGGACTGCTCTATGAAAGGGAGTGTTCAACTTTTGACTTGAATGCAAACATCAGAAAGCAGTTTCTCAGAACGCTGCTGTGTGCTTTTTATATGTATTCCCGCTTCCAGCGAAATCCCCAAAGCTAGCCAAATATCCACTTGCAGATTCCAGAAAAAGAGTGTTTCAAAACTGCTCCTTCAAAACGGTGGTTCAATTCTCTTAGTTGAGTACACACATCTCAAATAAGTTTCTGAGAATGCTTCTGTCTAGTTGTTATGGGAAGATATTTCCTTTTTCAACATAGGCCTGAAAGCGCTCCAAATGTCCACTTCCAGATACTACAAAAGGAGTGATTCCAACCTGCTCGATGATAGGGAATGTTCAACTCTGTGTCCTGAATACAAACATCACAAAGACGTTTCTCAGAACGCTGCAGTCTGCAATTTGTATGAATTCCCGCTTCCAACGAAATCCTCAAACCTAGCCAAATATCCACTTGCAGATTCCACAAAAAGAGCATTTCAAACTGCTCTATCAAAAGAAAGGTTCAACTTTGTTAGTTGAGTAGATATAGCATAAACAAGTTTCTGAGAATGCTTCTGTCCAGTTTTTATGGGAAGATATTTCCTTTTTCACCTTAGCCCTGAAAGCGCTCCAAATGTCCAGTTCCCGATACTACAAAAGGGGTGTTTCAAGACTGCTCTATGAAAGGGAGTGTTCAACTTTTGACTTGAATGCAAACATCAGAAAGCAGTTTCTCAGAACGCTGCTGTGTGCTTTTTATATGTATTCCCGCTTCCAGCGAAATCCCCAAAGCTAGCCAAATATCCACTTGCAGATTCCAGAAAAAGAGTGTTTCAAAACTGCTCCTTCAAAACGGTGGTTCAATTCTCTTAGTTGAGTACACACATCTCAAATAAGTTTCTGAGAATGCTTGTGTCTAGTTGTTATGGGAAGATATTTCCTTTTTCAACATAGGCCTGAAAGCGCTCCAAATGTCCACTTCCAGATACTACAAAAGGAGTGATTCCAACCTGCTCTATGATAGGGAATTTTCATCTCTGTGTCCTGAATACAAACATCACAAAGATGTTTCTCAGAACGCTGCAGTCTGCAATTTGTATGAATTCCCGCTTCCAACGAAATCCTCAAAACTAGCCAAATATCCACTTGGAGATTCCACAAAAAGAGCGTTTCAAAACTTCTCTATGAATAGAAAGCTTCTACTCCTTTAGTTGAGGACACACATCTCGAGTAAGTTTCTGAGAACGCTTCTGTCTAGTTTTTATGGGAAGATATTTCCTTTTTCACCTTAGGCCGGAAAGCGCTCCAAATGTCCACTTACACACACTACAAAAAGAGTGTTTCAAACCTGCTCTGTGAAAGGGAATGTTCAATTCTGTGACTTGAATGCAGTCATCACAAAGAACTTTCTGAGAATGCTGCTGTCTGCTTTTTATATGTAATCCCGTTTCCAACGAAATCCTCAAATCTAGCCAAATAGCCACTTGCAGATTCCACAAAAAGAGTGTTTCAAAACTGTTCTGTCTAAAGAAAAGTTCAACTGTGTTAGTTGAGGACACACATCAGAAACTAGTTTCTGAGAATGCTTCTGTTTAGTTGTTATGGGAAGATATTTCCTTTTCCAACGTAGGCCTGAAAGCGCTCCAAATGTCCACTTCCATATACTAAAAAAAGAGTGTTTCAAATCTGCTCTACCAAAGGGAATGTTCTACTCTGTGACTTGAATGCAAACATCCCAAAGAAGTTTCTGAGAATGCTTCTGTCTAGATTTTATCTGAAGACAATCCCGTTTCCAACGAAATCCTCAAGGCTAGGCAAATATACTCTTGCAGATTCCAGAAAAAGAGTGTTTCAAAACTGCGCCTTCAAAACGGTGGTTCAATTCTCTTAGTTGAGTACACACATCTCAAATAAGTTTCTGAGAATGCTTCTGCCTAGTTGTTACGGGAAGATATTTCCCTTTCCAACATGGGCCTGAAAGCGCTCCAAATGTCCACTTCCAGATACTACAAAAGGAGGGTTTCAAACCTGCTCTACCAAAGGGAATGTTCTACTCTGTGACTTGAATGCAAACATCCCAAAGAAGTTTCTGAGAATGCTTCTGTCTAGATTTTACCTGAAGGCAATCCCGTTTCCCACGAAATCCTCAAAGCTATGCAAATATCCTCTTGCAGATTCTACAAAAAGAGTGTTTCAAAACTGCTCTATGAAAAGAAAGGTTCAACTCTGTCAGTAGAGGGCACACATCACAAACAAGTTTCTGAGAATGCTTGTGTCTAGTTGTTATGGGAAGATATTTCCTTTTTCAACATAGGCCTGAAAGCGCTCCAAATGTCCACTTCCAGATACTACAAAAGGAGTGATTCCAACCTGCTCTATGATAGGGAATGTTCATCTCTGTGTCTTGAATACAAACATCACAAAGATGTTTCTCAGAACGCTGCAGTCTGCAATTTGTATGAATTCCCGCTTCCAACGGAAATCCTCAAAACTAGCCAAATATCCACTTGGAGATTCCACAAAAAGAGCGTTTCAAAACTTCTCTATGAATAGAAAGGTTCTACTCCTTTAGTTGAGGACACACATCACGAGTAAGTTTCTGAGAATGCTTCTGTCTAGTTTTTATGGGAAGATATTTCCTTTTTCACCTTAGGCGGGAAAGTGCTCCAAATGTCCACTTACACACACTTCAAAAAGAGTGTTTCAAACCTGCTCTGTGAAAGGGAATGTTCAATTCTGTGACTTGAATGCAATCATCACAAAGAACTTTCTGAGAATGCTGCTGTCTGCTTTTTATATGTAATCCCGTTTCCAACGAAATCCTCAAATCTAGCCAAATAGCCACTTGCAGATTCCACAAAAAGAGTGTTTCAAAACTGTTCTGTCTAAAGAAATGTTCAACTGTGTTAGTTGAGGACACACATCAGAAACTAGTTGCTGAGAATGCTTCTGTCTAGTTGTTATGGGAAGATATTTCCTTTTTCAACGTAGGCCTGAAAGCGCTCCAAATGTCCACTTCCATATACTAAAAAAAGAGTGTTTCAAACCTGCTCTACCAAAGGGAATGTTCTACTCTGTGACTTGAATGCAAACATCCCAAAGAAGTTTCTGAGAATGCTTCTGTCTAGATTTGATCTGAAGACAATCCCGTTTCCAACGAAATCCTCAAGGCTAGGCAAATATCCTCTTGCAGATTCCAGAAAAAGAGTGTTTCAAAACTGCTCCTTCAAAACGGTGGTTCAATTCTCTTAGTTGAGTACACACATCTCAAATAAGTTTCTGAGAATGCTTCTGCCTAGTTGTTACGGGAAGATATTTCCCTTTCCAACATAGGCCTGAAAGCGCTCCAAATGTCCACTTCCAGATACTACAAAAAGAGTGTTTCAAACCTGCTCTACCAAAGGGAATGTTCTACTCTGTGACTTGAATGCAAACATCCCAAAGAAGTTTCTGAGAATGCTTCTGTCTAGATTTTACCTGAAGACAATCCCGTTTCCCACGAAATCCTCAAAGCTATGCAAATATCCTCTTGCAGATTCTACAAAAAGAGTGTTTCAAAACTGCTCTATGAAAAGAAAGGTTCAACTCTGTCAGTAGAGGGCACACATCACTAACAAGTTTCTGAGAATGCTTCTGCATAGTTGTTACGGGAAGATATTTCCCTTTCCAAAATAGGCCTGAAAGCGCTCCAAATGTCCACTTCCAGATACTACAAAAGGAGTGATTCCAACCTGCTCTATGATAGGGAATGTTCAACTCTGTGTCCTGAATACAAACATCACAAAGATGTTTCTCAGAACGCTGCAGTCTGCAATTTGTATGAATTCCCGCTTCCAACGAAATCCTCAAAACTAGCCAAATATCCACTTGCAGATTCCACAAAAAGACCATTTCAAAACTGCTCTATCAAAAGAAAGGTTCAACTTTGTTAGTTGAGTAGATACAGCATAAACAAGTTTCTGAGAATGCTTCTGTCCAGTTTTTATGGGAAGATATTTCCTTTTTCACCTTAGCCCTGAAAGCGCTCCAAATTTCCAGTTCCAGATACTACAAAAGGGGTGTTTCAAGACTGCTCTATGAAAGGGAGTGTTCAACTTTTGACTTGAATGCAAACATCAGAAAGCAGTTTCTCAGAACGCTGCTGTGTGCTTTTTATATGTATTCCCGCTTCCAGCGAAATCCCCAAAGCTAGCCAAATATCCACTTGCAGATTCCAGAAAAAGAGTGTTTCCAAACTGCTCCCTCAAAACGGTGGTTCAATTCTCTTAGTTGAGTACACACATCTCAAATAAGTTTCTGGGAATGCTTCTGTCTAGTTGTTATGGGAAGATATTTCCTTTTCCAACATAGGCCTGAAAGCGCTCCAAATGTCCACTTCCAGATACTACAAAAGGAGTGATTCAAACCTGCTCTATGATAGGGAATGTTCAACTCTGTGTCCTGAATACAAACATCACAAAGATGTTTCTCAGAACGCTGCAGTCTGCATCTTGTATGAATTCCCGCTTCCAACGAAATCCTCCAAACTAGCCAAATATCCACTTGCAGATTCCACAAAAAGAGCGTTTCAAAACTTCTCTATGAAAAGAAAGGTTCTACTCCTTTAGTTGAGGACACACATCACGAGTAAGTTTCTGAGAATGCTTCTGTCTAGTTTTTATGGGAAGATATTTCCTTGTTCACCTTAGGCCGGAAAGCGCTCCAAATGTCCACTTACACACACTACAAAAAGAGTGTTTCAAACCTGCTCTGTGAAAGGGAATGTTCAATTCTGTGACTTGAATGCAATCATCACAAAGAAGTTTCTGAGAATGCTGCTGACTGCTTTTTATATGTAATCCCGTTTCCAACGAAATCCTCAAATCTAGCCAAATAGCCACTTGCAGATTCCACAAAAAGAGTGTTTCAAAACTGTTTTGTCTATAGAAATGTTCAACTGTGTTAGTTGAGGACACACAGCAGAAACTAGTTTCTGAGAATGCTTCTGTCTAGTTGTTATGGGAAGATATTTCCTTTTCCAACGTAGGCCTGAAAGCGCTCCAAATGTCCACTTCCATATACTAAAAAAAGAGTGTTTCAAACCTGCTCTACCAAAGGGAATGTTCTACTCTGTGACTTGAATGCAAACATCCCAAAGAAGTTTCTGAGAATGCTTCTGTCTAGATTTTCTCTGAAGACAATCCCGTTTCCAACGAAATCCTCAAGGCTAGGCAAATATACTCTTGCAGATTCCAGAAAAAGAGTGTTTCAAAACTGCTCCTTCAAAACGGTGGTTCAATTCTCTTAGTTGAGTACACACATCTCAAATAAGTTTCTGAGAATGCTTCTGCCTAGTTGTTACGGGAAGATATTTCCCTTTCCAACATGGGCCTGAAAGCGCTCCAAATGTCCACTTCCAGATACTACAAAAAGAGTGTTTCAAACCTGCTCTACCAAAGGGAATGTTCTACTCTGTGACTTGAATGCAAACATCCCAAAGAAGTTTCTGAGAATGCTTCTGTCTAGATTTTACCTGAAGACAATCCCGTTTCCCACGAAATCCTCAAAGCTATGCAAATATCCTCTTGCAGATTCTACAAAAAGAGTGTTTCAAAACTGCTCTATGAAAAGAAAGGTTCAACTCTGTCAGTAGAGGGCACACATCACAAACAAGTTTCTGAGAATGCTTGTGTCTAGTTGTTATGGGAAGATATTTCCTTTTTCAACATAGGCCTGAAAGCGCTCCAAATGTCCACTTCCAGATACTACAAAAGGAGTGATTCCAACCTGCTCTATGATAGGGAATTTTCATCTCTGTGTCCTGAATACAAACATCACAAAGATGTTTCTCAGAACGCTGCAGTCTGCAATTTGTATGAATTCCCGCTTCCAACGAAATCCTCAAAACTAGCCAAATATCCACTTGGAGATTCCACAAAAAGAGCGTTTCAAAACTTCTCTATGAATAGAAAGCTTCTACTCCTTTAGTTGAGGACACACATCACGAGTAAGTTTCTGAGAACGCTTCTGTCTAGTTTTTATGGGAAGATATTTCCTTTTTCACCTTAGGCCGGAAAGCGCTCCAAATGTCCACTTACACACACTACAAAAAGAGTGTTTCAAACCTGCTCTGTGAAAGGGAATGTTCAATTCTGTGACTTGAATGCAGTCATCACAAAGAACTTTCTGAGAATGCTGCTGTCTGCTTTTTATATGTAATCCCGTTTCCAACGAAATCCTCAAATCTAGCCAAATAGCCACTTGCAGATTCCACAAAAAGAGTGTTTCAAAACTGTTCTGTCTAAAGAAAAGTTCAACTGTGTTAGTTGAGGACACACATCAGAAACTAGTTTCTGAGAATGCTTCTGTCTAGTTGTTATGGGAAGATATTTCCTTTTCCAACGTAGGCCTGAAAGCGCTCCAAATGTCCACTTCCATATACTAAAAAAAGAGTGTTTCAAACCTGCTCTACCAAAGGGAATGTTCTACTCTGTGACTTGAATGCAAACATCCCAAAGAAGTTTCTGAGAATGCTTCTGTCTAGATTTTCTCTGAAGACAATCCCGTTTCCAACGAAATCCTCAAGGCTAGGCAAATATACTCTTGCAGATTCCAGAAAAAGAGTGTTTCAAAACTGCTCCTTCAAAACGGTGGTTCAATTCTCTTAGTTGAGTACACACATCTCAAATAAGTTTCTGAGAATGCTTCTGCCTAGTTGTTACGGGAAGATATTTCCCTTTCCAACATAGGCCTGAAAGCGCTCCAAATGTCCACTTCCAGATAATACAAAATGAGTGTTTCAAACCTGCTCTACCAAAGGGAATGTTCTACTCTGTGACTTGAATGCAAACATCCCAAAGAAGTTTCTCAGAATGCTTCTGTCTAGATTTTACCTGAAGACAATCCCGTTTCCCACGAAATCCTCAAAGCTATGCAAATATCCTCTTGCAGATTCTACAAAAAGAGCGTTTCAAAACTTCTCTATGAAAAGAAAGGTTCTACTCATTTAGTGGAGGACACACATCACGAGTAAGTTTCTGAGAATGCTTCTGTCTAGTTTTTATGGGAAGATATTTCCTTTTTCACCTTAGGCCGGAAAGTGCTCCAAATGTCCAATTACACACACTAAAAAAGAGTATTTCAAACCTGCTCTGTGAAAGGGAATGTTCAATTCTGTGACTTGAATGCAATCATCACAAAGAACTTTCTGAGAATGCTGCTGACTGCTTTTTATATGTAATCCCGTTTCCAACGAAATCCTCAAATCTAGCCAAATAGCCACTTGCAGATTCCACAAAAAGAGTGTTTCAAAACTGTTCTGTCTAAAGAAATGTACAACTGTGTTAGTTGAGGACACACATCAGAAACTAGTTTCTGAGAATGCTTCTGTCTAGTTGTTATGGGAAGATATTTCCTTTTCCAACGTAGGCCTGAATGCGCTCCAAATGTCCACTTCCATATACTAAAAAAAGAGTGTTTCAAACCTGCTCTACCAAAGGGAATGTTCTACTCTGTGACTTGAATGCAAACATCCCAAAGAAGTTTCTGAGAATGCTTCTGTCTAGATTTGATCTGAAGACAATCCCGTTTCCAACGAAATCCTCAAGGCTAGGCAAATATCCTCTTGCAGATTCCAGAAAAAGAGTGTTTCAAAACTGCTCCTTCAAAACGGTGGTTCAATTCTCTTAGTTGAGTACACACATCTCAAATAAGTTTCTGAGAATGCTTCTGCCTAGTTGTTACGGGAAGATATTTCCCTTTCCAACATAGGCCTGAAAGCGCTCCAAATGTCCACTTCCAGATACTACAAAAAGAGTGTTTCAAACCTGCTCTACCAAAGGGAATGTTCTACTCTGTGACTTGAATGCAAACATCCCAAAGAAGTTTCTGAGAATGCTTCTGTCTAGATTTTACCTGAAGACAATCCCGTTTCCCACGAAATCCTCAAAGCTATGCAAATATCCTCTTGCAGATTCTACAAAAAGAGTGTTTCAAAACTGCTCTATGAAAAGAAAGGTTCAACTCTGTCAGTAGAGGGCACACATCACAAACAAGTTTCTGAGAATGCTTGTGTCTAGTTGTTATGGGAAGATATTTCCTTTTTCAACATAGGCCTGAAAGCGCTCCAAATGTCCACTTCCAGATACTACAAAAGGAGTGATTCCAACCTGCTCTATGATAGGGAATGTTCATCTCTGTGTCCTGAATACAAACATCACAAAGATGTTTCTCAGAACGCTGCAGTCTGCAATTTGTATGAATTCCCGCTTCCAACGAAATCCTCGAAACTAGCCAAATATCCACTTGGAGATTCCACAAAAAGAGCGTTTCAAAACTTCTCTATGAATAGAAAGGTTCTACTCCTTTAGTTGAGGACACACATCACGAGTAAGTTTCTGAGAATGCTTCTGTCTAGTTTTTATGGGAAGATATTTCCTTTTCCACCTTAGGCCGGAAAGCGCTCCAAATGTCCACTTACACACACTACAAAAAGAGTGTTTCAAACCTGCTCTGTGAAAGGGAATGTTCAATTCTGTGACTTGAATGCAATCATCACAAAGAACTTTGTGAGAATGCTGCTGTCTGCTTTTTATATGTAATCCCGTTTCCAACGAAATCCTCAAATCTAGCCAAATATCCACTTGCAGATTCCACAAAAAGAGTGTTTCAAAACTGTTCTGTCTAAAGAAAAGTTCAACTGTGTTAGTTGAGGACACACATCAGAAACTAGTTTCTGAGAATGCTTCTGTCTAGTTGTTATGGGAAGATATTTCCTTTTCCAAGGTAGGCCAGAAAGCGCTCCAAATGTCCACTTACACACACTACAAAAAGAGTGTTTCAAACCTGCTCTACCAAAGGGAATGTTCTACTCTGTGACTTGAATGCAAACATCCCAAAGAAGTTTCTGAGAATGCTTCTGTCTAGATTTTACCTGAAGACAATCCCGTTTCCCACGAAATCCTCAAAGCTATGCAAATATCCTCTTGCAGATTCTACAAAAAGAGTGTTTCGAAACTGCTCTATGAAAAGAAAGATTCAACTGTGTCAGTAGAGGGCACACATCACAAACAAGTTTCTGAGAATGCTTCTGTCTAGTTGTTATGGGAAGATATTTCCTTTTTCAACATAGGCCTGAAAGCGCTCCAAATGTCCACTTCCAGATACTACAAAAGGAGTGATTCCAACCTGCTCTATTATAGGGAATGTTCAACTCTGTGTCCTGAATACAAACATCACAAAGATGTTTCTCAGAACGCTGCAGTCTGCAATTTGTATGAATTCCCGCTTCCAACGAAATCCTCCAAACTAGCCAAATATCCACTTGCAGATTCCACAAAAAGAGCGTTTCAAAACTTCTCTATGAAAAGAAAGGTTCTACTCCTTTAGTTGAGGACACACATCACGAGTAAGTTTCTGAGAATGCTTCTGTCTAGTTTTTATGGGAAGATATTTCCTTTTTCACCTTAGGCCGGTAAGTGCTCCAAATGTCCACTTACACACACTACAAAAAGAGTCTTTCAAACCTGCTCTGTGAAAGGGAATGTTCAATTCTGTGACTTGAATGCAATCATCACAAAGAACTTTCTGAGAATGCTGCTGTCTGCTTTTTATATGTAATCCCGTTTCCAACGAAATCCTCAAATCTAGCCAAATAGCCACTTGCAGATTCCACAAAAAGAGAGTTTCAAAACTGTTCTGTCTAAAGAAATGTTCAACTGTGTTAGTTGAGGACACACATCAGAAACTAGTTTCTGAGAATGCTTCTGTCTAGTTGTTATGGGAAGATATTTCCTTTTCCAACGTAGGCCTGAAAGCGCTCCAAATGTCCACTTCCATATACTAAAAAAAGAGTGTTTCACACCTGCTCTACCAAAGGGAATGTTCTACTCTGTGACTTGAATGCAAACATCCCAAAGAAGTTTCTGAGAATGCTTCTGTCTAGATTTGATCTGAAGACAATCCCGTTTCCAACGAAATCCTCAAAGCTAGGCAAATATCCTCTTGCAGATTCCAGAAAAAGAGTGTTTCAAAACTGCTCCTTCAAAACGGTGGTTCAATTCTCTTAGTTGAGTACACACATCTCAAATAAGTTTCTGAGAATGCTTCTGCCTAGTTGTTACGGGAAGATATTTCCCTTTCCAACATAGGCCTGAAAGCGCTCCAAATGTCCACTTCCAGATACTACAAAAAGAGTGTTTCAAACCTGCTCTACCAAAGGGAATGTTCTACTCTGTGACTTGAATGCAAACATCCCAAAGAAGTTTCTGAGAATGCTTCTGTCTAGATTTTACCTGAAGACAATCCCGTTTCCCACGAAATCCTCAAAGCTATGCAAATATCCTCTTGCGGATTCTACAAAAAGAGTGTTTCAAAACTGCTCTATGAAAAGAAAGGTTCAACTCTGTCAGTAGAGGGCACACATCACAAACAAGTTTCTGAGAATGCATGTGTCTAGTTGTTATGGGAAGATATTTCCTTTTTCAACATAGGCCTGAAAGCGCTCCAAATGTCCACTTCCAGATACTACAAAAGGAGTGATTCCAACCTGCTCTATGATAGGGAATGTTCATCTCTGTGTCTTGAATACAAACATCACAAAGATGTTTCTCAGAACGCTGCAGTCTGCAATTTGTATGAATTCCCGCTTCCAACGAAATCCTCAAAACTAACCAAATATCCACTTGGAGATTCCACAAAAAGAGCGTTTCAAAACTTCTCTATGAATAGAAAGGTTCTACTCCTTTAGTTGAGGACACACATCACGAGTAAGTTTCTGAGAATGCTTCTGTCTAGTTTTTATGGGAAGATATGTCCTTTTTCACCTTAGGCCGGAAAGCGCTCCAAATGTCCACTTACACACACTACAAAAAGAGTGTTTCAAACCTGCTCTGTGAAAGGGAATGTTCAATTCTGTGACTTGAATGCAATCATCACAAAGAACTTTCTGAGAATGCTGCTGTCTGCTTTTTATATGTAATCCCGTTTCCAACGAAATCCTCAAATCTAGCCCAATATCCACTTGCAGATTCCACAAAAAGAGTGTTTCAAAACTGTTCTGTATAAAGAAATGTACAACTGTGTTAGTTGAGGACACACATCAGAAACTAGTTTCTGAGAATGCTTCTGTCTAGTTGTTATGGGAAGATATTTCCTTTTCCAACGTAGGCCTGAAAGCGCTCCAAATGTCCACTTCCATATACTAAAAAAAGAGTGTTTCAAACCTGCTCTACCAAAGGGAATGTTCTACTCTGTGACTTGAATGCAAACATCCCAAAGAAGTTTCTGAGAATGCTTCTGTCTAGATTTTATCTGAAGACAATCCCGTTTCCAACGAAATCCTCAAGGCTAGGCAAATATACTCTTGCAGATTCCAGAAAAAGAGGGTTTCAAAACTGCTCCTTCAAAACGGTGGTTCAATTCTCTTAGTTGAGTACACACATCTCAAATAAGTTTCTGAGAATGCTTCTGCCTAGTTGTTACGGGAAGATATTTCCCTTTCCAACATGGGCCTGAAAGCGCTCCAAATGTCCACTTCCAGATACTACAAAAAGAGTGTTTCAAACCTGCTCTACCAAAGGGAATGTTCTACTCTGTGACTTGAATGCAAACATCCCAAAGAAGTTTCTGAGAATGCTTCTGTCTAGATTTTACCTGAAGACAATCCCGTTTCCCACGAAATCCTCAAAGCTATGCAAATATCCTCTTGCAGATTCTACAAAAAGAGTGTTTCAAAACTGCTCTATGAAAAGAAAGGTTCAACTCTGTCAGTAGAGGGCACACATCACAAACAAGTTTCTGAGAATGCTTCTGCATAGTTGTTACGGGAAGATATTTCCCTTTCCAAAATAGGCCTGAAAGCGCTCCAAATGTCCACTTCCAGATACTACAAAAGGAGTGATTCCAACCTGCTCTATGATAGGGAATGTTCAACTCTGTGTCCTGAATACAAACATCACAAAGATGTTTCTCAGAACGCTGCAGTCTGCAATTTGTATGAATTCCCGCTTCCAACGAAATCCTCAAAACTAGCCAAATATCCACTTGCAGATTCCACAAAAAGACCATTTCAAAACTGCTCTATCAAAAGAAAGGTTCAACTTTGTTAGTTGAGTAGATACAGCATAAACAAGTTTCTGAGAATGCTTCTGTCCAGTTTTTATGGGAAGATATTTCCTTTTTCACCTTAGCCCTGAAATCGCTCCAAAAGTCCAGTTCCAGATACTACAAAAGGGGTGTTTCAGGACTGCTCTATGAAAGGGAGTGTTCAACTTTTGACTTGAATGCAAACATCAGAAAGCAGTTTCTCAGAACGCTGCTGTGTGCTTTTTATATGTATTCCCGCTTCCAGCGAAATCCCCAAAGCTAGCCAAATATCCACTTGCAGATTCCAGAAAAAGAGAGTTTCAAAACTGCTCCTTCAAAACGGTGGTTCAATTCTCTTAGTTGAGTACACACATCTCAAATAAGTTTCTGAGAATGCTTCTGTCTAGTTGTTATGGGAAGATATTTCCTTTTCCAACATAGGCCTGAAAGCGCTCCAAATGTCCACTTCCAGATACTACAAAAGGAGTGATTCAAACCTGCTCTATGATAGGGAATGTTCAACTCTGTGTCCTGAATACAAACATCACAAAGATGTTTCTCAGAACGCTGCAGTCTGCAATTTGTATGAATTCCCGCTTCCAACGAAATCCTCAAAACTAGCCAAATATCCACTTGCAGATTCCACAAAAAGAGCGTTTCAAAACTTCTCTATGAAAAGAAAGGTTCTACTCCTTTAGTTGAGGACACACATCACGAGTAAGTTTCTGAGAATGCTTCTGTCTAGTTTTTATGGGAAGATTATTTCCTTTTTCACCTTAGGCCGGTAAGTGCTCCAAATGTCCACTTACACACACTACAAAAAGAGTGTTTCAAACCTGCTCTGTGAAAGGGAATGTTCAATTCTGTGACTTGAATGCAATCATCACAAAGAACTTTCTGAGAATGCCGCTGACTGCTTTTTATATGTAATCCCGTTTCCAACGAAATCCTCAAATCTAGCCAAATAGCCACTTGCAGATTCCACAAAAAGAGTGTTTCAAAACTGTTCTGTCTAAAGAAATGTTCAACTGTGTTAGTTGAGGACACACATCAGAAACTAGTTTCTGAGAATGCTTCTGTCTAGTTGTTATGGGAAGATATTTCCTTTTCCAACGTAGGCCTGAAAGCGCTCCAAATGTCCACTTCCATATACTAAAAAAAGAGTGTTTCAAACCTGCTCTACCAAAGGGAATGTTCTACTCTGTGACTTGAATGCAAACATCCCAAAGAAGTTTCTGAGAATGCTTCTGTCTAGATTTTATCTGAAGACAATCCCGTTTCCAACGAAATCTTCAAGGCTAGGCAAATATACTCTTGCAGATTCCAGAAAAAGAGTGTTTCAAATCTGCTCCTTCAAAACGGTGGTTCAATTCTCTTAGTTGAGTACACACATCTCAAATAAGTTTCTGAGAATGCTTCTGCCTAGTTGTTACGGGAAGATATTTCCCTTTCCAAAATAGGCCTGAAAGCGCTCCAAATGTCCACTTCCAGATACTGCAAAAGGAGTGATTCCAACCTGCTCTACGATAGGGAAAGTTCAACTCTGTGTCCTGAATACAAACATCACAAAGATGTTTCTCAGAACGCTGCAGTCTGCAATTTGTATGAATTCCCGCTTCCAACGAAATCCTCAAAACTAGCCAAATATCCACTTGGAGATTCCACAAAAAGACCATTTCAAAACTGCTCTATCAAAAGAAAGGTTCAACTTTGTTAGTAGAGTAGATACAGCATAAACAAGTTTCTGAGAATGCTTCTGTCCAGTTTTTATGGGAAGATATTTCCTTTTTCACCTTAGCCCTGAAAGCGCTCCAAATGTCCAGTTCCAGATACTACAAAAGGGGTGTTTCAAGACTGCTCTATGAAAGGGAGTGTTCAACTTTTGACTTGAATGCAAACATCAGAAAGCAGTTTCTCAGAACGCTGCTGTGTGCTTTTTATATGTATTCCCGCTTCCAGCGAAATCCCCAAAGCTAGCCAAATATCCACTTGCAGATTCCAGAAAAAGAGTGTTTCAAAACTGCTCCTTCAAAACGGTGGTTCAATTCTCTTAGTTGAGTACACACATCTCAAATAAGTTTCTGAGAATGCTTCTGTCTAGTTGTTATGGGAAGATATTTCCTTTTCCAACATAGGCCTGAAAGCGCTCCAAATGTCCACTTCCAGATACTACAAAAGGAGTGATTCAAACCTGCTCTATGATAGGGAATGTTCAACTCTGTGTCCTGAATACAAACATCACAACGATGTTTCTCAGAACGCTGCAGTCTGCAATTTGTATGAATTCCCGCTTCCAACGAAATCCTCAAAACTAGCCAAATATCCACTTGCAGATTCCACAAAAAGAGCGTTTCAAAACTTCTCTATGAAAAGAAAGGTTCTACTCCTTTAGTTGAGGACACACATCACGAGTAAGTTTCTGAGAATGCTTCTGTCTAGTTTTTATGGGAAGATATTTCCTTTTTCACCTTAGGCCGGTAAGTGCTCCAAATGTCCACTTACACACACTACAAAAAGAGTGTTTCAAACCTGCTCTGTGAAAGGGAATGTTCAATTCTGTGACTTGAATGCAATCATCACAAAGAACTTTCTGAGAATGCTGCTGTCTGCTTTTTATATGTAATCCCGTTTCCAACGAAATCCTCAAATCTAGCCAAATAGCCACTTGCAGATTCCACAAAAAGAGTGTTTCAAAACTGTTCTGTGTAAAGAAATGTTCAACTGTGTTAGTTGAGGACACACATCAGAAACTAGTTTCTGAGAATGCTTCTGTCTAGTTGTTATGGGAAGATATTTCCTTTTCCAACGTAGGCCTGAAAGCGCTCCAAATGTCCACTTCCATATACTAAAAAAAGAGTGTTTCAAACCTGCTCTACCAAAGGGAATGTTCTACTCTGTGACTTGAATGCAAACATCCCAAAGAAGTTTCTGAGAATGCTTCTGTCTAGATTTTCTCTGAAGACAATCCCGTTTCCAACGAAATCCTCAAGGCTAGGCAAATATACTCTTGCAGATTCCAGAAAAAGAGTGTTTCAAAACTGCTCCTTCAAAACGGTGGTTCAATTCTCTTAGTTGAGTACACACATCTCAAATAAGTTTCTGAGAATGCTTCTGCCTAGTTGTTACGGGAAGATATTTCCCTTTCCAACATGGGCCTGAAAGCGCTCCAAATGTCCACTTCCAGATACTACAAAAAGAGTGTTTCAAACCTGCTCTACCAAAGGGAATGTTCTACTCTGTGACTTGAATGCAAACATCCCAAAGAAGTTTCTGAGAATGCTTCTGTCTAGATTTTACCTGAAGACAATCCCGTTTCCCACGAAATCCTCAAAGCTATGCAAATATCCTCTTGCAGATTCTACAAAAAGAGTGTTTCAAAACTGCTCTATGAAAAGAAAGGTTCAACTCTGTCAGTAGAGGGCACACATCACAAACAAGTTTCTGAGAATGCTTCTGCATAGTTGTTACGGGAAGATATTTCCCTTTCCAAAATAGGCCTGAAAGCGCTCCAAATGTCCACTTCCAGATACTACAAAAGGAGTGATTCCAACCTGCTCTATGATAGGGAATGTTCAACTCTGTGTCCTGAATACAAACATCACAAAGATGTTTCTCAGAACGCTGCAGTCTGCAATTTGTATGAATTCCCGCTTCCAATGAAATCCTCAAAACTAGCCAAATATCCACTTGCAGATTCCACAAAAAGACCATTTCAAAACCTGCTCTATCAAAAGAAAGGTTCAACTTTGTTAGTTGAGTAGATACAGCATAAACAAGTTTCTGAGAATGCTTCTGTCCAGTTTTTATGGGAAGATATTTCCTTTTTCACCTTAGCCCTGAAATCGCTCCAAAAGTCCAGTTCCAGATACTACAAAAGGGGTGTTTCAGGACTGCTCTATGAAAGGGAGTGTTCAACTTTTGACTTGAATGCAAACATCAGAAAGCAGTTTCTCAGAACGCTGCTGTGTGCTTTTTATATGTATTCCCGCTTCCAGCGAAATCCCCAAAGCTAGCCAAATATCCACTTGCAGATTCCAGAAAAAGAGAGTTTCAAAACTGCTCCTTCAAAACGGTGGTTCAATTCTCTTAGTTGAGTACACACATCTCAAATAAGTTTCTGAGAATGCTTCTGTCTAGTTGTTATGGGAAGATATTTCCTTTTCCAACATAGGCCTGAAAGCGCTCCAAATGTCCACTTCCAGATACTACAAAAGGAGTGATTCCAACCTGCTCTATGATAGGGAATGTTCAACTCTGTGTCCTGAATACAAACATCACAAAGATGTTTCTCAGAACGCTGCAGTCTGCAATTTGTATGAATTCCCGCTTCCAACGAAATCCTCAAAACTAGCCAAATATCCACTTGCAGATTCCACAAAAAGAGCGTTTCAAAACTTCTCTATGAAAAGAAAGGTTCTACTCCTTTAGTTGAGGACACACATCACGAGTAAGTTTCTGAGAATGCTTCTGTCTAGTTTTTATGGGAAGATATTTCCTTTTTCACCTTAGGCCGGTAAGTGCTCCAAATGTCCACTTACACACACTACAAAAAGAGTCTTTCAAACCTGCTCTGTGAAAGGGAATGTTCAATTCTGTGACTTGAATGCAATCATCACAAAGAACTTTCTGAGAATGCTGCTGACTGCTTTTTATATGTAATCCCGTTTCCAACGAAATCCTCAAATCTAGCCAAATAGCCACTTGCAGATTCCACAAAAAGAGTGTTTCAAAACTGTTCTGTCTAAAGAAATGTTCAACTGTGTTAGTTGAGGACACACATCAGAAACTAGTTTCTGAGAATGCTTCTGTCTAGTTGTTATGGGAAGATATTTCCTTTTCCAACGTAGGCCTGAAAGCGCTCCAAATGTCCACTTCCAGATACTACAAAAAGAGTGTTTCAAACCTGCTCTACCAAAGGGAATGTTCTACTCTGTGACTTGAATGCAAACATCCCAAAGAAGTTTCTGAGAATGCTTCTGTCTAGATTTGATCTGAAGACAATCCCGTTTCCAACGAAATCCTCAAGGCTAGGCAAATATCCTCTTGCAGATTCCAGAGAAAGAGTGTTTCAAAACTGCTCCTTGAAAACGGTGGTTCAATTCTCTTAGTTGAGTACACACATCTCAAATAACTTTCTGAGAATGCTTCTGCCTAGTTGTTACGTGAAGATATTTCCCTTTCCAACATAGGCCTGAAAGCGCTCCAAATGTCCACTTCCAGATACTACAAAAAGAGTGTTTCAAACCTGCTCTACCAAAGGGAATGTTCTGCTCTGTGACTTGAATGCAAACATCCCAAAGAAGTTTCTGAGAATGCTTCTGTCTAGATTTTACCTGAAGACAATCCCGTTTCCCACGAAATCCTCAAAGCTATGCAAATATCCTCTTGCGGATTCTACAAAAAGAGTGTTTCAAAACTGCTCTATGAAAAGAAAGGTTCAACTCTGTCAGTAGAGGGCACACATCACAAACAAGTTTCTGAGAATGCTTGTGTCTAGTTGTTATGGGAAGATATTTCCTTTTTCAACATAGGCCTGAAAGCGCTCCAAATGTCCACTTTCAGATACTACAAAAGGAGTGATTCCAACCTGCTCTATGATAGGGAATGTTCATCTCTGTGTCCTGAATACAAACATCACAAAGATGTTTCTCAGAACGCTGCAGTCTGCAATTTGTATGAATTCCCGCTTCCAACGAAATCCTCAAAACTAGCCAAATATCCACTTGCAGATTCCACAAAAAGAGCATTTCAAAACTGCTCTATCAAAAGAAAGGTTCAACATTGTTAGTTGAGTAGATACAGCATAAACAAGTTTCTGAGAATGCTTCTGTCCAGTTTTTATGGGAAGATATTTCCTTTTTCACCTTAGCCCTGAAAGCGCTCCAAATGTCCAGTTCCACATACTACAAAAGGGGTGTTTCAAGACTGCTCTATGAAAGGGAGTGTTCAACTTTTGACTTGAATGCAAACATCAGAAAGCAGTTTCTCAGAACGCTGCTGTGTGCTTTTTATATGTATTCCCGCTTCCAGCGAAATCCCCAAAGCTAGCCAAATATCCACTTGCAGATTCCAGAAAAAGAGTGTTTCAAAACTGCTCCTTCAAAACGGTGGTTCAATTCTCTTAGTTGAGTACACACATCTCAAATAAGTTTCTGAGAATGCTTCTGTCTAGTTGTTATGGGAAGATATTTCCTTTTCCAACATAGGCCTGAAAGCGCTCCAAATGTCCACTTCCAGATACTACAAAAGGAGTGATTCCAACCTGCTCTATGATAGGGAATGTTCAACTCTGTGTCCTGAATACAAACATCACAAAGATGTTTCTCAGAACGCTGCAGTCTGCAATTTGTATGAATTCCCGCTTCCAACGAAATCCTCAAAACTAGCCAAATATCCACTTGCAGATTCCACAAAAAGAGCGTTTCAAAACTTCTCTATGAAAAGGAAGGTTCTACTCCTTTAGTTGAGGACACACATCACGAGTAAGTTTCTGAGAATGCTTCTGTCTAGTTTTTATGGGAAGATATTTCCTTTTTCACCTTAGGCCGGAAAGTGCTCCAAATGTCCACTTACACACACTACAAAAAGAGTGTTTCAAACCTGCTCTGTGAAAGGGAATGTTCAATTCTGTGACTTGAATGCAATCATCACAAAGAACTTTCTGAGAATGCTGCTGTCTGCTTTTTATATGTAATCCCGTTTCCAACGAAATCCTCAAATCTAGCCAAATAGCCACTTGCAGATTCCACAAAAAGAGTGTTTCAAAACTGTTCTGTCTAAAGAAATGTTCAACTGTGTTAGTTGAGGACACACATCAGAAACTAGTTTCTGAGAATGCTTCTGTCTAGTTGTTATGGGAAGATATTTCCTTTTCCAACGTAGGCCTGAAAGCGCTCCAAATGTCCACTTCCATATACTAAAAAAAGAGTGTTTCAAACCTGCTCTACCAAAGGGAATGTTCTACTCTGTGACTTGAATGCAAACATCCCAAAGAAGTTTCTGAGAATGCTTCTGTCTAGATTTGATCTGAAGACAATCCCGTTTCCAACGAAATCCTCAAGGCTAGGCAAATATCCTCTTGCAGATTCCAGAAAAAGAGTGTTTCAAAACTGCTCCTTCAAAACGGTGGTTCAATTCTCTTAGTTGAGTACACACATCTCAAATAAGTTTCTGAGAATGCTTCTGCCTAGTTGTTACGGGAAGATATTTCCCTTTCCAACATGGGCCTGAAAGCGCTCCAAATGTCCACTTCCAGATACTACAAAAAGAGTGTTTCAAACCTGCTCTACCAAAGGGAATGTTCTACCCTGTGACTTGAATGCAAACATCCCAAAGAAGTTTCTGAGAATGCTTCTGTCTAGATTTTACCTGAAGACAATCCCGTTTCCCACGAA
The DNA here is from genome assembly GCF_000001405.40 of Homo sapiens. NCBI lineage: Eukaryota > Metazoa > Chordata > Mammalia > Primates > Hominidae > Homo > Homo sapiens. The sequence continues at coordinate 17,227,018 of NC_000018.10, read as the reverse complement.
ATCCTCAAAGCTATGCAAATATCCTCTTGCAGATTCTACAAAAAGAGTGTTTCAAAACTGCTCTATGAAAAGAAAGGTTCAACTCTGTCAGTAGAGGGCACACATCACAAACAAGTTTCTGAGAATGCTTGTGTCTAGTTGTTATGGGAAGATATTTCCTTTTTCAACATAGGCCAGAAAGCGCTGCAAATGTCCACTTCCAGATACTACAAAAGGAGTGATTCCAACCTGCTCTATGATAGGGAATGTTCAACTCTCTGTCCTGAATACAAACATCACAAAGATGTTTCTCAGAACGCTGCAGTCTGCAATTTGTATGAATTCCCGCTTCCAACGAAATCCTCAAAACTAGCCAAATATCCACTTGCAGATTCCACAAAAAGAGCATTTCAAAACTGCTCTATCAAAAGAAAGGTTCAACTTTGTTAGTTGAGTAGATACAGCATAAACAAGTTTCTGAGAATGCTTCTGTCCAGTTTTTATGGGAAGATATTTCCTTTTTCACCTTAGCCCTGAAAGCGCTCCAAAAGTCCAGTTCCAGATACTACAAAAGGAGTGTTTCAGGACTGCTCTATGAAAGGGAGTGTTCAACTTTTGACTTGAATGCAAACATCACAAAGCAGTTTCTCAGAACGCTGCTGTGTGCTTTTTATATGTATTCCCGCTTCCAGCGAAATCCCCAAAGCTAGCCAAATATCCACTTGCAGATTCCAGAAAAAGAGTGTTTCAAAACTGCTCCTTCAAAACGGTGGTTCAATTCTCTTAGTTGAGTACACACATCTCAAATAAGTTTCTGAGAATGCTTGTGTCTAGTTGTTATGGGAAGATATTTCCTTTTTCAACATAGGCCTGAAAGCGCTCCAAATGTCCACTTCCAGATACTACAAAAGGAGTGATTCCAACCTGCTCTATGATAGGGAATGTTCAACTCTGTGTCCTGAATACAAACATCACAAAGATGTTTCTCAGAACGCTGCAGTCTGCAATTTGTATGAATTCCCGCTTCCAGCGAAATCCTCAAAACTAGCCAAATATCCACTTGCAGATTCCACAAAAAGAGCATTTCAAAACTGCTCTATCAAAAGAAAGGTTCAACTTTGTTAGTTGAGTAGATACAGCATAAACAAGTTTCTGAGAATGCTTCTGTCCAGTTTTTATGGGAAGATATTTCCTTTTTCACCTTAGCCCTGAAAGCGCTCCAAAAGTCCAGTTCCAGATACTACAAAAGGAGTGTTTCAGGACTGCTCTATGAAAGGGAGTGTTCAACTTTTGACTTCAATGGAAACATCAGAAAGCAGTTTCTCAGAACGCTGCTGTCTGCTTTTTATATGTAATCCCGTTTCCAACGAAATCCTCAAATCTAACCAAATATCCACTTGCAGATTCCAGAAAAAGAGTGTTTCAAAACTGCTCCTTCAAAACGGTGGTTCAATTCTCTTAGTTGAGTACACACATCACAAACAAGTTTCTGAGAATGCTTGTGTCTAGTTGTTATGGGAAGATATTTCCTTTTTCAACATAGGCCTGAAAGCGCTCCAAATGTCCACTTCCAGATACTACAAAAGGAGTGATTCCAACCTGCTCTATGATAGGGAATGTTCAACTCTCTGTCCTGAATACAAACATCACAAAGATGTTTCTCAGAACGCTGCAGTCTGCAATTTGTATGAATTCCCGTTTCCAACGAAATCCTCAAAACTAGCCAAATATCCACTTGCAGATTCCACAAAAAGAGCATTTCAAAATTGCTCTATCAAAAGAAAGGTTCAACTTTGTTAGTTGAGTAGATACAGCATAAACAAGTTTCTGAGAATGCTTCTGTCCAGTTTTTATGGGAAGATATTTCCTTTTTCACCTTAGCCCTGAAAGCGCTCCAAAAGTCCAGTTCCAGATACTACAAAAGGAGTGTTTCAGGACTGCTCTATGAAAGGGAGTGTTCAACTTTTGACTTGAATGCAAACATCAGAAAGCAGTTTCTTAGAACGCTGCTGTGTGCTTTTTATATGTATTCCCGCTTCCAGCGAAATCCCCAAAGCTAGCCAAATATCCACTTGCAGATTCCAGAAAAAGAGTGTTTCAAAACTGCTCCTTCAAAACGGTGGTTCAATTCTCTTAGTTGAGTACACACATCTCAAATAAGTTTCTGAGAATGCTTCTGTCTAGTTTTTATGGGAAGATATTTCCTTTTTCACCTGAGGCCGGAAAGCGCTCCAAATGTCCACTTCCAGATACTACAAAAGGAGTGATTCAAACCTGCTCTATGATAGGGAACGTTCAACTCTGTGTCCTGAATACAAACATCACAAAGATGTTTCTCAGAACGCTGCAGTCTGCAATTTGTATGAATTCCCGCTTCCAACGAAATCCTCCAAACTAGCCAAATATCCACTTGCAGATTCCACAAAAAGAGCGTTTCAAAACTTCTCTATGAAAAGAAAGGTTCTACTCCTTTAGTTGAGGACACACATCACGAGTAAGTTTCTGAGAATGCTTCTGTCTAGTTTTTATGGGAAGATTATTTCCTTTTTCACCTTAGGCCGGTAAGTGCTCCAAATGTCCACTTACACACACTACAAAAAGAGTGTTTCAAACCTGCTCTGTGAAAGGGAATGTTCAATTCTGTGACTTGAATGCAATCATCACAAAGAACTTTCTGAGAATGCTGCTGACTGCTTTTTATATGTAATCCCGTTTCCAACGAAATCCTCAAATCTAGCCAAATAGCCACTTGCAGATTCCACAAAAAGAGTGTTTCAAAACTGTTCTGTCTAAAGAAATGTTCAACTGTGTTAGTTGAGGACACACATCAGAAACTAGTTTCTGAGAATGCTTCTGTCTAGTTGTTATGGGAAGATATTTCCTTTTCCAACGTAGGCCTGAAAGCGCTCCAAATGTCCACTTCCAGATACTACAAAAAGAGTGTTTCAAACCTGCTCTACCAAAGGGAATGTTCTACTCTGTGACTTGAATGCAAGCATCCCAAAGAAGTTTCTGAGAATGCTTCTGTCTAGATTTTCTCTGAAGACAATCCCGTTTCCAACGAAATCCTCAAGGCTAGGCAAATATCCTCTTGCAGATTCCAGAAAAAGAGTGTTTCAAAACTGCTCCTTCAAAACGGTGGTTCAATTCTCTTAGTTGAGTACACACATCTCAAATAAGTTTCTGAGAATGCTTCTGCCTAGTTGTTACGGGAAGATATTTCCCTTTCCAACATGGGCCTGAAAGCGCTCCAAATGTCCACTTCCAGATACTACAAAAAGAGTGTTTCAAACCTGCTCTACCAAAGGGAATGTTCTACTCTGTGACTTGAATGCAAACATCCCAAAGAAGTTTCTGAGAATGCTTCTGTCTAGATTTTACCTGAAGACAATCCCGTTTCCCACGAAATCCTCAAAGCTATGCAAATATCCTCTTGCAGATTCTACAAAAAGAGTGTTTCAAAACTGCTCTATGAAAAGAAAGGTTCAACTCTGTCAGTAGAGGGCACAACATCACAAACAAGTTTCTGAGAATGCTTCTGCATAGTTGTTACGGGAAGATATTTCCCTTTCCAAAATAGGCCTGAAAGCGCTCCAAATGTCCACTTCCAGATACTACAAAAGGAGTGATTCCAACCTGCTCTATGATAGGGAATGTTCAACTCTGTGTCCTGAATACAAACATCACAAAGATGTTTCTCAGAACGCTGCAGTCTGCAATTTGTATGAATTCCCGCTTCCAACGAAATCCTCAAAACTAGCCAAATATCCACTTGCAGATTCCACAAAAAGACCATTTCAAAACTGCTCTATCAAAAGAAAGGTTCAACTTTGTTAGTTGAGTAGATACAGCATAAACAAGTTTCTGAGAATGCTTCTGTCCAGTTTTTATGGGAAGATATTTCCTTTTTCACCTTAGCCCTGAAATCGCTCCAAAAGTCCAGTTCCAGATACTACAAAAGGGGTGTTTCAGGACTGCTCTATGAAAGGGAGTGTTCAACTTTTGACTTGAATGCAAACATCAGAAAGCAGTTTCTCAGAACGCTGCTGTGTGCTTTTTATATGTATTCCCGCTTCCAGCGAAATCCCCAAAGCTAGCCAAATATCCACTTGCAGATTCCAGAAAAAGAGAGTTTCAAAACTGCTCCTTCAAAACGGTGGTTCAATTCTCTTAGTTGAGTACACACATCTCAAATAAGTTTCTGAGAATGCTTCTGTCTAGTTGTTATGGGAAGATATTTCCTTTTCCAACATAGGCCTGAAAGCGCTCCAAATGTCCACTTCCAGATACTACAAAAGGAGTGATTCAAACCTGCTCTATGATAGGGAATGTTCAACTCTGTGTCCTGAATACAAACATCACAAAGATGTTTCTCAGAACGCTGCAGTCTGCAATTTGTATGAATTCCCGCTTCCAACGAAATCCTCAAAACTAGCCAAATATCCACTTGCAGATTCCACAAAAAGAGCGTTTCAAAACTTCTCTATGAAAAGAAAGGTTCTACTCCTTTAGTTGAGGACACACATCACGAGTAAGTTTCTGAGAATGCTTCTGTCTAGTTTTTATGGGAAGATATTTCCTTTTTCACCTTAGGCCGGTAAGTGCTCCAAATGTCCACTTACACACACTACAAAAAGAGTGTTTCAAACCTGCTCTGTGAAAGGGAATGTTCAATTCTGTGACTTGAATGCAATCATCACAAAGAACTTTCTGAGAATGCTGCTGACTGCTTTTTATATGTAATCCCGTTTCCAACGAAATCCTCAAATCTAGCCAAATAGCCACTTGCAGATTCCACAAAAAGAGTGTTTCAAAACTGTTCTGTCTAAAGAAAAGTTCAACTGTGTTAGTTGAGGACACACATCAGAAACTAGTTTCTGAGAATGCTTCTCTGTCTAGTTGTTATGGGAAGATATTTCCTTTTCCAACGTAGGCCTGAAAGCGCTCCAAATGTCCACTTCCAGATACTACAAAAAGAGTGTTTCAAACCTGCTCTACCAAAGGGAATGTTCTACTCTGTGACTTGAATGCAAGCATCCCAAAGAAGTTTCTGAGAATGCTTCTGTCTAGATTTTCTCTGAAGACAATCCCGTTTCCAACGAAATCCTCAAGGCTAGGCAAATATACTCTTGCAGATTCCAGAAAAAGAGTGTTTCAAAACTGCTCCTTCAAAACGGTGGTTCAATTCTCTTAGTTGAGTACACACATCTCAAATAAGTTTCTGAGAATGCTTCTGCCTAGTTGTTACGGGAAGATATTTCCCTTTCCAACATGGGCCTGAAAGCGCTCCAAATGTCCACTTCCAGATACTACAAAAAGAGTGTTTCAAACCTGCTCTACCAAAGGGAATGTTCTACTCTGTGACTTGAATGCAAACATCCCAAAGAAGTTTCTGAGAATGCTTCTGTCTAGATTTTACCTGAACACAATCCCGTTTCCCACGAAATCCTCAAAGCTATGCAAATATCCTCTTGCAGAATTCTACAAAAAGAGTGTTTCAAAACTGCTCTATGAAAAGAAAGGTTCAACTCTGTCAGTAGAGGGCACACATCACAAACAAGTTTCTGAGAATGCTTGTGTCTAGTTGTTATGGGAAGATATTTCCTTTTTCAACATAGGCCTGAAAGCGCTCCAAATGTCCACTTCCAGATACTACAAAAGGAGTGATTCCAACCTGCTCTATGATAGGGAATGTTCATCTCTGTGTCCTGAATACAAACATCACAAAGATGTTTCTCAGAACGCTGCAGTCTGCAATTTGTATGAATTCCCGCTTCCAACGAAATCCTCAACACTAGCCAAATATCCACTTGGAGATTCCACAAAAAGAGCGTTTCAAAACTTCTCTATGAATAGAAAGCTTCTACTCCTTTAGTTGAGGACACACATCACGAGTAAGTTTCTGAGAATGCTTCTGTCTAGTTTTTATGGGAAGATATTTCCTTTTTCACCTTAGGTCGGAAAGCGCTCCAAATGTCCACTTACACACACTACAAAAAGAGTGTTTCAAACCTGCTCTGTGAAAGGGAATGTTCAATTCTGTGACTTGAATGCAGTCATCACAAAGAACTTTCTGAGAATGCTGCTGTCTGCTTTTTATATGTAATCCCGTTTCCAACGAAATCCTCAAATCTAGCCAAATAGCCACTTGCAGATTCCACAAAAAGAGTGTTTCAAAACTGTTCTGTCTAAAGAAAAGTTCAACTGTGTTAGTTGAGGACACACATCAGAAACTAGTTTCTGAGAATGCTTCTGTCTAGTTGTTATGGGAAGATATTTCCTTTTCCAACGTAGGCCTGAAAGCGCTCCAAATGTCCATTTCCATATACTAAAAAAAGAGTGTTTCAAACCTGCTCTACCAAAGGGAATGTTCTACTCTGTGACTTGAATACAAACATCCCAAAGAAGTTTCTGAGAATGCTTCTGTCTAGATTTTATCTGAAGACAATCCGGTTTCCAACGAAATCCTCAAAGCTAGGCAAATATCCTCTAGCAGATTCCAGAAAAAGAGTGTTTCAAAACTGCTCCTTCAAAACGGTGGTTCAATTCTACTTAGTTGAGTACACACATCTCAAAAAAGTTTCAGAGAATGCTTCTGCCTAGTTGTTACGGGAAGATATTTCCCTTTCCAACATGGGCCTGAAAGCGCTCCAAATGTCCACTTCCAGATACTACAAAAAGAGTGTTTCAAACCTGCTCTACCAAAGGGAATGTTCTACTCTGTGACTTGAATGCAAACATCCCAAAGAAGTTTCTGAGAATGCTTCTGTCTAGATTTTACCTGAAGACAATCCCGTTTCCCACGAAATCCTCAAAGCTATGCAAATATCCTCTTGCAGATTCTACAAAAAGAGTGTTTCAAAACTGCTCTATGAAAAGAAAGGTTCAACTCTGTCAGTAGAGGGCACACATCACAAACAAGTTTCTGAGAATGCTTCTGCATAGTTGTTATGGGAAGATATTTCCCTTTCCAAAATAGGCCTGAAAGCGCTCCAAATGTCCACTTCCAGATACTACAAAAGGAGTGATTCCAACCTGCTCTAGGACAGGGAATGTTCAACTCTGTGTCCTGAATAAAAACATCACAAAGATGTTTACTCAGAACGCTGCAGTCTGCAATTTGTATGAATTCCCGCTTCCAACGAAATCCTCAAAACTAGCCAAATATCCACTTGCAGATTCCACAAAAAGACCATTTCAAAACTGCTCTATCAAAAGAAAGGTTCAACTTTGTTAGTTGAGTAGATACAGCATAAACAAGTTTCTGAGAATGCTTCTGTCCAGTTTTTATGGGAAGATATTTCCTTTTTCACCTTAGCCCTGAAATCGCTCCAAAAGTCCAGTTCCAGATACTACAAAAGGGGTGTTTCAAGACTGCTCTATGAAAGGGAGTGTTCAACTTTTGACTTGAATGCAAACATCAGAAAGCAGTTTCTCAGAACGCTGCTGTGTGCTTTTTATATGTATTCCCGCTTCCAGCGAAATCCCCAAAGCTAGCCAAATATCCACTTGCAGATTCCAGAAAAAGAGAGTTTCAAAACTGCTCCTTCAAAACGGTGGTTCAATTCTCTTAGTTGAGTACACACATCTCAAATAAGTTTCTGAGAATGCTTCTGTCTAGTTGTTATGGGAAGATATTTCCTTTTTCAACATAGGCCTGAAAGCGCTCCAAATGTCCACTTCCAGATACTAAAAAAGGAGTGATTCCAACCTGCTCTATGATAGGGAATGTTCAACTCTCTGTCCTGAATACAAACATCACAAAGATGTTTCTCAGAACGCTGCAGTCTGCAATTTGTATGAATTCCCGCTTCCAACGAAATCCTCAAACCTAGCCAAATATCCACTTGCAGATTCCACAAAAAGAGCATTTCAAAACTGCTCTATCAAAAGAAAGGTTCAACTTTGTTAGTTGAGTAGATACAGCATAAACAAGTTTCTGAGAATGCTTCTGTCCAGTTTTTATGGGAAGATATTTCCTTTTTCACCTTAGCCCTGAAAGCGCTCCAAATGTCCAGTTCCAGATACTACAAAAGGGGTGTTTCAAGACTGCTCTATGAAAGGGAGTGTTCAACTTTTGACTTGAATGCAAACATCAGAAAGCAGTTTCTCAGAACGCTGCTGTGTGCTTTTTATATGTATTCCCGCTTCCAGCGAAATCCCCAAAGCTAGCCAAATATCCACTTGCAGATTCCAGAAAAAGAGTGTTTCAAAACTGCTCCTTCAAAACGGTGGTTCAATTCTCTTAGTTGAGTACACACATCTCAAATAAGTTTCTGAGAATGCTTCTGTCTAGTTGTTATGGGAAGATATTTCCCTTTCCAACATAGGCCTGAAAGCGCTCCAAATGTCCACTTCCAGATACTACAAAAGGAGTGATTCCAACCTGCTCTATGATAGGGAATGTTCAACTCTGTGTCCTGAATACAAACATCACAAAGATGTTTCTCAGAACGCTGCAGTCTGCAATTTGTATGAATTCCCGCTTCCAACGAAATCCTCAAAACTAGCCAAATATCCACTTGCAGATTCCACAAAAAGACCATTTCAAAACTGCTCTATCAAAAGAAAGGTTCAACTTTGTTAGTTGAGTAGATACAGCATAAACAAGTTTCTGAGAATGCTTCTGTCCAGTTTTTATGGGAAGATATTTCCTTTTTCACCTTAGCCCTGAAATCGCTCCAAAAGTCCAGTTCCAGATACTACAAAAGGGGTGTTTCAAGACTGCTCTATGAAAGGGAGTGTTCAACTTTTGACTTGAATGCAAACATCAGAAAGCAGTTTCTCAGAACGCTGCTGTGTGCTTTTTATATGTATTCCCGCTTCCAGCGAAATCCCCAAAGCTAGCCAAATATCCACTTGCAGATTCCAGAAAAAGAGAGTTTCAAAACTGCTCCTTCAAAACGGTGGTTCAATTCTCTTAGTTGAGTACACACATCTCAAATAAGTTTCTGAGAATGCTTCTGTCTAGTTGTTATGGGAAGATATTTCCTTTTCCAACATAGGCCTGAAAGCGCTCCAAATGTCCACTTCCAGATACTACAAAAGGAGTGATTCAAACCTGCTCTATGATAGGGAATGTTCAACTCTGTGTCCTGAATACAAACATCACAAAGATGTTTCTCAGAACGCTGCAGTCTGCAATTTGTATGAATTCCCGCTTCCAACGAAATCCTCAAAACTAGCCAAATATCCACTTGCAGATTCCACAAAAAGAGCGTTTCAAAACTTCTCTATGAAAAGAAAGGTTCTACTCCTTTAGTTGAGGACACACATCACGAGTAAGTTTCTGAGAATGCTTCTGTCTAGTTTTTATGGGAAGATATTTCCTTTTTCACCTTAGGCCGGTAAGTGCTCCAAATGTCCACTTACACACACTACAAAAAGAGTGTTTCAAACCTGCTCTGTGAAAGGGAATGTTCAATTCTGTGACTTGAATGCAATCATCACAAAGAACTTTCTGAGAATGCTGCTGACTGCTTTTTATATGTAATCCCGTTTCCAACGAAATCCTCAAATCTAGCCAAATAGCCACTTGCAGATTCCACAAAAAGAGTGTTTCAAAACTGTTCTGTCTAAAGAAATGTTCAACTGTGTTAGTTGAGGACACACATCAGAAACTAGTTTCTGAGAATGCTTCTGTCTAGTTGTTATGGGAAGATATTTCCTTTTCCAACGTAGGCCTGAAAGCGATCCAAATGTCCACTTCCATATACTAAAAAAAGAGTGTTTCAAACCTGCTCTACCAAAGGGAATGTTCTACTCTGTGACTTGAATGCAAACATCCCAAAGAAGTTTCTGAGAATGCTTCTGTCTAGATTTTCTCTGAAGACAATCCCGTTTCCAACGAAATCCTCAAGGCTAGGCAAATATACTCTTGCAGATTCCAGAAAAAGAGTGTTTCAAAACTGCTCCTTCAAAACGGTGGTTCAATTCTCTTAGTTGAGTACACACATCTCAAATAAGTTTCTGAGAATGCTTCTGCCTAGTTGTTACGGGAAGATATTTCCCTTTCCAACATGGGCCTGAAAGCGCTCCAAATGTCCACTTCCAGATACTACAAAAAGAGTGTTTCAAACCTGCTCTACCAAAGGGAATGTTCTACTCTGTGACTTGAATGCAAACATCCCAAAGAAGTTTCTGAGAATGCTTCTGTCTAGATTTTACCTGAAGACAATCCCGTTTCCCACGAAATCCTCAAAGCTATGCAAATATCCTCTTGCAGATTCTACAAAAAGAGTGTTTCAAAACTGCTCTATGAAAAGAAAGGTTCAACTCTGTCAGTAGAGGGCACACATCACAAACAAGTTTCTGAGAATGCTTGTGTCTAGTTGTTATGGGAAGATATTTCCTTTTTCAACATAGTCCTGAAAGCGCTCCAAATGTCCACTTCCAGATACTACAAAAGGAGTGATTCCAACCTGCTCTATGATAGGGAATGTTCAACTCTCTGTCCTGAATACAAACATCACAAAGATGTTTCTCAGAACGCTGCAGTCTGCAATTTGTATGAATTCCCGCTTCCAACGAAATCCTCAAAACTAGCCAAATATCCACTTGCAGATTCCACAAAAAGAGCATTTCAAAACTGCTCTATCAAAAGAAAGGTTCAACTTTGTTAGTTGAGTAGATACAGCATAAACAAGTTTCTGAGAATGCTTCTGTCCAGTTTTTATGGGAAGATATTTCCTTTTTCACCTTAGCCCTGAAATCGCTCCAAAAGTCCAGTTCCAGATACTACAAAAGGGGTGTTTCAGGACTGCTCTATGAAAGGGAGTGTTCAACTTTTGACTTGAATGCAAACATCAGAAAGCAGTTTCTCAGAACGCTGCTGTGTGCTTTTTATATGTATTCCCGCTTCCAGCGAAATCCCCAAAGCTAGCCAAATATCCACTTGCAGATTCCAGAAAAAGAGTGTTTCAAAACTGCTCCTTCAAAACGGTGGTTCAATTCTCTTAGTTGAGTACACACATCTCAAATAAGTTTCTGAGAATGCTTCTGTCTAGTTGTTATGGGAAGATATTTCCTTTTCCAACATAGGCCTGAAAGCGCTCCAAATGTCCACTTCCAGATACTACAAAAGGAGTGATTCAAACCTGCTCTATGATAGGGAATGTTCAACTCTGTGTCCTGAATACAAACATCACAAAGATGTTTCTCAGAACGCTGCAGTCTGCAATTTGTATGAATTCCCGCTTCCAACGAAATCCTCAAAACTAGCCAAATATCCACTTGCAGATTCCACAAAAAGAGCGTTTCAAAACTTCTCTATGAAAAGAAAGGTTCTACTCCTTTAGTTGAGGACACACATCACGAGTAAGTTTCTGAGAATGCTTCTGTCTAGTTTTTATGGGAAGATATTTCCTTTTTCACCTTAGGCCGGTAAAGTGCTCCAAATGTCCACTTACACACACTACAAAAAGAGTGTTTCAAACCTGCTCTGTGAAAGGGAATGTTCAATTCTGTGACTTGAATGCAATCATCACAAAGAACTTTCTGAGAATGCTGCTGACTGCTTTTTATATGTAATCCCGTTTCCAACGAAATCCTCAAATCTAGCCAAATAGCCACTTGCAGATTCCACAAAAAGAGTGTTTCAAAACTGTTCTGTCTAAAGAAATGTTCAACTGTGTTAGTTGAGGACACACATCAGAAACTAGTTTCTGAGAATGCTTCTGTCTAGTTGTTATGGGAAGATATTTCCTTTTCCAACGTAGGCCTGAAAGCGATCCAAATGTCCACTTCCATATACTAAAAAAAGAGTGTTTCAAACCTGCTCTACCAAAGGGAATGTTCTACTCTGTGACTTGAATGCAAACATCCCAAAGAAGTTTCTGAGAATGCTTCTGTCTAGATTTTCTCTGAAGACAATCCCGTTTCCAACGAAATCCTCAAGGCTAGGCAAATATACTCTTGCAGATTCCAGAAAAAGAGTGTTTCAAAACTGCTCCTTCAAAACGGTGGTTCAATTCTCTTAGTTGAGTACACACATCTCAAATAAGTTTCTGAGAATGCTTCTGCCTAGTTGTTACGGGAAGATATTTCCTTTTCCAACATGGGCCTGAAAGCGCTCCAAATGTCCACTTCCAGATACTACAAAAAGAGTGTTTCAAACCTGCTCTACCAAAGGGAATGTTCTACTCTGTGACTTGAATGCAAACATCCCAAAGAAGTTTCTGAGAATGCTTCTGTCTAGATTTTACCTGAAGACAATCCCGTTTCCCACGAAATCCTCAAAGCTATGCAAATATCCTCTTGCAGATTCTACAAAAAGAGTGTTTCAAAACTGCTCTATGAAAAGAAAGGTTCAACTCTGTCAGTAGAGGGCACACATCACAAACAAGTTTCTGAGAATGCTTCTGCATAGTTGTTACGGGAAGATATTTCCCTTTCCAAAATAGGCCTGAAAGCGCTCCAAATGTCCACTTCCAGATACTACAAAAGGAGTGATTCCAACCTGCTCTATGATAGGGAATGTTCAACTCTGTGTCCTGAATACAAACATCACAAAGATGTTTCTCAGAACGCTGCAGTCTGCAATTTGTATGAATTCCCGCTTCCAACGAAATCCTCAAAACTAGCCAAATATCCACTTGCAGATTCCACAAAAAGAGCATTTCAAAACTGCTCTATCAAAAGAAAGGTTCAACTTTGTTAGTTGAGTAGATACAGCATAAACAAGTTTCTGAGAATGCTTCTGTCCAGTTTTTATGGGAAGATATTTCCTTTTTCACCTTAGCCCTGAAAGCGCTCCAAAAGTCCAGTTCCAGATACTACAAAAGGGGTGTTTCAGGACTGCTCTATGAAAGGGAGTGTTCAACTTTTGACTTGAATGCAAACATCAGAAAGCAGTTTCTCAGAACGCTGCAGTCTGCAATTTGTATGAATTCCTGCTTCCAACGAAATCCTCAAAACTAGCCAAATATCCACTTGGAGATTCCACAAAAAGAGCATTTCAAAACTTCTCTATGAATAGAAAGGTTCTACTCCTTTAGTTGAGGACACACATCACGAGTAAGTTTCTGAGGATGCTTCTGTCTAGTTTTTATGGGAAGATATTTCCTTGTTCACCTTAGGCCAGAAAGCGCTCCAAATGTCCACTTACACACACTACAAAAAGAGTGTTTCAAACCTGCTCTGTGAAAGGGAATGTTCAATTCTGTGACTTGAATGCAATCATCACAAAGAACTTTCTGAGAATGCTGCTGACTGCTTTTTATATGTAATCCCGTTTCCAACGACATCCTCAAATCTAGCCAAATATCCACTTGCAGATTCCACAAAAAGAGTGTTTCAAAACTCTTCTGTCTAAAGAAAAGTTCAACTGTGTTAGTTGAGGACACACATCAGAAACTAGTTTCTGAGAATGCTTCTGTCTAGTTGTTATGGGAAGATATTTCCTTTTCCAACGTAGGCCTGAAAGCGCTCCAAATGTCCACTTCCATATACTAAAAAAAGAGTGTTTCAAACCTGCTCTACCAAAGGGAATGTTCTACTCTGTGACTTGAATACAAACATCCCAAAGAAGTTTCTGAGAATGCTTCTGTCTAGATTTGATCTGAAGACAATCCCGTTTCCAACGAAATCCTCAAGGCTAGGCAAATATCCTCTTGCACATTCCAGAAAAAGAGTGTTTCAAAACTGCTCCTTCAAAACGGTGGTTCAATTCTCTTAGTTGAGTACACACATCTCAAATAAGTTTCTGAGAATGCTTCTGCCTAGTTGTTACGGGAAGATATTTCCCTTTCCAACATAGGCCTGAAAGCGCTCCAAATGTCCACTTCCAGATACTACAAAAAGAGTGTTTCAAACCTGCTCTACCAAAGGGAATGTTCTACTCTGTGACTTGAATGCAAACATCCCAAAGAAGTTTCTGAGAATGCTTCTGTCTAGATTTGATCTGAAGACAATCCCGTTTCCAACGAAATCCTCAAGGCTAGGCAAATATCCTCTTGCAGATTCCAGAAAAAGAGTGTTTCAAAACTGCTCCTTCAAAACGGTGGTTCAATTCTCTTAGTTGAGTACACACATCTCAAATAAGTTTCTGAGAATGCTTCTGCCTAGTTGTTACGGGAAGATATTTCCCTTTCCAACATAGGCCTGAAAGCGCTCCAAATGTCCACTTCCAGATACAACAAAAAGAGTGTTTCAAACCTGCTCTACCAAAGGGAATGTTCTACTCTGTGACTTGAATGCAAACATCCCAAAGAAGTTTCTGAGAATGCTTCTGTCTAGATTTTACCTGAAGACAATCCCGTTTCCCACGAAATCCTCAAAGCTATGCAAATATCCTCTTGCAGATTCTACAAAAAGAGTGTTTCAAAACTGCTCTATGAAAAGAAAGGTTCAACTCTGTCAGTAGAGGGCACACATCACAAACAAGTTTCTGAGAATGCTTGTGTCTAGTTGTTATGGGAAGATATTTCCTTTTTCAACATAGGCCTGAAAGCGCTCCAAATGTCCACTTCCAGATACTACAAAAGGAGTGATTCCAACCTGCTCTATGATAGGGAATGTTCAACTCTCTGTCCTGAATACAAACATCACAAAGATGTTTCTCAGAACGCTGCAGTCTGCAATTTGTATGAATTCCCGCTTCCAACGAAATCCTCAAAACTAGCCAAATATCCACTTGCAGATTCCACAAAAAGAGCATTTCAAAACTGCTCTATCAAAAGAAAGGTTCAACTATGTTAGTTGAGTAGATACAGCATAAACAAGTTTCTGAGAATGCTTCTGTCCAGTTTTTATGGGAAGATATTTCCTTTTTCACCTTAGCCCTGAAATCGCTCCAAAAGTCCAGTTCCAGATACTACAAAAGGGGTGTTTCAGGACTGCTCTATGAAAGGGAGTGTTCAACTTTTGACTTGAATGCAAACATCAGAAAGCAGTTTCTCAGAACGCTGCTGTGTGCTTTTTATATGTATTCCCGCTTCCAGCGAAATCCCCAAAGCTAGCCAAATATCCACTTGCAGATTCCAGAAAAAGAGTGTTTCAAAACTGCTCCTTCAAAACGGTGGTTCAATTCTCTTAGTTGAGTAGACACATCTCAAATAAGTTTCTGAGAATGCTTCTGTCTAGTTGTTATGGGAAGATATTTCCTTTTCCAACATAGGCCTGAAAGCGCTCCAAATGTCCACTTCCAGATACTACAAAAGGAGTGATTCCAACCTGCTCTATGATAGGGAATGTTCAACTCTGTGTCCTGAATACAAACATCACAAAGATGTTTCTCAGAACGCTGCAGTCTGCAATTTGTATGAATTCCCCCTTCCAACGAAATCCTCAAAACTAGCCAAATATCCACTTGCAGATTCCACAAAAAGACCATTTCAAAACTGCTCTATCAAAAGAAAGGTTCAACTTTGTTAGTTGAGTAGATACAGCATAACCAAGTTTCTGAGAATGCTTCTGTCCAGTTTTTATGGGAAGATATTTCCTTTTTCACCTTAGCCCTGAAATCGCTCCAAAAGTCCAGTTCCAGATACTACAAAAGGGGTGTTTCAAGACTGCTCTATGAAAGGGAGTGTTCAACTTTTGACTTGAATGCAAACATCAGAAAGCAGTTTCTCAGAACGCTGCTGTGTGCTTTTTATATGTATTCCCGCTTCCAGCGAAATCCCCAAAGCTAGCCAAATATCCACTTGCAGATTCCAGAAAAAGAGTGTTTCAAAACTGCTCCTTCAAAACGGTGGTTCAATTCTCTTAGTTGAGTACACACATCTCAAATAAGTTTCTGAGAATGCTTCTGTCTAGTTGTTATGGGAAGATATTTCCTTTTCCAACATAGGCCTGAAAGCGCTCCAAATGTCCACTTCCAGATACTACAAAAGGAGTGATTCAAACCTGCTCTATGATAGGGAATGTTCAAATCTGTGTCCTGAATACAAACATCACAAAGATGTTTCTCAGAACGCTGCAGTCTGCAATTTGTATGAATTCCCGCTTCCAACGAAATCCTCAAAACTAGCCAAATATCCACTTGCAGATTCCACAAAAAGAGCGTTTCAAAACTTCTCTATGAAAAGAAAGGTTCTACTCCTTTAGTTGAGGACACACATCACGAGTAAGTTTCTGAGAATGCTTCTGTCTAGTTTTTATGGGAAGATATTTCCTTTTTCACCTTAGGCCGGTAAGGGTTCCAAATGTCCACTTACACACACTACAAAAAGAGTGTTTCAAACCTGCTCTGTGAAAGGGAATGTTCAATTCTGTGACTTGAATGCAATCATCACAAAGAACTTTCTGAGAATGCTGCTGACTGCTTTTTATATGTAATCCCGTTTCCAACGAAATCCTCAAATCTAGCCAAATAGCCACTTGCAGATTCCACAAAAAGAGTGTTTCAAAACTGTTCTGTCTAAAGAAATGTTCAACTGTGTTAGTTGAGGACACACATCAGAAACTAGTTTCTGAGAATGCTTCTGTCTAGTTGTTATGGGAAGATATTTCCTTTTCCAACGTAGGCCTGAAAGCGATCAAAATGTCCACTTCCATATACTAAAAAAAGAGTGTTTCAAACCTGCTCTACCAAAGGGAATGTTCTACTCTGTGACTTGAATGCAAACATCCCAAAGAAGTTTCTGAGAATGCTTCTGTCTAGATTTTCTCTGAAGACAATCCCGTTTCCAACGAAATCCTCAAGGCTAGGCAAATATACTCTTGCAGATTCCAGAAAAAGAGTGTTTCAAAACTGCTCCTTCAAAACGGTGGTTCAATTCTCTTAGTTGAGTACACACATCTCAAATAAGTTTCTGAGAATGCTTCTGCCTAGTTGTTACGGGAAGATATTTCCTTTTCCAACATGGGCCTGAAAGCGCTCCAAATGTCCACTTCCAGATACTACAAAAAGAGTGTTTCAAACCTGCTCTACCAAAGGGAATGTTCTACTCTGTGACTTGAATGCAAACATCCCAAAGAAGTTTCTGAGAATGCTTCTGTCTAGATTTTACCTGAAGACAATCCCGTTTCCCACGAAATCCTCAAAGCTATGCAAATATCCTCTTGCAGATTCTACAAAAAGAGTGTTTCAAAACTGCTCTATGAAAAGAAAGGTTCAACTCTGTCAGTAGAGGGCACACATCACAAACAAGTTTCTGAGAATGCTTCTGCATAGTTGTTACGGGAAGATATTTCCCTTTCCAAAATAGGCCTGAAAGCGCTCCAAATGTCCACTTCCAGATACTACAAAAGGAGTGATTCCAACCTGCTCTATGATAGGGAATGTTCAACTCTGTGTCCTGAATACAAACATCACAAAGATGTTTCTCAGAACGCTGCAGTCTGCAATTTGTATGAATTCCCGCTTCCAACGAAATCCTCAAAACTAGCCAAATATCCACTTGCAGATTCCACAAAAAGACCATTTCAAAACTGCTCTATCAAAAGAAAGGTTCAACTTTGTTAGTTGAGTAGATACAGCATAACCAAGTTTCTGAGAATGCTTCTGTCCAGTTTTTATGGGAAGATATTTCCTTTTTCACCTTAGCCCTGAAATCGCTCCAAAAGTCCAGTTCCAGATACTACAAAAGGGGTGTTTCAAGACTGCTCTATGAAAGGGAGTGTTCAACTTTTGACTTGAATGCAAACATCAGAAAGCAGTTTCTCAGAACGCTGCTGTGTGCTTTTTATATGTATTCCCGCTTCCAGCGAAATCCCCAAAGCTAGCCAAATATCCACTTGCAGATTCCAGAAAAAGAGAGTTTCAAAACTGCTCCTTCAAAACGGTGGTTCAATTCTCTTAGTTGAGTACACACATCTCAAATAAGTTTCTGAGAATGCTTCTGTCTAGTTGTTATGGGAAGATATTTCCTTTTCCAACATAGGCCTGAAAGCGCTCCAAATGTCCACTTCCAGATACTACAAAAGGAGTGATTCCAACCTGCTCTATGATAGGGAATGTTCAACTCTGTGTCCTGAATACAAACATCACAAAGATGTTTCTCAGAACGCTGCAGTCTGCAATTTGTATGAATTCCCGCTTCCAACGAAATCCTCAAAACTAGCCAAATATCCACTTGCAGATTCCACAAAAAGAGCGTTTCAAAACTTCTCTATGAAAAGAAAGGTTCTACTCCTTTAGTTGAGGACACACATCACGAGTAAGTTTCTGAGAATGCTTCTGTCTAGTTTTTATGGGAAGATTATTTCCTTTTTCACCTTAGGCCGGTAAGTGCTCCAAATGTCCACTTACACACACTACAAAAAGAGTGTTTCAAACCTGCTCTGTGAAAGGGAATGTTCAATTCTGTGACTTGAATGCAATCATCACAAAGAACTTTCTGAGAATGCCGCTGACTGCTTTTTATATGTAATCCCGTTTCCAACGAAATCCTCAAATCTAGCCAAATAGCCACTTGCAGATTCCACAAAAAGAGTGTTTCAAAACTGTTCTGTCTAAAGAAATGTTCAACTGTGTTAGTTGAGGACACACATCAGAAACTAGTTTCTGAGAATGCTTCTGTCTAGTTGTTATGGGAAGATATTTCCTTTTCCAACGTAGGCCTGAAAGCGCTCCAAATGTCCACTTCCAGATACTAAAAAAAGAGTGTTTCAAACCTGCTCTACCAAAGGGAATGTTCTACTCTGTGACTTGAATGCAAGCATCCCAAAGAAGTTTCTGAGAATGCTTCTGTCTAGATTTTCTCTGAAGACAATCCCGTTTCCAACGAAATCCTCAAGGCTAGGCAAATATACTCTTGCAGATTCCAGAAAAAGAGTGTTTCAAAACTGCTCCTTCAAAACGGTGGTTCAATTCTCTTAGTTGAGTACACACATCTCAAATAAGTTTCTGAGAATGCTTCTGCCTAGTTGTTACGGGAAGATATTTCCCTTTCCAACATGGGCCTGAAAGCGCTCCAAATGTCCACTTCCAGATACTACAAAAAGAGTGTTTCAAACCTGCTCTACCAAAGGGAATGTTCTACTCTGTGACTTGAATGCAAACATCCCAAAGAAGTTTCTGAGAATGCTTCTTTCTAGATTTTACCTGAAGACAATCCCGTTTCCCACGAAATCCTCAAAGCTATGCAAATATGCTCTTGCGGATTCTACAAAAAGAGTGTTTCAAAACTGCTCTATGAAAAGAAAGGTTCAACTCTGTCAGTAGAGGGCACACATCACAAACAAGTTTCTGAGAATGCTTGTGTCTAGTTGTTATGGGAAGATATTTCCTTTTTCAACATAGGCCTGAAAGCGCTCCAAATGTCCACTTCCAGATACTACAAAAGGAGTGATTCCAACCTGCTCTATGATAGGGAATGTTCATCTCTGTGTCCTGAATACAAACATCACAAAGATGTTTCTCAGAACGCTGCAGTCTGCAATTTGTATGAATTCCCGCTTCCAACGAAATCCTCAACACTAGCCAAATATCCACTTGGAGATTCCACAAAAAGAGCGTTTCAAAACTTCTCTATGAATAGAAAGGTTCTACTCCTTTAGTTGAGGACACACATCACGAGTAAGTTTCTGAGAATGCTTCTGTCTAGTTTTTATGGGAAGATATGTCCTTTTTCACCTTAGGCCGGAAAGCGCTCCAAATGTCCACTTACACACACTACAAAAAGAGTGTTTCAAACCTGCTCTGTGAAAGGGAATGTTCAATTCTGTGACTTGAATGCAATCATCACAAAGAACTTTCTGAGAATGCTGCTGACTGCTTTTTATATGTAATCCCGTTTCCAACGAAATCCTCAAATCTAGCCCAATATCCACTTGCAGATTCCACAAAAAGAGTGTTTCAAAACTGTTCTGTCTAAAGAAATGTACAACTGTGTTAGTTGAGGACACACATCAGAAACTAGTTTCTGAGAATGCTTCTGTCTAGTTGTTATGGGAAGATATTTCCTTTTCCAACGTAGGCCTGAAAGCGCTCCAAATGTCCACTTCCATATACTAAAAAAAGAGTGTTTCAAACCTGCTCTACCAAAGGGAATGTTCTACTCTGTGACTTGAATGCAAACATCCCAAAGAAGTTTCTGAGAATGCTTCTGTCTAGATTTTATCTGAAGACAATCCCGTTTCCAACGAAATCCTCAAGGCTAGGCAAATATACTCTTGCAGATTCCAGAAAAAGAGGCTTTCAAAACTGCTCCTTCAAAACGGTGGTTCAATTCTCTTAGTTGAGTACACACATCTCAAATAAGTTTCTGAGAATGCTTCTGCCTAGTTGTTACGGGAAGATATTTCCCTTTCCAACATAGGCCTGAAAGCGCTCCAAATGTCCACTTCCAGATACTACAAAAAGAGTGTTTCAAACCTGCTCTACCAAAGGGAATGTTCTACTACTGTGACTTGAATGCAAACATCCCAAAGAAGTTTCTGAGAATGCTTCTGTCTAGATTTTACCTGAAGACAATCCCGTTTCCCACGAAATCCTCAAAGCTATGCTAATATCCTCTTGCAGATTCTACAAAAAGAGTGTTTCAAAACTGCTCTATGAAAAGAAAGGTTCAACTCTGTCAGTAGAGGGCACACATCACAAACAAGTTTCTGAGAATGCTTGTGTCTAGTTGTTATGGGAAGATATTTCCTTTTTCAACATAGGCCTGAAAGCGCTCCAAATGTCCACTTCCAGATACTACAAAAGGAGTGATTCCAACCTGCTCTATGATAGGGAATGTTCAACTCTCTGTCCTGAATACAAACATCACAAAGATGTTTCTCAGAACGCTGCAGTCTGCAATTTGTATGAATTCCCGCTTCCAACGAAATCCTCAAAACTAGCCAAATATCCACTTGCAGATTCCACAAAAAGAGCATTTCAAAACTGCTCTATCAAAAGAAAGGTTCAACTTTGTTAGTTGAGTAGATACAGCATAAACAAGTTTCTGAGAATGCTTCTGTCCAGTTTTTATGGGAAGATATTTCCTTTTTCACCTTAGCCCTGAAAGCGCTCCAAAAGTCCAGTTCCAGATACTACAAAAGGAGTGTTTCAGGACTGCTCTATGAAAGGGAGTGTTCAACTTTTGACTTGAATGCAAACATCAGAAAGCAGTTTCTCAGAACGCTGCTGTGTGCTTTTTATATGTATTCCCGCTTCCAGCGAAATCCCCAAAGCTAGCCAAATATCCACTTGCAGATTCCAGAAAAAGAGTGTTTCAAAACTGCTCCTTCAAAACGGTGGTTCAATTCTCTTAGTTGAGTACACACATCTCAAATAAGTTTCTGAGAATGCTTCTGTCTAGTTGTTATGGGAAGATATTTCCTTTTCCAACATAGGCCTGAAAGCACTCCAAATGTCCACTTCCAGATACTACAAAAGGAGTGATTCCAACCTGCTCTATGATAGGGAATGTTCAACTCTGTGTCCTGAATACAAACATCACAAAGATGTTTCTCAGAACGCTGCAGTCTGCAATTTGTATGAATTCCCGCTTCCAACGAAATCCTCAAAACTAGCCAAATATCCACTTGCAGATTCCACAAAAAGACCATTTCAAAACTGCTCTATCAAAAGAAAGGTTCAACTTTGTTAGTTGAGTAGATACAGCATAACCAAGTTTCTGAGAATGCTTCTGTCCAGTTTTTATGGGAAGATATTTCCTTTTTCAACTTAGCCCTGAAATCGCTCCAAAAGTCCAGTTCCAGATACTACAAAAGGGGTGTTTCAAGACTGCTCTATGAAAGGGAGTGTTCAACTTTTGACTTGAATGCAAACATCAGAAAGCAGTTTCTCAGAACGCTGCTGTGTGCTTTTTATATGTATTCCCGCTTCCAGCGAAATCCCCAAAGCTAGCCAAATATCCACTTGCAGATTCCAGAAAAAGAGAGTTTCAAAACTGCTCCTTCAAAACGGTGGTTCAATTCTCTTAGTTGAGTACACACATCTCAAATAAGTTTCTGAGAATGCTTCTGTCTAGTTGTTATGGGAAGATATTTCCTTTTCCAACATAGGCCTGAAAGCGCTCCAAATGTCCACTTCCAGATACTACAAAAGGAGTGATTCCAACCTGCTCTATGATAGGGAATGTTCAACTCTGTGTCCTGAATACAAACATCACAAAGATGTTTCTCAGAACGCTGCAGTCTGCAATTTGTATGAATTCCCGCTTCCAACGAAATCCTCAAAACTAGCCAAATATCCACTTGCAGATTCCACAAAAAGAGCGTTTCAAAACTTCTCTATGAAAAGAAAGGTTCTACTCCTTTAGTTGAGGACACACATCACGAGTAAGTTTCTGAGAATGCTTCTGTCTAGTTTTTATGGGAAGATATTTCCTTTTTCACCTTAGGCCGGTAAGTGCTCCAAATGTCCACTTACACACACTACAAAAAGAGTGTTTCAAACCTGCTCTGTGAAAGGGAATGTTCAATTCTGTGACTTGAATGCAATCATCACAAAGAACTTTCTGAGAATGCTGCTGACTGCTTTTTATATGTAATCCCGTTTCCAACGAAATCCTCAAATCTAGCCAAATATCCACTTGCAGATTCCACAAAAAGAGTGTTTCAAAACTGTTCTGTCTAAAGAAATGTTCAACTGTGTTAGTTGAGGACACACATCAGAAACTAGTTTCTGAGAATGCTTCTGTCTAGTTGTTATGGGAAGATATTTCCTTTTCCAACGTAGGCCTGAAAGCTCTCCAAATATCCACTTCCATATACTAAAAAAAGAGTGTTTCAAACCTGCTCTACCAAAGGGAATGTTCTACTCTGTGACTTGAATGCAAACATCCCAAAGAAGTTTCTGAGAATGCTTCTGTCTAGATTTTCTCTGAAGACAATCCCGTTTCCAACGAAATCCTCAAGGCTAGGCAAATATACTCTTGCAGATTCCAGAAAAAGAGTGTTTCAAAACTGCTCCTTCAAAACGGTGGTTCAATTCTCTTAGTTGAGTACACACATCTCAAATAAGTTTCTGAGAATGCTTCTGCCTAGTTGTTACGGGAAGATATTTCCCTTTCCAACATGGGCCTGAAAGCGCTCCAAATGTCCACTTCCAGATACTACAAAAAGAGTGTTTCAAACCTGCTCTACCAAAGGGAATGTTCTACTCTGTGACTTGAATGCAAACATCCCAAAGAAGTTTCTGAGAATGCTTCTGTCTAGATTTTACCTGAAGACAATCCCGTTTCCCACGAAATCCTCAAAGCTATGCAAATATCCTCTTGCAGATTCTACAAAAAGAGTGTTTCAAAACTGCTCTATGAAAAGAAAGGTTCAACTCTGTCAGTAGAGGGCACACATCACAAACAAGTTTCTGAGAATGCTTCTGCATAGTTGTTACGGGAAGATATTTCCCTTTCCAAAATAGGCCTGAAAGCGCTCCAAATGTCCACTTCCAGATACTACAAAAGGAGTGATTCCAACCTGCTCTATGATAGGGAATGTTCAACTCTGTGTCCTGAATACAAACATCACAAAGATGTTTCTCAGAACGCTGCAGTCTGCAATTTGTATGAATTCCCGCTTCCAACGAAATCCTCAAAACTAGCCAAATATCCACTTGCAGATTCCACAAAAAGACCATTTCAAAACTGCTCTATCAAAAGAAAGGTTCAACTTTGTTAGTTGAGTAGATACAGCATAAACAAGTTTCTGAGAATGCTTCTGTCCAGTTTTTATGGGAAGATATTTCCTTTTTCACCTTAGCCCTGAAATCGCTCCAAAAGTCCAGTTCCAGATACTACAAAAGGGGTGTTTCAAGACTGCTCTATGAAAGGGAGTGTTCAACTTTTGACTTGAATGCAAACATCAGAAAGCAGTTTCTCAGAACGCTGCTGTGTGCTTTTTATATGTATTCCCGCTTCCAGCGAAATCCCCAAAGCTAGCCAAATATCCACTTGCAGATTCCAGAAAAAGAGAGTTTCAAAACTGCTCCTTCAAAACGGTGGTTCAATTCTCTTAGTTGAGTACACACATCTCAAATAAGTTTCTGAGAATGCTTCTGTCTAGTTGTTATGGGAAGATATTTCCTTTTCCAACATAGGCCTGAAAGCGCTCCAAATGTCCACTTCCAGATACTACAAAAGGAGTGATTCAAACCTGCTCTATGATAGGGAATGTTCAACTCTGTGTCCTGAATACAAACATCACAAAGATGTTTCTCAGAACGCTGCAGTCTGCAATTTGTATGAATTCCCGCTTCCAACGAAATCCTCAAAACTAGCCAAATATCCACTTGCAGATTCCACAAAAAGAGCGTTTCAAAACTTCTCTATGAAAAGAAAGGTTCTACTCCTTTAGTTGAGGACACACATCACGAGTAAGTTTCTGAGAATGCTTCTGTCTAGTTTTTATGGGAAGATATTTCCTTTTTCACCTTAGGCTGGTAAGTGCTCCAAATGTCCACTTACACACACTACAAAAAGAGTGTTTCAAACCTGCTCTGTGAAAGGGAATGTTCAATTCTGTGACTTGAATGCAATCATCACAAAGAACTTTCTGAGAATGCTGCTGACTGCTTTTTATATGTAATCCCGTTTCCAACGAAATCCTCAAATCTAGCCAAATAGCCACTTGCAGATTCCACAAAAAGAGTGTTTCAAAACTGTTCTGTCTAAAGAAATGTTCAACTGTGTTAGTTGAGGACACACATCAGAAACTAGTTTCTGAGAATGCTTCTGTCTAGTTGTTATGGGAAGATATTTCCTTTTCCAACGTAGGCCTGAAAGCGATCAAAATGTCCACTTCCATATACTAAAAAAAGAGTGTTTCAAACCTGCTCTACCAAAGGGAATGTTCTACTCTGTGACTTGAATGCAAACATCCCAAAGAAGTTTCTGAGAATGCTTCTGTCTAGATTTTCTCTGAATACAATCCCGTTTCCAACGAAATCCTCAAGGCTAGGCAAATATACTCTTGCAGATTCCAGAAAAAGAGTGTTTCAA